>NC_000004.12:184678956-184981987 GCF_000001405.40 Homo sapiens
TTTCTAAAATGATTATCACTTCTGTAAAGAAGAAAACAATACTACTGGTATTGCATTTGGAAATATTTTACTATTAAAATGTCTCATTTTCTTTTCATGTATGCACATACATATAATTTGTATAGCTCCTTTAATCAAAAAATATTCTGAGATTATTATTTAAATGATTGTCATTTGTTTTTTCTACTTGATTTTATGAATATTTGTTAAGAATTTGCCAACAATTAATTGTAAATAAAACTTCTAATGCCTATGTAAATTTCCATTATATTGACACTGGAATTTATTGTGAGTTCTATTGTTGAGCCTTTAGGTTCCCATGTTTTGATCATTTTTTAAAAGTGTTAATGTTGGCTAGGCACAGTAGCATGTGCCTGTAGTCCCAGCTACCCAGGAGGCTGAGGTAGGAGGATCACTTGAGCCCAGGAGTTCAAAGCTGCAGTGAGCTATGAATGCACCACTGCACTCCAGCCTGGGTGACAGGGTGAGACCCCATTGCTAAAAACTAAAATAAATAAATAAATAAAAATAAAATCTGTGAAAGTCATCTTTCAACAGAAATACTATAGTAAGTCTTCATTTGATGTTGATAAGTTATTGGAAACTGAACTTTAAATAATGTGTGATGAATCCAGTTGTTTTTCTCATCCATGTTAGAAGGTAGTGGTCCCTGAGTCACAGACCAGTGGTCTGTGGTGGGAACTGGACCCCACAGCAGGAGGTGAGCAGTAGGCGAGCGAGCGAGCAATACCACCTTCCCACCTCAGCTCCGCCTCCTGCCAGATCTGCAGTGGCATTAGATTCTTATAGGAGTGCAAATCCTGCTGTGAACAGCACATGGGAGGGATCTAGGTTGCACACTCCTTATGAGAATCTAATGCCTGATGATCTGAGGTGGAACAGTTTCAGCCTGAAACCAGCCCACCTTGCCCCTGCCCCACCCATGGAAAGATTGTCTTCCAGGAAACCGGTTCCTGGTGCCAGAAAGGTTGGGGACTGCCGTTATAAGGAAATGATGTTGAACAAAACAACATTATTCAAAGACCTGCTAGATGTCATTTCTCTTAGAGTTGCAGTTTCCAAGAATCTATCCATGGCCTTAAGTGAGGACTTAACTGTATTTGCCTTCATTCCCTGTTTTTCTAGGCTGGCAACTTTTTCAGCCCAAAACATGGTTAAGGTTCAGACTAAATTACCATCAACTTGCCATAATTCTTTTCCTTTTGCCTTTCTAAATATAATTTTTTTTTTGAGACAGTCTTGCTCTGTGGCCTAGGCTGGAGTGCAGTGGTGCGATCTCAGCTTACTGCAACCTCTGCCTCACAGGTTCAAGCGATTCTCCTGCCTCAGCCTCCCAAGTAGCTGGGACTACAGGTGTGTGCCACCACACCCAGATAATTTTTGTATTTTTAGTAGAGATGGGGTTTCCCCATGTTGGGGGGGCCGGTCTCAAACTCCTGACCTCATGTGATCTGCCCACCTTGGCCTCCCAAAGTGCTGGGATTACAGGCGTGAGCCACCGTGCCCGGCCACTTAAATATAATTTTAAGGAAAGATTCTCTAGAAATTAATTTTAGTAATTGTCTAAAATACATTGCTGTAGGTATCAGGTTGTACAGTTAACAGCCGTTACCCAGGAGGGTGGAAGATGGATTGTTTTTCTTCATATATATATATAAGTATATTTGTACTCTTTGAGTTCTTTAATAACATGTCTCAGAAGTAAGGTCTGAGTTTCCTACTTTTAAATGGAAGTGATACTAACACCTATCTTACGGAGTTGTCGAGAGGATTTAAAAAGTTAAAACTGCACATAAAACATTTACAGCTGTGCCCAGCCCATGACATCTGCTCAGTGAATGTTGTTGGTAGCAGTAGTAGATCCGGGATTCTGAAGTGCAAAGTGCCGTAGCAGGAGTGTAAAAATTGTGTAATTCCTGCCACACCCTATTGGCACCAGAATAAGGTCACATTCTTTCTGCCACGTATGGAGAAGTGTGAAAAGCAACATTGTTAGTTCTAGCTCATATGGGAAAAGCAACTACAGCCCGAAGTGCAGGTAATCTCCCGATTACCCAATCTCGTTTCTTTCGCAGTTTAAATATGAATCTTACAGAGGTGGAGGGTTCTTCTACTGAATACAGTTACCTTGTCTTTTGTGTATTCCAAGTAAATACCAGGTAGTTTACTTCTTGAAATAAAGGCTAAATCCTTTATGGTTATGAATGTACCTTTTCTTTCCGTTAATTTTAATCTGTTTTTCCCCTTTGCTCTCACCCCTCCTTCTTTCTTCATTTCTTCCTATAAGTCACACCTCTAAAATTGTTGTAACAAAAAATTCAAAGGCTCTTTGTGTTTGGTGAATAGAGTTATATAGTCGTCTCCTGGTGTCTGTGGGTGATTATTATTCCAAGGTCCCTGTGGATACAAAAATCTGCAGATATAAAAGGATGTACTATTTTCACGTAACCCACACGCATCCTCCCTATATAATACTGTAAATCCTTCTAGATTACCTATACCTAATATAGTGCACATGCTATATAGTTGTTATACTATATTGTTTTTAATTTGTATTATTTTTATTATTTTTATTGTTTTTTTATTTTTATTTTCACTTATTTACTTATTTTTTTGAGATGGAATCTCACTCTGTCTCCCAGGCTGGAGTGCAGTGGTGCAATCTCAGCTCACTGCAACCTCTGCCTCCTGGGTTCAAGCAGTTCTTCTGCCTCAGCCTCCCATGTAGCTGGAATTACAGGCGTTTGCCACCATGCCCAGCTAATTTTTGTATTTTTAGTAGACAGGGGTTTCACTATGTTGGCCAGGCTGGTCTCAAACTCCTGACCTCAAGTGATCGGCCCATCTCAGCCTCCCAAAGTCCTGGGATTATAGGCGTGAGCCACTGCATCTGGCCTATTTTTATTGTTTTTTAAAAAACATACTTTTGATCTGCTGTTGGTTGAATCTGCAGATAAGAAACCATGGACACAGGGCTTCAGCAGTCCTAGAGTCCCCTGATCCATTCTGTAATTAAGGATAGTATTATAAGTAATCACCAACCTACTCTTTTAAAAAAATTATTTTCTTTAATTGACAAATCATATTTTTTTTATATGTGTAGGGTTTGTGGTTTTGTGGGCAAATGTGGCATAAATGTCCTAGAACAATTATCTGCTGAACAAAGGATTTTAATGAGGAACTATTAGGAATTCAGTGTCCTTTCTGTAGCCAGGCCTTGTTAGTTCCAGTGTGATGGTGCTTTGTTTCTTTTACCTATTTCTTCTTCAGGTTCTCAGATACTTTACGAATTCTTACATGTGAGCCATCTCAGAATAAACAAAAAGGAGTTGGATATTTTAACAGTATCGGCACTTCAGGTAAATTTTTTGATGTTTGTTTTTCTTTTTGAGACAGCATCTCTCATTGTCACCCAGGCTGGAGTGCAGTGGTGCGATCTCGGCTCACTGCAGCCTCCTCCTCCCAGGCTCAAGCCATCTCCTGCCTCAGCCTCCGGAGTAGTTGGGTTTACAGGTGTGCACCATCACGCCCAGATAATTTTTGCATTTTTAGTAGAGATGAGATTTCACCATGTTGCCCAGGCTGGTCTCAAACTCCTGGGCTCAAACGATCTGTCTGCCTCAGCCTCCCAAAATGCTGGGGTTACAGGTGCAAGCCACTGCACCCAGCTACTTCAGGTAATTTTTAAAAAATAATTTCCTATCAAAATGTAAGGGTACAGAATCTGTTTTGCCTTTAAAATCTTCAGTGTTAAGTGTTCATAATCACTGACCTTTCAAAAACTACCTCTAGCCAAGCACAGGGGCTCACACCTGTAATTCCAGCACTTTGGGAGGCTGAGGCGGGAGGATCACTTGAGCCCAGGAGTTAGAGACAATCCTGAGCAACTTAGCAAAACCCTATCTCTACAAAAAATCCAAAAATTAGCCAGGAATTGTGGTGCATGCCTGTAGTCCCAGCCACTCAGGAGGCTAAGGCAGGAGGATCTCTTGAGGCCAGGAGGTTGAAGCTACAGTGAGTCTTGTTGGTGCCATTGCACTCCAGCCTGGACAGCAGAATCAGACCCTGTCTCAACCAGTCAATTAATCAATTAATCAATCAGTAATCTACTTCAGGTTTTCTATCTCAAATGGAAAAAGTATGAGAAAGATGTTTATTAAGAAGTATTATTCACTGGGCGTGGTGGCTCATGCCTCTAATCCCAGCACTTTGGGAGGCTGAGTCGGGCAGATAACCTGAGTTCAGGAGTTTGAGAACAGCCTGGCCAACATGGTGAAACCACTAAAAATATAAAAATTAGCAGGGCATGGTGGCGGGTGCCTGTAATCCGAGCTACTCAGGAGACTGAGGAGGAGAATCACTTGAACCTGGGAGGCGGAGGTTGCAGTGAGCTGAGATTGTGCCATTGCACTCCAGCATGCGCAACAAGAGTGAGACTCCATCTCAAAAAAAAAAAAAAAGTATTATTCACTAATTTCACTAATTTTCATTTTATGGTGTTTTTCAAAAAACTACAAAAATAATGTAGGTTAACAAAATGAAAATGTAAAGTTCTTTTTCACTCTTCTGTCCATGATCAAAGGCAGGTAACCACTGCAATCATTTGCTATTTAACCTAGAAGAGCGTTTCCTATATTTCCTATATATAGAGAGAGATCTTCCTCAGTCTTTTAATGGTTGTATAGTTTTTCATGGTATAGCTCTGTCATAACTTACCCATTCCTCTACTGAAGAACATAGAGTGTTTTTTTCAAAGATTTCTTACATAAGCCCTCCAGTAAACATTTTTATACACATATTTTCATATATTGTTATTTATAATAGCAAAAAACTGACAGCAATCTAAATGTACAACAAAATTGAATTGGTTATATACTATGAAATCCTCTAGCTGTTAAATTTAAATTTGTGAAGCCTGTATAATGTGGAAAACACCCATTTGTGATGTTAAAAGAAAAACTAGTCTCTAAAATTATGTGTATGGTATGATTACAAGCTTTAAAATATGGATAAATTTTCTTATGTTTATTTTCTTGTCTTATATGTATTTATAGACATTGATTTAGAGTCTGCCTCTCACATTTCCACATTAATATATTTTTCAATATTTCTCCAATTATATATATTATTTTAGTAAGTGAAACATAAACTTCATTTAAAGCAAACTAGATTCTTGTCCTTAAAAATTAAATGATACTGGCTGGGTACGGTGGCTCACGCCTGTAATCCCAGCACTTTGGGAGGCCAAGGCAGGCGGATCATGAGGTCAGGAGTTCAAGACCAGCCTGACCAATGCAGTGAAACCCCGTCTCTACTAAAAATACAAAAATTAGCAAGGCGTGGTGTTGCACGCCTGTAATCCCAGCTACTCAGGAGGCTGAGGCAGGAGAATCGCTTGAACCCAGAAGGCCGAGCTTGCAGTGAGCCGAGATCGCGCCACTGCACTCCAGCCTGGGCAACAGAGCAAGACTCTGTCTCAAGAAAAAAAAAAAATTAAATGATATTTAAAATAGGTCATTCTAAATTACTACAGTAGCTTTTTAGATAGAAAATATAATTGTATTGTCAGTACCTTCCAGCTAAAGGTCTCAGGGCACACACCTGTAGCAGGTCAGCTGAGTGTATTGCCAGGAAAGCAATGGTGAGCACACACCATGGGAAACTTCAGTAAAGTGGGGCATCTTGGGAAGAGGAGGTTGGAAAGGACCGGGAGGATTGGATTTGGGCTTGGAATGGGTGGCTTGGGGGAGTATACCAGGAAGTTTGGGGTTTGTTCTGAGTTGGGTGTTGTTAGGGACAATTCTAGGACTGGTTTTCTTAGTAAAGCTTAACTGAAAGGAAATCAGAATAGAAATTAACACTGTACTTTGTTAAAAAAAACAAACAAAAAAACCAGCAGTTGCTTCTGTTAGCTGGGATCGGGGGTGTTGGTCATGTTTGTGGTTTGGAAGATGTTCCTGTTTTGCCTGTGTTGGGACATGATTACAGAGTGGTTATCTTTGTGCCTTGAGTCCTCATGACCACAGGGGCCTTATCTGTTGTTGAAGTTCTGTGAGATTGCCTGTGTTCACAGGAGAATGCCCGGCTGAGGTAGGCGTGCCAGGCTAGTGCATGGCAACACCAAGACCTGGCTGATGGAGCTAGGCCTGTTATGGACGTGAGGGACTGCCTTTCTCTTTGCCAAAATGAAGACAGCAGTTGAAATTATTTCAAACGCTTTTTATGAAATTAGTTAACATTTGACCTAATTGAGAGGTTTGAATCTTACCTGCTTCCTTGTAGTGTCACAAACATGAATTGACTGAAATTGCAAAGAGTGAGGGAAGGCTGAGAGATTGCAAAACCCGTAATTGTGCTCAACAACATTTAATCAAAATTTAACTTCTCAACTTTCAGCTATTGTAATTTATAAACCATTCTCTCTGTTGCAGTAGAAACCATTGAAGGTTTTCAGTGTTCTCCCTATCCTGAAGTTGATCATTTTGTTCTTTCTTTGGTGAATAAAGATGGCATTAAAGGAGGTAAAGTTAATCTCATCCTTTGTTAACTGTTATATGATAGAGTGATAGTAGCTTTAGAAACATTATTTGCATTTTAGGAATTCGGCGTTGGAACTACTTTTTCCCAGAAGAATTACTGGTTTATGATATTTGTAAATATCGGTGGTGTGAAAACATTGGAAGAGCCCATAAGAGTAATAATATAATGTAAGTAATATTAATGATTTGTGTGTATTTAACCAATATTATATTTTAAATATTTATAACTTTTAAAGTTGCGAATATGAAAACTATTTTGTTTTAAAAATAAATTTAGTTGTATTAAATTTCTTTTTTTTTTCCAAGACGAAATCTTGCTCTGTCGCCCAGGCTGGAGTACAGTGGCGCGATCGCGGCTCAGTGCAACCTCCGCCTCCTGGGTTCTAGCAATTCTCCTGCCTCAGCCTCCTAAGTAGCTGGGATTACAGGCGCCTGCCACTACACCCAGCTAATTTTTGTATTTTTAGTAGAGACAAGGTTTCACCATGTTGGCCAGGCTGGTCTCGAACTCCTGACCTTGTGATCCACCCACCTCAGCCTCCCAAAGTCCTGGGATTACAGGTGTGAGCCACTGCACTCAGCTGTTGTATTAAATTTCTATTTGTTGTATATGGTTAGCATTACATAATATTTAATTTAAATGTTGTGATTATTGCGTTGCTTCTAGCATGTCAGCTTTATGTGTACTTTCTTTGCTAAGATAACCCCTTAGTATATGTGGAGAGGACAAAGGTGGGGTTGAGCAGGGCTGGGAGAAGGCTGTGGGCAGGGAGCAGTGAGGATGGGAAGCATGCCTGTCCTTCCTGTTGCCATTGGCCCTTGCCACCTTATGGACTCTACGTCGAAAGTGCGCAGGTTTGGGCAAGAAGGGATCTCCTCAGTTAGTGTTAAGAGCTGGAGCTAGGATTGTGTTAACTCGTTCAAGACACAGCATGGTACTGAGGGAACTAGTATTTATTGAATGCTTGCTATATATGCCAGGCCCTGTTTTAGAGATTTTCTTTAAAACGCCCATGGGAAGAGGAGGGAAAGTAAAGGATGAAGTAAAGCCAGAAATAGAACTTTAAAATATAAAAGGATGTGATTAGAATAGAGATAAATAGATACCCAGTAGTTATCAGTTATGAGGTGAGAAATTTTGCTGTTTTTTATTTCATGTCAAAGCAACTCCCGTATCCTCAAGCATATGCGGCCTGTGTGCTGGACATGGGGAATGATCGGGAAGCTCTTGCTGGGAAGCTGGAAACACATTGGGTAGCATGGTTCAGTGCCATACTTGATATACTTAGATTAATTCAGTTTAAAAAAAGCTTGCAAAAACTATATGCTCAATACACAAAGCTATAACGTAGAAAACACGAAGGAGATACAGTGCCACAGCCAGGGCATAACTGCAGCTATCAGTTGACGTTTCTTCTGTTCTTTTTTCTATGCGTATTAACTTACCAAAAAATCATTATTACATGGTGATCATAACACCTTGTATTATGTCTCCATAATCTATTCTGTTTTTTAACCGTGGAATATATCATACATACAAAAGTATAGATAACACACTTTTTTTTATTTTCTGAGATGGAATCTCACTCCGTTGCCCAGGCTGGAGTGCAGTGGCATGATCTCAGCTCACTGCAACCTCCGCTTCCTTGATTCAAGTGATTCTCCTGCCTTAGCCTCTCAAGTAGCTGGGATTACAAGTGTGTACTACCATGCCCGGTTAATTTTTGTAATTTTAGTAGAGACGGAGTTTCACTATGTTGGCTGGGCTGGTCTCAAACTCCTGACCTCAAGTGATCTGCCCGCCTTGGCCTCCCAAAGTGCTGGGATTACAGGTGTGAGCCACCGCACCCAGCCGATAACACACTTGTATACGCACATTTTAAAGACTAAAGTGACCACCTGTTGTATCTGCCGCCCACCTTAACAACCAGAAGCTGATCAAACCTCAGAAGCACCTGTGGGCCCAACCCCAATTTCCTTCTCTCCCTGGCCCTCAGAGATGGTAGCCAGTATCCCGATTTTGTGTTCATCTTTTCCTCGCTTTTATGATTTCTCCCATATACGTTCATATCTCTAAACAATATACTGTTTTCTTTTTCTTTTCTTTTGTTTTTTGAGACAGAGTTTTGCTCTTGTCGCCCAGGCTGGGGTGCAATCGCACGATCTCGGCTCACTGCAACCTCTGTCTCCCGGGTTCAAGCAATTCTCCGGCCTCAGCCTCCCGAGTAGCTGGGATTACAGGCATGCGCCACCATGCCCAGCTAATTTTTTGTATTTTTAGTAGAGACGGGGTTTCTGCATGTTGGTCTGGCTGGTCTCGAACTCCCGACCTCAGGTGATCTGCCTGCCTTGGCTTCCCAAAGTGCTGGGATTACAGGCATGAGCCACCGTGCCCGGCCATAAACAATATAGTGTTTTCTTTTGCTTGTTTTCGAATCGCATCCTCTCCCTTGCCTTGCGGTAGCATATCTGTGATTTTCACCCACGTTGCAGTATGTAGCTGTTGCTTATTTGTGTCACTATTGTGCAGCATGCCATGTGTATAAATATAAATAGGCCACAGTTTATCTGTTTTCCCACAGTGGACATTTGGGTTGCTATTATAAACCGTGAAGGTGGGAACCGTGTTGTACATATCACCTAGTATACATGTGCTAGAGTTTCTCAAAGTGGACTTGCTGTGTCGTGGAATATGCACATAATTAATTTTACTAGATCATAAATTGTTTTCCCAAATGGGTGTGCCAGTTTATAGTCCTGCCAGCAGTGTTTTGAGATTTTTCTACTGTTCCATATTCTCACCAACACTTTAGTATTGTTAGGATTAAAAAATTGGTTTTGCTCATCTGGCAGATGTAAAACAATATTGTAGTTTTCTTGGGAATTTCCCTGATTACTAATGAAGTTGAGGATGGATAATCAAATTACATCCACACAGATCAGAAATCTTGCCCAGTGTCAAGCTTTACTAATAATGTAGGAATACAAGGAATGAAAAGGCACAAATGGGGCAGAGTGAGGCCCGGGGCATCTGGCCCGGCTCCCCTGGCCCTTCCTGCTCTTTCTGACTCAGGAGGAAACCCGAGGCAGGCGTGAGCAATCCATGCACACAGCAGGAAGCACCGAGGTTGTGAATCACCTGCATTTTACACTCAAGTTGCACAGCTGGGTGACATTTCCGGAAAGCATGCCTCATAATGCATTGATTCTAGACTTTTTACCAAATGCAGTTCTAAAGTCAGAAACGTCCTACGAAGAGCATTCTGTAGGTAAGGACTGAACTCCTAGCGTTTGGTCCAGACGTTCCCCGATTTTCTTGGTTCATGGTTCCCCTGGTGTCTTTGTTTCTTCACATTTTCTCTGAGGCTGACAGAAATACCCGAGCTCTGGTAATGAATTTCAAACAACTTGGTAAGTGTTTATGTCCGAACAGTTTAGTAGCAGTTTGAATAATAGTATCCATAAACTAAAAAAAAAAGCCACTTTTCATTCTTAAATACAATTACTTATTAATGGGATGTATACTCTCCATTTTTTCATTTTTTTGAGACAGGGTCTCGCCCTGTCGCCCAGGCTTGAGTGCAGTGTGATGGCCCAGGCTTGAGGACAGAGTGCAGGAGCTCACTGCAGCCTTGATCTCCTGGGCTTGAGCGATCTTCCTGCTTCAGCCTCTCACGTAGTTTAGACTACAGGTGTGCCACCATGGCTGGTTAATTTTTAAATTTTTTGTAGGTGGGATCTCCCTCTCTTGCCCAGGTTGGCCTTGAACTCCAGCCTTCAAGCTATCCTCCCACCTCAGCCTCCCAAAATGCTGGAATTACAGGTGTGAACCACCTCACCAGGCCTATGTATGCACTCTTAAACCCTGGAATCAGATTAGACCCCACCCTCCCCAACTCATACCTTGTTCTCCATTGATGTTAATGGTGCTTTTTTTTTTTTTTTTTTTTTTTTGAGATGGAGTCTTGCTCTGTCACCCAGGCTGAAGTGCAGTGGTGCAATCTCGGCTCACTGCAACCTCTGCCTCCTGGCTTCAAGCAATTCTCCTGCCTCAGCCCCCCGAGTAGCTGGGATTACAGGTGCCCACCGCCACGCCTGGCTAATTTTTGTTGTATTTTTATTAGAGATGCGGTTTCACCATGTTGGCCAGGCTGGTCTCGAACTCCTGACCTTGTGATCCACCCACCTCGGCCTCCCAAAGTGCTGGGATTACAGGCGCGAGCCACCATGCCCGGCCTGATGTTAATGGTGCTTTCTATTACAACCACACCCCAAAGCCCAGCTCTACAAAGATGGAGCATGAATGAAAGGAATGAAGTCACATGTGAACTGCAGGCAAGGAGTTTTCAGATTGCTCAAGAAATGTCAAGTATCACTGTGTTTTCTAGCAGTATTTCAATATCCTGCAGTGCCCGGGGCACCTTCCTGTACAGTTTGGGAGCCACAGCATTATTAGCTCATTAATTGGGAGGCCTGTTACTAGAATGTTTAAGGGAAGATTAGACTAAGTCACCTGCCTTTTTTTGCTCCTGGGTGCAGGTCCCTTACCACCTCCCCATCCCACACCTCACCTACTGCCATGGGGAGTGTTAACCATCTTATTTCCTTTTCTGTAAAATGTGGGAACATTTTCAACTATTTAATCAAATCTTTAAGAATTTTAGTGATTATAGGATTGTTTAGGTTTTCTGTTGCTTTTTAAGTTTGCTTAGTTTATTTTTATGTAGTACTTTATTTTACAAAAACTTTCAAAGTTACTGGCAAAAGTTGTTCACAATATTGTTTTCTTAAAAACATATGATGCATTTAATTTCTAATAACATTTGTGTCTTTGCCTTATTTTTAAATCAATTTTACCCTAATTTCATTTTCTTCAAATGTAGGCCTCGTTGATTCTTTTTACTTTTGTCTCTTTATGACTGCCTGCCTTTTATTTATTTATTTACTTATTTATTTATTTAGAGACAGAGTCTCACACTGTCACCCGGGCTGGAGAGCAGTGGCACCAGCTTGGCTCACTGCAACCTCCGCCTCCCAGGTTCAAGTGATTCTCCTGCCTCAGCCTCCCAAGTAGCTGGGATTACAGGTGCCCCCCACCACGCCCAGCTAATTTTTGTATTTTCAGTATAGACGGGGTTTCACTATGTTGGCCAGGCTGGTCTCTTTATTCAGTTCGTTGTTTTCCACGTTAGTCACTTAATC
Source organism: Homo sapiens (assembly GCF_000001405.40). NCBI lineage: Eukaryota > Metazoa > Chordata > Mammalia > Primates > Hominidae > Homo > Homo sapiens. The sequence goes on from NC_000004.12 coordinate 184,690,719, forward strand.
CATGTATCTTTAGCTATTCTTCTTTCATAACACAAGATTTTAAGACTATAAATTACCCTCTAAAGGTGACTTTAGCTGCATTTCACATATTTTAATATGTACACTTCCAGTCCACTCAGGTCTAAGCGTTTTCTAATTTCCACTATTTTTCCTTGAACCATTGGTTGTTTCAAGTTGTTCTTAATTTCCAAATTATGGATTTCTATTAGTTTTATTTCTAAAATTTGCTTTATGCTCAGATGTGTTCTGTATGAAGTGATGATTTTAAATTTGATAAAATTCACTTTATAGCTAGCATGGAATTGGTTTTATAAAGAACTGCTTCATATTTACCTATTAGATCAAACTTCTTAATTGCTTTTTGTCATTCATTTTTTCTGTATCCTTATTGGACCTTTTTTGTGGTTATCCTTTGATCTATAAATTACTGAGAGTATGTTTTTTAAAAACCTTGATTTATGGTAGATTTGTTTATCATTGTGGTCCTGTCCATTTTTGCTCACATATTTTGCAGCTGTATTATTTGGTGAGTACAGGTTGAGAATTGTTACATCTTCCTGGGGGAACTTTCATCAGTATCTACTTTTTGCCCTGCAGTTCATTTTGTGTGATTTTTGGCAACCACCGTTTTGATTGGTATGTATCTATCCTTATCCTTTTACTTTTTAATTTTTCTCCATCTTTAAGTCTTAGGCATATTTCTTGGAACAGCATGCAGCTGGATTTTGTTTTCTACCCAGTCTTGGTATTAATACTTTTTTTTTTTTTTTAAACATAAAGGATTCTGGTTGATCTGAAAAATGAAGTTTGGTATCAAAAATGTCATGACCCTGTATGTAAAGCAGAAAACTTCAAATCTGACTGTAAGTTACTAATTTTTACATTTACCACAAAGTAAAAATTAGATAACTGTAATATGTAATAGTTTTGCTATCTTTCTGATTCAGGTTTCCCATTACCTGCTGAAGTATGTCTCCTGTTTCTTTTCAAAGAGGTAAGTACAGATTTTAGTGTCTTTCTCCTTACCAGGGAGTTCTTGGTACAATAGTATACCTGAGCCATGAGTAGTGTCCAAATAGCATTGAAACCCATTTGCTACCTTGTTTTCACTTATGACTGTATTATAGGAATATATTGTAGTGATTTTCCCATTTCAGCACATATCTGATAATACAAACCTTTTTTTTTTTTTTTTACTGCTGCTTGAGGTGTACAGTTTAATCAGTCCCAGACATTTAAGAAGTTTCCCATATTTTGCTTTTCAAAGTAACAAAATACCCATCTTTGTATTTCTTTGAACATCTGTATCTGTAGGATGAATTTCTAGAAGTAGAATTGTGTCAAAGGGCATATTCAGTTTTAATTTTGGTAGGTATTACCAGGTTGTCAAACCAACATTTTTCTCTTAAAGATTTTTTATTTACCCAAATAATTAACGTGCATTGTAGAATGAATTGAAAATACATAAAATTAGGTCAGGCACAGTGGCTCAGGCCTGTAATCCCAGCACTTTGAGAGGCTGAGGCAGGCAGATCACTTGAGGTCATGAGTTTGAGACCGGCCTGGCCAACATGGAGAAACCCCATCTCTACTAAAAACACAAAAATTAGCCAGGTGTGGTGGCCTATGCCTATAATCCCAGCTACTCAGGAGGCTGAGGCAGGAGAATCCCTTGAACCTGGGAGGTGGAGGTTGCAGTGAGCTGATATCACGCCATTACACTCCAGCCTGGGAGACAGAGCGACTCTGCCTCAAAAAAAAAAAAAAAAAAAAAAGAAAGAAAATACATAAAATTAGGAAATACACAAGAAGCAAAGAGGAAAGAATCTTCCTTACTCATTTGACCAGAAATAAATGATACACGTTTTGGCACGTACCTTCGAGAATTTATGTATGCTCATTTTCTTTTTTTTTGAAGTGATAGCACACATACTATTTCAGTTTTTTTTCTAAAGTATCACAAATATTTTTAGTACCTATTATCAAATTGCTCTCCATAAAAAGTATAGGATATTAGACCTCCACAGATAATTTATGAGAGCACCTATTACCTCACACTTTGCCAGCAGTGCTTGTTTACCTCGAATCACTACCAATCTGGTAGGCAAAATGCAGTACCTCAGTTGTTTTAATTTGCATCTCTGTAATGAACTTTTTTCGGATTCACTATTAGTATTTCTATAATGAAGTGCCTGTACCTGTCCTCTGTCCATTTTTCTGTAACTTTTTTGCAGTAATTAAGTACTGTTTTTGACGTATTTCACTTTTAAATTGTAGTTTGTGTTTTGTTTTTTGTCACATCTGTCAGCTTTCTCCTCTATAGTGTTAATAGAATAAAAGAAGTTACCTGCTACAAGCAGAACAGGTGATGGGGTTTATATTCTAGAAAACTCAGTCTTAACACGTCTCTCGAAAAAACTCCATATGTTTGAAATGGTGGAAATTCCATTCTTGGTCTGCAAGAACTGGACATAAAATAACTGATAGCCAGATTCTCTGGCAAAATACCAGGTTAAAATGTGTTTTGAAATAACCAAGAACAAAGTAAATTTTAAAAAATAAACTGTCTCCAAGAGGAGGAGGATTGCATCGCCCTTGTTAGTCTGGATTGTGATTTAGATATTCGTGGTTGCAGTGGATTTTTAAGCTACTTTTTCCGCTTATCTAGTAACACCTCAAAAATGCCAAGTTGAAAGTACCATTGGTCAGTATTACCACTACTTGGACATAACTTTTTAAAGTAAGATATATAATGAACACCCATGTAGCTGTCACTTAGTTTTCAGTTAACATTTTGCCTCTCCTGCTTCATCTTGTTTTTTAAAACAAATATTTTAAATTACCAGTTGGTGTTATTTATACCTGCTTTTCTATTGCACTGATATTTCATTGGTCACTTGATTTTAAATTTACTATAAAGGCCTAACCTACAGAAATGTACAAGAATAAGGAACTCTGCTGTCTGTCCTCTATTGAGATCTGCCATTTGTTAACACTTGGCCACATTGGTTTTCTCCCTCTACTGTATACATACGCATTATTTTTGATGACTCTCTTAAACTGCAGACATCAAAACCCTTCATCTAATATTTAAGCACGTAGCGGAAAGAATAAGACATTCTGTAGCTTTTTTAATGACAGGGGGGTATCATGTTGCCCGGGCTGGTCTCAAACTCCTGGCCTCAAGCAGTCCTCCCGTCTCAGCCTCCCCAGTAGCTGGGATTACAGGCACGTGCCACTGCACTGAATAAGGACATTCTTTACATAAATAATGTATTGGGCGGATCAACTAAATGTCTATACTGAAGACATTCTATGGTAAAATAATTGATACAATACTATTATGTAATATACAATCCAGTCATATTTTGGCAACTGTTTTTAATCTTTTTTCAATCCATGTTTACGATTTGCTAAATACTTTAAAATTTAAAGCATGGGTACTAAGTCCATTGTCAAGATAGCAAATTTATCTTCTGATTTGTCTTCAGCTGGACTGTCCACTTGTTAAAAAATTAAATCCACCCTTGCTCTTCCGTCGGGGAGTATTGAAAAGTATGTGCACAGAACTGTAGGTAATTTCAAATTTGGAGTTTCAAGTGTGTCTGAGCTTCAGTGCAGCAACGTTTGAATCAGTGCACTCATTCCCACGGTGAGATATCGGAGACAGCATTCCTCCTGCATATTCACTTTAGTATCTGTCACTTAATACCTTACTTCAACATAGAGTATAAGGTTAAATCACATATCCTGAGTAAATATTTTCCTATCCCACTCTCTATCCCTTCACCACTGAAATAAAGGAAGAAGAGTTTACAACAGATGAAGCAGATGAAACTAGGAGCAATGAAACCCAGAATCCTCATAAACCATCACCTAGCAGGCTGTCAACAGGTGCATCTGCTGATGCTGTCTGGGATAATGGCATTGATGATGCTTATTTTTTAGAAGCTACTGAAGATGCTGAATTAGCTGAAGCTGCAGAGAACAGTCTTCTCAGTTATAACAGTGAAGTGGATGAAATTCCTGATGAACTAATTATAGAAGTATTACAAGAGTAACTAATTCACTATGAACACTTTTGTCACCAGGCTATAATTTGCCTGATGTCTGTGAGATTTGATAAATATATCATTCAACCTGTTTATATAAACTAAGTTTTATTACTTTGCTTTCCAATTTTTGTTTTTTACTTCTGTAAACCAATTTCATTAAAAATTAGCTTTGGTGTAAATTCAGGAGAAATCGCCTTATTAATTAATCAAAATTATGTTCACATCAACTTAATTTTACAAGTTTATTATAGCTCATACCTGGGACCGATTAAGGTGTCAACATTTTAAAATTACTCAAGATATTAACCAGAAAAGATGATTATGGCCTTTAAAACTATTGGACAAACTGATGCTATTTAACATTGTTCACAGCCATTTAATTTGAATAACAAATTTTAGATTCTAAGTAGGCCATAACTTCTTTGCAAAACAATTGATTTATAAAGGTACAGTTTCAGAAGGTAACAGCATGAGACTAGTCTTCCTATAGGCACATTTTAGTAGACTGCTCTTCTCATCCCTGGTCAAGGAGCTTCTCTAACTGATGGTTGATATTTCGCAGATGGCTTTCGGCTCCCAGAAGTGTTCTTGCTTTAAATAACAGAGCTGGAAGGCTGGATGAATCATACTGTTGAAAGAAAATTATATAATTAGCAATATCAAAAACTCATAACCTTGTCCTTAGATAGCCCAATCTTATGACTAATGCAAATTTTGATTGAGCTTTCCATTAACTACTCCTCCTCTCATTTTTAACTAGGACCATTAAGACAATTGGTTTTAATCCATTTCCCTTAGAATATAATTGATCACAAAGTTGCTAGGGAGCTGCTCTGCAAAGCTTGAACTGATCTTCTTATCCCAGAAGACCAGCTGATTCAAAGAATTGTATCATCTCTATTACTGGAGACAGGAAATCACATCTGGGACATGTCAAGGCTTGGTTTGGGCAGGTCTGCTCGTGCTGTGTAGAATCTGCTTGATATCATGTCTATTTTAAAACACAGAAAACTGTAAGACAGGTTTTACTTTAACTGAAATAACTAATGGAATGAGAACACCAGATCCATAAAAGTTCTTAAGGAAAAAAGAAAACCCAAATCTATCATCTCAAGAAATTATTTATTGGGAGAATCAATTAAATGTCTCAAAGGCTGCCAATCCAAATGTTCTTAATGATTCATGTTAAAATTAGAATACAAACCCAACATAAAATACAATATCCAACTCATGATTTTGAAATAATTAACAAAGTCAAACTTCCAGTTGCAAATTGTATCTAAGGGTGCATGATTAAATTCCTCTTACAGAATTTTGTCATACTTTGATAGTTTGCTGTTTAATAGCATGTTTTCAAGATGACAGCAGAAAAGGTGTCATGCTGTGACTACCACACACATGATAATGGAATTTTATACAAATATTTGACAAACTAATGTGTTCAAGCTCCCATGGGCACCTGCTCTAGGGAGGAATAAAGGGGAAGAAGTCACATTTGTCACTAAATGTTTAGAGTAAGACATATGCCCAAATATCTACACTTAATAAGGCAAAAGGGACAGTTAATACAAGAGGAGTGCAAGAAGGCATTGAGCTCACTCTAAGAACAGGACGCTCATCAGGTGGTGTGTTCCAAACAAGGCAGAGACACTAAACCTCGCTTTTAACCAAAGTATTATGTTCAAGCTGAATCAATGCTACAGATAACTTGCCCAAATTTAGTAACAAACTCCAAATCATAAGCTTTGGACTACTTAGGTAATTAAAAAAATACCTTTAAAAGCATTCTATTTCTGGATCTCTAATATATACACAAACCTTAGGCTCAGGAAAATTAATTTAGATCAGTGTCAAAACCTTAACATTGAATTTAGAAGTGAATACAAATCTGATCATAAAATATGTATACATTACATATATATATATTATATAAAATTATATTAGGGCATACAAATACAAATTTCTTTCCTAGAACTTAAACATTTCTATTAATCTGAGGCAGATGGCATAACAGTAGCAAAGTCTGCAGTAAAAATCCAGAAGCAACTACAAAATGTATTAAAACAATAAACTTGTTTTCCCATTATATTCCTTTTTAATGTTCCTTAACTTTTTTTTTTTTTTTGAGGCAAAGTCTTGCTCTGTCACCCAGGCTGGAGTGCAGTAGTGCGATCACAGCTCAGTGCAGCCTGGACCTCCAGGGCTCAAGCGATCTTGCCACCTCAGCCTCCTGAGTAGCTGGGACTACAGGCATACACCACCACACCTGGCTAGTTTTTGTATTTTTAGTAGAGATGGGGTTTCACCATATCGCCCAAGGCTGGTCTTGAACTCCTGGGCTCAAGGGATCTACTTGCCTCAGCCTCCCGAAGTGCTATGATTACAGGTGAGAGCTATCACACCCGGCCTGTTTCTTAACTTCTAAAATCCTACCTACCACTTATACGGGAAAATAGCTTGTTTTTCATATGCAAAAGATGCCGTGAACATGGGCTAGACCAAACAGAAGAGGCTGGTCTTTCGAACATGGCTGAGTGGTCTTACATGAATGAAAACTGTAATACAGCAGAGTGTGATTTTTCAATTGAGATTTATACACAGAATAAAAACTTCCCTTGATGAAATTCAGCTGTCCGAGTGAAAATACCTTACACAATCAGCAATTCTAGACATTACTCCTCCAGCCTTCATTAAGTAGCTAAGAAAAGTGCTGATATAATGAAGTTTCACTGGCTTATAGTGATACTATTTTAGGTGGACTCTGTAATTCTGTATCTGCATTTGTCTTTCCCCAAAGCTTCTGATACTCTAGCATGAAAATGCCCTCCCACAATCATCTTCTGAAGCATGGTAAAAAGTAAAATTGGAGTTACCGTTTCCTTTACGTTTGGTTCTTGAGCTTGAACATCTGAATAATCTTGATAAAGCTGTTTTAAATTAGATAAGAAATATGCTGCATTCCTAAGGGAAGACTTTCTCTCTTTAAGTTCATCATATTTTGTTTGTAGTTGTTTCAGCTGTGGCTCTAACCTAAAACAAAAATAAGTGACAAATAATAAAATGTACCAGCCTATCGTGGTGAAACTGAGGTTGTAAGTACGCTGAGCGAGTGTGAAGAACCGGGGCTGGCCAACTAGATGACTTGCTTTGGCTCTGAAACTACGAATGTGTAAAAGATTCTGGGTTTCAGTTTAAAATGTAGGAAAAAAAATCTCTGAAATACAATGCACAATGAATAATTAGCAGTGATATCCACAGAAGAATATTCCTTATAAATGCTGAAATTCATCAAGCCGTTCAAGTCTTGGGAACTACTGGATCAAATGTATGCCTGGTTGACATTCAGAGGCTCGCACCAGCGGAGCCAGGCACTACAGTCTAACACAGAAACCATGGAGAAAAAGCCTTCCCAGTGCTCCTTCCTCTTATCAAATCTTGTCCACTTTCCAAAGTCTAATAAAACCAGTGGAAGACTGTCAGTGCCTGGATGAAAATGTGTGACTTGGGGCAAACTGTTTCATCTCTCAGTGGCTGAGTTTCTTCATCTATAAAATAAAAAGGGATAACTTGGGTTTTATGGACCAACAAAAAAATGAGGGGCAAAGGCGGCAAATTTTGTATTTTGCCAAATAAAGATATAAAACACAATTCTCTAATATAATTTCATAAAAACGTCTTTTTTGTTTGTTTTTTTGAGACAGAGTCTTGCTCTGTCACCCAGGCTGGGAGTGCAGTGGCGTGATCTCAGCTCACTGCAACCTCCGCCTCCCAGGTTCAAGTGATTCTCCTGCCTCAGCCTCTCGAGTAGCTGGGATTACAGGTGCCCACACCACGCCCGGCTAAGTTTTGTATTTTTAGTAGAGACGGGGTTTCACCATGTTGGCCAGGCTGGTCTCGAACTCCTGACCTCAGTGATCCACCCGCCCCAGCCTCCCAAAGTGCTGGGACTACAGGCGTGAGCCAGGAAAAGTCTTCTTTAACGATTCTTTACACTGAACAAATGCAGCGCTGGGGAAAACTCACTACTGAACTGGCAGCCATGGTCAGGAGTGCTGGATTTGGAGTCAGTCAGCTGACAGTGAATCCTGGCTCCCTGACTTCCTAGGGCTGCACCGTAGGCAAGTTACCTCCCTGTGCCTTAGGTTTTCATATGGCAAGTTAAAATAATTATATACCATAGGTTTTTTTATTATGCCTTTTCAAAATACACTTCTCAATTTCTAAATTTATATCTAGAAAAGAAACAAAAGTCAGTCTTTAAAACACGTCTCAGGCTGGGCGCGGTGGCTCACACCTGTAATCCCAGCACTTTGGGAGGCCAAGGCAGGCGAATCACGAGGTCAGGAGATCCAGAGCATCCTGACTAACATGGTGAAACCCTGTCTCTACTAAAAATACAAAAAAAAATTAGCCGGGCACAGTGGCAGGCGCCTGTAGTCCCAACTATTCGGGAGGATGAGGCAGGAGAATAGCGCGAACCCGGGAGGCGGAGCTTGCAGTGAGCCAAGATAGCGCCACCGCACTCCAGCCTGGGCGACAGAGCCAGACTCCGTCTCAAAAATAAATAAATAAATAAATAAATAAAATAAACTTGTCTCAGTAGTCTCACACCGAAGACAAGTGTAACCAGGCACGGCCTGACTGTAGCTATAACCACTTATCTCATAGGACTGTGATGATGATGAGTTAGCATAGGAAGCGTTTAGGAAAGTGCCCTGCCACACAGGAAGCTTGTAAATGTTAGCTTTCCCTATTATATTTACCTTTAGTTTTCTTATTTTGGCCTGGGTCAGTGAAAACCTTACCATAGGCCAGCACCTGTCCAGAGACTCAATTTAGAAACCAACAGATTAGACAACTGCTTTCTCCCACTTAAACTCCTGTGGCAGTCTCTCTTTTTTTTTTGAGACACAGTTTCACTCTGTCACCCAGGCTGGAGTGCACTGGCACAATCTCGGCTCCCTGCAACCTCCGCCTCCCAGGTTCAAGCGATTCTCGTGCCTCAACCTCCCGAGTAGCTTGGATTACAGGTATGCACCACCACACCCGGCTAATTTTTGTATTTTTGAGATGGGGTTTCACTATGTTGGCCAAGCTGGTCTTGAACTCCTGACCTCAAGTGATCTGCCCACCTCGGCCTCCCAAAGTGCTGGGATTACAGGCGTGAGCCACCGTGCCCGGCCTAGCAGCCTCTTTTTTAAAACTTAGTTTTGAGTGAGTTTTTAAAAGTTTCAACTTTTCATTATGCACATTCTTTTCTGATAATATCACTGTCTTTCTCAAGCTATTTTTAAGCTCAGGAGCAGACACCACATCTAGCACTGTTTTACTACCAAGCCTCTAGCTCTCACAACAGCCCTGGCCTCAAAACACACTTGGGGGCTGACAGCTGATGTGCACTCCAGTCTTCCTAACCAGAAACTGGGGGCAGCCCTGGCCTGCAGGGCCTGGTAAGTTCACCTGGCCCACACTTGGGAGTGGATTCACATGCATGTCACTCCAAGGCATACCCTTCGACAATAACATAAACAATTGTCAACACTTACACAGCACTTACTGTGTGCGCCTGTCCCTGTGAAGCACTTTCTATATATGTACTTATTTAATTTCCACAACACTCTGTGAAGTATAGGTATGATTATTATTATGCCTATATACAAAAGAGGGAACTGAGACACTGGGACATTAAATAACTTGGTCAATGTTGCGCAGCCAGTAAGTGGCAGAGCTTGGGTTCAACCCAAGCAGTTCAAGCAGTTTAATGTGTAGATTCTAGAATTCAACCCAGGCAGCTGAATTCTAGAATCTAGGCATTATATCTCTTAAGGCCAGAGCTGAGAAATCTGTGGAGATAGATCAGTGTGGAATTCTCCTTTGTCAAAAGGTGGGGCAACTAAGCAGCATACCCTGCCTTCACTGAGTATCGGAGCTTGAAGATAACCTGGGGCTTTAATACATCACAGCAGCAAGTGTCACTCCCCTAAATGACACACCATCATTACATCCTTTTAGGTAAGTGCTCAAACAGGATTTGACAGTATCTTACCGAAGCAGTTCATCCTGGACTTCAATCATACGCTGCCTTTTCTTTTCGATATCTGAAATCATCTAAGTAACACAATCATTTGTGTTAAAATTAATTTGTAACTGTTTGAGCACTGCCACATAAGCTGCCAGGTAATGAAGTGCAGTGGAAAACAAGACAGACCCAGTTCTTACCATCACAGACTTTGGTCTAATGGGGAAGACAGACATTACATAGAAACAGTATGTATTTACAGCTTGTGATATGTAGGAAAAGAAGAGAGAACTCTGGAAAAGAAAAGCAGGGGTATCTACTTCAGAATGACCAGAGGAAGGAAAGCAGGGGCCAGGTCTTTACTGGACCCTGTGACCTGTAAAGTGAGGAGATTTTATCTAGGCATACTAGGAAACTATCAAAGCAGGGGAGTGTTGTGATCCACTCTGTATTTTAAAAGAAATATTTCATATTTTATTATCTCGGACATTCAGTCACTTTTAGTGACTACCTAATTCTCCATTGTTAGACATTCATAATGTTCCCACTCCGTAATAAGCAATGCAGAAATGACCAATAAGAGATTAAAACTGAAAAACAAAAACATCCCAGAGCTTGCAATCACTGGAAGGAAAACGTATGTATTTCAAGTCCACTTCTACTTTAAATGTAGAGGTGGACTTCCACTCCTGGATTCACCTCTGATGCTCAGAGGTCATTTGGTCCAACCATTTCCAGGTAAGCAAAGGAGACTCTCATGCTGGCTGGCTTGTCACCCACTGCAGACCCAGTGGTATACAGCTTATAGGTGGTATAGCAATGAAGCAGCAGAACCAGGACTAGACATGAGGTCTCCTGACCCTTAACCCAGTATTCTTCCCAGGCTGTCCTACCTGGGACAGTTCTTTATTCTAAAAGGTTGTGCTTTTCGACATCCACAAAAGCAATAAATATATATTAATATTTATCCATGTAAGTGGTCATTTTGGACTGGGTAGTTTTTTTAAAGCTACCTTTGTGACATTAATAAAAGGCTTAAATTTCTGTCTTTAATTATAAAAACAATTATTTTGACACTCGTGCAGCCTTAGGAAACAAAAGTGACTAGGATCCCCATTCCTTACCTTGCATTAATAATACCAACCGTATCAACCACAAGATCAACCAAATAAAAGCCTGACAAGATTATGAAATCTACTCACACTCTAAAGGCTGTAAACCCAGAGTCAAGTCTTCGCATAACTCTACATTAGTATTGTGTTTGACTCTATGACTCTAATCACATAAATAATTTACCTTAGCATTCTTCCTTTTCAGATTTGTCAACATCTGGCTTTCTTTAAGCTACACAAAACAAAAAATACACATGTACATCAGTTTCCAAAAGTAAATGTTAATTAGTTTCACATGTGTCACATTTAGTTTAAAAACAGTTATGTGGAATATGAATAGTTCTAATGAGTTTATTACCATACTGCCAGCAAATGCAAGCTTTTCTAAGACAACAATATGCTGCTACAGGATTAGTGAAAAAAACCTTAGACCAACAAATGCATGTCCGTGAGCTTACCATTTTGATGAATTGTTCTTTAACATTAACATAAAATGTGGCGATGGCTGCCTTACAAACTTTAGATTCTATTCTTTGTCTGTAGAGGAATTAAAAAAAAGTCTAAGTACCATGATGGATTTTGAAAGGTGTTTCATTTGCTTAGCATACAAACAAACATACACATACAATTTGGCATATACCTTTTTTTATTTTAAAAATATCTTTAATCTCTTATTTTTAATAATCTCAATGTTTTAGATTAAGGGGTTTGTTATATGGGCATACTGCATGACACTGACGTTTGGGGTACAACTGACCCCACCACTCAGGTAGCGAGCATAGTAGCAAACAGGTTGTTTTCAGTCCTTGAATCCCTCTGTCTCTCTTCCCTCTAGGAGTCCCCAGTGTCTATTGTTGCCATCTTTATGTCCATGTGCACCCAGTGTTTAGCTCCCACTTATAAGTAAGAACACGCGGTATTTGGCTTTCTGTTCCTGCAATAATTCACTTGGGATAATGACCTCCAGCTGCATCCATATTGCTGCAAAGGACATGATTTTGTTCTTTTTTATAGCTGTGTAGTATTCCATGGTCTATATGTACCATATTTTCTTTATCCAACCCACAGTTGATGGGCACTTAGGTTGATTCCGTCTTTACTATCATGGATAATGCTGCAATGAACATATGAGAGCACCATTTTAAATAACTAAGATGGCAATGTTCAGCCTGAAAAAAACACCGGAAACATGTATCAGCAAAAGAAAAAGAACAAACATATTATTCCCTAAGCCCTCTGGTACGGGGTCATCTTAATTCCCTGATACTGACCAACCTCACAGGTGATACCAAGTAAGGTAGAAATGCTTATGGATACTCCCAATCTTTTTCTGCTAACTGATAGACCCAGCAGACTTTATTCCCTCCCTCTTTGCCTGTTAGCAAAAGGAGGAGCAACTGTGTAACACATCTGGACTAGCCAAAAAGTAGCCATAAATCAGGTGTTAGTTCTTCAGAAACTATAAAGCTGACTCAAAGAAACTGCCTCAGGTCTCTGTCACTGGGGAGAAGAGATCTGGTGGCCAGGCTCTGATTCTCCTGGCTTGGCTCACTCACCCATTAAGATGGCTATTATTAAAAAAAAACAAAACAACAAGTGTTGGTGAGAAAGTACAGAAATAGGAACCCTTGTGTTGCTGGTGGAAATGTAAAATGATATAGTCACTGTGGAAAACAGTATTGGCAGTTCCAAAAAAATAAATAAATTAAATTAATTAAACACAGAATTACCACATGATCCAGCAATTCCTCTTCTAGGTACATACACAAAAGAATTGAAAGCACGGACTTGAATATCAATTGTACACCAATGTTTGTAGCAGCATTATTCACAATAGCCAAAAGGTGGGAACAACTCAAGTGTCCATTGATAGATGAATGGATAAAGGAAATGTGTTAAAATCATGACCACATAACAATGTCTCAGTCAACGATGGATGGCACATACAGTGGTAGACCCATAAGACAATAATGGAGCTAAAAATTTCTAATCACCTAGTGACACTGTTGCCATCATAATGTCATAGCACAATGCATTATGCACATACTTGTGGTGATGCTGGTGTAAACAAACCTATAGTGTTGCCTAGCTGTGTAAAAGTATAGCACACATACTTAGGTATACTACATAATACTAGGTAATAAATTACTAAGTGCCCCAAACAGGTGTAACATACTTCATCTTTTTTTTTTTTGAGATAAGGTCTCACTCTGTCACCCCCGCTGGACTGAGTAGTGTGATCATGGCTCACTGCAGCCTCAAACTCCTTGACTCCAGTGATCCTCCTGCCTCAGCCTCCCGTGTAGCTGGGACTACAGGCATATGCCACCACGCCTAATTTTTAACTTTTTTGTAGAAAACAGGTCTCATTATGTTGCCCAGGCTCATTTTTTATCTTTTATACTGTATTTTTACTGTACCTTTTCTATGTTTAGATACACAACTTACCATCATGCTACAATTATCTACAGTACTCAATACAGTAACATGCTGTCCAAGTGTGTATCCTGGGAGGAATAGGCAACACATCATATAGCCGCGGCATGTACTAGGCTTACACCTAAGCCTAGTACATGCCATCTAAGTTGGTTTAAGTACACTGTTAACACAATGACAAAACTGCCTAAGGATGCAGTTCTCAGAACACATCCCCGTTGTTAAGTGACATGAATGTGTATACATGACTGAATATGATTCCACCTTAATAAGTAAATTCTGACACATGCTATGACATGGGTGAGCCTTGAGGACATTATGCTGAGTGAAATAAGACAGTCACAAAAGGACAAATATTGTATGATTCCACTCATATGAGGTACCCAGAACAGTTAGATTTATAGAGACAAAGTAGAATGGTGATTGCTGGGGGAGGGAGGAATGAGGAGTCATTGCTCGAATGGGTACAAAGCTACCGTTTCCTAAGGCTTTAGTTCTAGAGATGGGCTGCTTAACAAGTTGCACACAGTTAACACACAATAAAAAGAAAATATTTCTACACTTCACACCTATCACAATGGCTAAAATAAAAATTAGTGAGAACACCAAATGCTGGCAAGGATGTAGAGAATCTGGATCATAAATAAGATCATACACCGTGGAAAACAGTCTCAGTCCCTTACAAAACTAAACATGCAATTACCATATAACCCAACAACTGCACTCTTGGGCATTTATCCCAGAGAAATGGAAGCTCAGGTTCAAACAAAAAAAAATGTATCCAAATGTTTACAGCACTGTGTGTGTTAACAGCCCCAAACTGGAAACAACCCAAATTCCTTCAATGGGTGAATGTCAAACAAACCATGGTATATCCATACCATAGAATGTTACCTAGCAATGAAGTGGAATGGAATCATACAACAGCTTGGATGAATCTCCAAGGCATTATGCTGAGTGGAAAAAAGCTAATCCCAAAAGGTTGCACACGATACAGTTTCATTTATATAACATTCCTGAAATGATGAAATGATAGAAATGGAGAACGGGTTAGTGGTTTCCAGGGCTTGGGGCTGTGGGTGTAGTTATAAAAGGGCAACATGAAGACAGCGGGGGCACGAGAACACAAGGATCCTGGAGGTGATGCAATACACAAACCTATGCATATGATAAAATCCCTATATTATTCCTTACAACTGCACGTGATTCTACAATTATCTCAAAAGAAGACATTTAATTAAAAAAAAAAGTTGTAACTTGTTATTACACATTGAACAAAAAAATTCATGAATAATGAGGTATTTCTATACATCCATGTTCATAGCAACATTATTCACAACAGCCAACAGGTGGAAGCAACCCAAGTGTCAACTGATGAATGAATGGATAAACAATGAATGGAGGAATGGTTATCTGTATATACACAATACACAGCCTTAACAAAGAAGGAAATTCTGATGCAAGCTATCACACAGATGAGCCTTGAGGACATGCTAAGTGAAATAAGCCAGTCACAAAAAGACAAATACTGGATGGTTTCATTTCCGTGAAGTATTCGAAGTAGTCAACTTCATAGAAACAGAAAGTAGAAGGGTGGTTGCCAAGCACTGGAGATGGGGTGGAGAATAGAAAATTGTGATTTAACGGGTACAGAATGTCAGTTGGGCAAGATAAAGAAGTTCTGGAGACTGATAGCACAACAACGTGAATATACTTAACACTATTGACCTGTGTTCTTAAAAACGCATAATGGCAAATTTTATGTTATGTGTATTTTAGCACAATTAAAAATTTACATAAGCCCCACTTTAAAAAAAAGAATTTCTAATGTAATATAATATCAAATCATTATTTTCAGATGTTAAAATATTTTTAAAATATAGCCAGTCATGGTGGCACATGCCTGTAATCTCAACTACTCTGGAGGCTGAGATGGGAGGGTCCCCTAAACCCAGGAGTTGGAGACCAGCCTGGGCAACACAGTGACACCCCCCATCTAAAGAAAGTTTTGTTTTGTTTTTTAAATAAGAAAAACTGGTCAGGCCTCTCTGCATATGGCTTGTAATGATAAATCAATGGATTCTTTCAATCACAAAGGTGATGGTCTACACAAGACAGCTCTTCCAAATTCTAGCAACTTAAAACATCTGGCAAAATTCAATTAATTGAATCAGCTATAGAATATTCTAAGAGTTTGTAATGTTGCATTTCATGGCATACTTCCCTACTTATACATAAACTGCTTATCATCAGTTCATACTGATATGACAGTGAAGCTATTCAGGTGTGAGTGCTAGGTACAGGATATTACAAACAGACCCTTAAACAGTTGTTGACTTAATTTTGAAAGAGTGAAGTGTTTCACGTGGCTGAGAACACCATATTGTCAAGGAAACAAAATGAGATCAGTGATTCACCAGAATTCTTATTTGGTATGACAAAAACACAAGGTTGTACTGCAATAAGTCTAAGAAAAAATACTATGCCTCTTCTAAATCATTTCTTATATCAAGAACTTACTACCCACTGCAGCAACTCAGACCTCTGTCCCTGTGTCCTTACTACCCACTGGGTGGTAAGTTCTTGATATAAGAAATGATTTAGAAGGGGACAATGCCATTTTCCCTAAAACATCAGAAGTCTATAATAAGCTTCCTATAAGAGATTTGTGAATAGGTAAAGGATAACACAAGCAAGATGGTCTTGGGTGTGTTAACAGAACTGTCCTAGTTTTAACAGGAAACTGGCTCTGGAATATAAAGAAGAGTAAAACAGGCACTTCTCACAATGATAATGATGAGTTGGCATGACAGGCTGGCTCCTTTCCCCAAGCTCACCCAGAACTACAGAGGGAATACCAAGAAAATGGAGAAAGCTGTGAAAACCCTGAGGGGAAGGTCATGTAGAGAGAATAACTGCTGTAAGGAGTGGCGCTGTGGCCAGGGCAGGAATAGAGAGCTGCAGGAAACTGACTCCTGCCTCTTCCCATCACCGATCTCATCAATAGTGTGCCTGCTCACCCCCGCTCCCCTGCCCCCTGCAGCAACTGAGACCTCTGTCCCTGTGTCCTCAAGACTGAAACTGGGGTTGGACTTGTGGGGCCTAGAGAAAAACATGGGAGGCTGACTGACTTTGGGCAGCTGTTTCCTCACCCTTCCCCAGCCAAACCCCCATGCTGGAGAATGATGACCCAGAGTCCATCTTTTCTTCCTGCTGCTCCTCTCTGGAGGGCGAGGAGTGAAGTGCTGACCTGACAGGCTGTTTTGTGAGATGAGTCGCTGAGGCTGCCCATCCTAGGGCTTACCCCACCCCCTGCACTGACGGGCACTAACAGGGACTGGGGTTTGGCCTTCTTCTATACATACTGTCTGACAGAAGCTGACAGGCCCAGGGGAAAATAAGCTCAGAGGCTGGAATAACAGGATGCTGGAGGAACCCAACTATTTCAAACGGAAAACACATATTATATCCGAAACCTTACCAGAAGCAGGTATTTTAGAATAGCTGATCCAGTAATTTGAAATTAGCCCAACAGATATTCTAAGGAAGATATTAGCAGCATAAAACATGAATACAAGACACAAAGCAAGCAGCAGAAATAGCTGGGCGCGGTGGCTCACACCTGAAATCCCAGCACTTTGGGAGGCCAAAGTGGGTGGATCACTTGAGATCAGGAGTTTGAGAGCAGACTGGCCGACATAGTGAAACCCCATCTCTACTAAAAATACAAAAAATTAGCTGGGCGTGGTGGCGCATGCTTGTAATCCCAGCTATTTGGGAGGCTGAGGCAGGTGAATCGCTTGAACCTGGGAGGTGGAAGTTGCAGGGACTGAGATCGCGCTACGGCACTCTAGCCTGGGTGATAGAGTGAGACTCCATCTCAAAAAAAAAAAAAAAAAAAAAAGCAGAAATATTAATATAAAAGCTAAGTTAAATAAAGAACTCAACAGATGGGACAAATGGCAGAATGGATATTTCTAAGAATAAATTAGCAAATCTAATTTCTTAGATTGAGGAAATCTCCCAGTGAATGAAGCAAAGGATAAGAGAACAAAAAAGAAAATCAGGATAAAAATATTTTAAATTCTTAGAATTAAAAAAATTTGTTCAGCAGCAATAGAATAAAAAAATAAAAAATTAAAAAACCTTGGAATGAAAAGGTCAGACTCAATATAGTGAAATTTAAGAATATCAAAGAAAAAAAATAACAGTTTAGAGAGCTAAAGAACAGATCACATTCAAAGAAATAAGAATTAGATAGACATCAAATTTTCCAAAAGCAACACTTGATGTAAAAGAATACAAAGTTTCCAAAGTATTTAAGAAAATAATTTAGAACCTAAAGTATTATATCCAGCTAAGCTGTCATTCAAATTCAAGGGTATAATCAAAATAATCAGAAGGTTTAGAAGTTTTGCAACATAAAGAGTCACACTGAGGTGTTGGATGAAATGCTTAAATATGAGAAAATACTTATCTACAGGATATTGCAAGAAAATATATGAGATAAAAGTGATCAAATACCTAAGTGAATTTTGTTGTTGTCTTAAAAACAGAGACAGACACACACAACAGAAGGGGAAATTCTATCTACCTTAATTTAGAATTAAAGGTGGGGAGTTATAAATACAACTTTTTTAAGTTAAAAAAAATTCAGAACATCAAAAAGTAGAATAAAAAAGTTAAAGAAGTAACAATATATCAACATATTGTTCAAGATATATCGATATTACAATAAATGTTAATGGACTAAACAGTTGAAATTCAAAGACTGATACACTGTATTTAAAAAGACTAATAAGGAAATTAAAATTTAAGGTCGCAAAAAGGTTGGAAGTAAAAGAAATTAAAAAGAATGTAAAATCTGGCCGGGTGCAGTGGCTCACGTCTATAATCCCAGCACTTTGGGAGGCTGAGGTGGGCAGATCACGAGATCAGGAGATCGAGACCATCCTGGCCAACATGGTGAAACCCTGTCTCTACTAAAAATGCAAAAATTAGCTGGGCGGGGTGGCACATGCCTGTAGTCCCAGCTACTTGGGAGGCTGAGGCAGGAGAATTGCTTGAACCCGGGAGGTGGAGGTTTCAGTGAGCCGAGATCTCTCCACTCTACTCCAGCCTGGAGACAGAGAGAGACTCCATCTCAAAAAAAAAAAAAATCTGCCAAATGCTAGCAAAAGAAAACTATGATGCATATTAGTATCAGGTAAAATAAATTTTAAGACAAAGTATGTTTAGGAATAGAGTGGGTGACCAACTAAAATGTTCAATTTGCAAGACAGAGCAATTTTAAACATGATTTTCCTAATAGTCTCTAAATATATACAGCACAAATGAATAGAAGTACCAAGAAAAACTGAACATAGATCCAATAATTAGAGATTCTATCTAGATCTAATGATTAGAAATTCCACACAGATCATGTACCAGGTCATGAAGAAAGCCTCAAAATTTAAAAAAAAAAAAAGGTATCACTGGACCATGATCTTTGACCACAACATATTTAAGATAGAAGGTTAATACAAAAATATAAATTTAAAAGTCTACATATTTGGGACAAATAAAAACATATGAATTCTTCAAAGAATTAAAGAAAAAATTATAATAAAATGTAAAAATATCTAAAACAATGACAATGAAAATAGTACATAACAAAAACTGTAGGATGAGCAAAAATGGTGCTTCAGGGGAAATTTATTAGGTAAATATAGCACATCATCAAAAGACTTACTGATGCTCTAGGTGGGTTTTCTCAAATTCAGGCAAAACAATATTCAACTCCTTGATGTCACTGGTTTTCATTCCTTCTGGACACCAAATGTGCACAATGTCAGAAGTATCTAAAATATTAAGATAAGTTAACATGCTGGTTATTCATATTTTGGCTGTAGGTCCAGGGTTCTGAAAGCCTGACACAAAAATAGTCTCACCAAATTGTAAAAGATAGCTACAGCTGAACAATCAGAGAGGAGGTGCCGTACTCACTTCTTATCCCTGTGCACAGTCTCGCAAACCCCTACATACACTTTCACTCTAACTGCTGTCTCGCTGGTTCTCCTATTTCTGCTAAAGCAACCAAAAGCATTGCTGCCTTTTAATCACCTTACTGCATCTTTATTTAGTATTGTGCTGTTATTTAACATTACTGGGGATAAGCTCTTCATTGTTAGCTGTATTTTCTGAATTTTAATCTATCTGATAGGCCACTTGTAGGATACAGCAAGATTACTCAGTGTATTAATTTAAATAATTGTAGTAATATACAGTAATATACCAGACAGGAATCTGAAGACCTTGGTTCTAGTTTGAGCTTCTTTCTTACTAGTCTAAGATCTCAGGCAAGCCATTTAACCTTCCAGAGGCTGTTTCCTCAATGATAAATGGAATAAAACAATGCTCTCCCTTTTATTGAGACTCAAGCAAGAAAATATCTGTGAATGCATTTACAAAAACTATAAATTACTATACATCTGTAAGGTGTTATCAATTTGCAAAGCATACCCTAATTTTTTTTCTTAGAAAAATTTTTTTTTGAGACAGGGTCTCACTCTGTTGCCCAAGCTGCAGTGCAGTAGCACGCTCACCACTCATTACAGCCTCGAAGTCCTAGGCTCAAGTGATCCTCCCACCTCAGCCTCCCAAGCAGCTGGGACTACAAGTGTACGCCACTATGCCTGGCTAGTTTTGAAAATTTTTTGTAAAGGTGGGGTCCCACTATGTTGCCCAGGCTGGTCTTGAACTCCTGGGCTCAAGCAATCTCTCACCTCAGCCTCCCAAAGTGCTGGGATTACGGGTGCACCCACCATGCCCGGCCCCCAATTTTCTGTATGTTAACATAAGCCATTGGCAGGATAGTCTACTCTTCTTCCGTAATTAATTCCTTCTTTAATATCTCCTTTTCCTCTATTTTAGGGGGGTGGGTGGATTCACTTTTAAAATTTTATTTTTAATTGACACATAGTAATTGTACATATTTATGGGTATGGTGTGATGTTTCAATACATGTATGTATTGTGTAAAAAAATCAAATTAGGGTATTCAGCATATCCATCACCTCATACATTTATCATTTGTTTGTGGTAAGAAGACTAAAAATCCTCTTTTAGCTGTTTTGAAATGTGTAATATTAACCATAATCACCCTACTGTGCAACAGAACACCTGAACTTATACCTCCTATCTAACTTTGTACCTGCTGACCAGCCTCCCCCTCTCCCCTGCTCCCCACTAGCCTCCCCTAACTATTTTAAATTTATTCACATGAAGTTATTCATTATATTCTTAGCAACATTTAAACTGTGCACTTAAACATTTAAACTTCTGGTAGGAGTATAAAACTATATTATACAACCACTTTGGGAATGCAGTTTGCAAAGTTTGGCAGTTTCTTGTAAAATTTAACATATGCCTACCCTATGACTCAGCAATTTCACTCCTTTTCATTTACCCAAGAGAAATGAAAACATACGTTCGCAAAAAAATGTGTATAAAAATGTTCACTGGCTGGGTGCGGTGGCTCACACCTGTAATCCCAGCACTTTGGGAGGCCAAGGCAGGCGGATCATGAGGTCAGGAGATTGAGATCATCCTGGCCAATATGGTAAAACCCCGTCTCTACTAAAATACAAAAAATTAGCCGGGCATGGTGGCGTGGGCCTATAGTCTCAGCTACTCAGGAGGCTGAGGCAGGCGATTCGCTTGAACCTGGGAGGCAGAAGTTGCAGTGAGCGGAGATCAAGCCACTGCACTCCAGCCTGGCAACAGAGCAAGACTCAGTCTCAAAAAAAAAAAAAAAAAAAGTTCACAGCAGCTTTATTCAAATAGCCAAAACCTGAAAACAACTCAGTTGTCCATCAATAAGAGACTGGATCAACTGTAGTGTAATCACACAATGGAATAAGCTCAGTAATAAAAATGACACCAAACAACATAGATGGATTGCAAAAAAACTATGCTGAGTGAAAGAAGCCTTACACAAAAGAGTACACACTATGTGATTCCATTTATACAAAATCCCAGAACAGGCAAAACTAATCCATGGGCAGAAAAAGCATCCCTGAAGCCACTGCCTCTGGAGATAATGGGGTGGGGACTGACATGAAAGAGGCATGGGGGAACTTTCTGGAGTAAAGACTTTACATGTTGACAGTGACTTGAGTTACACATTGTACTGTATGTACATTTTACATTCAAAGAAAAAACTGTAAACACACACTGAACTCCAGTTAATCATGTGCATACTTATGTATTCCAGAGGAAGTACTCATGTCTACATTATTTTAAAATGCCTTAAAAACTGGATTAATGGATTAATACTTGCTTTACTACCTATCTAATAAAGTAAATAATAAAATGTTAACTGTAAAATCTAGGTAGTGGGTATATGAATATATACTATAAATTTTTTTCACCTTAGTTGCATGTTGAAAATTTTCATGACAAAACGTTAGAAAAAAATGTTACTCCAAAGTCACATATTCCTAATTTTTAAAAGTGGCAATTTTATGTACTTACAATTTACTACTATAACAAATTAAGAATAGGGTCTTATTTCTCTTATGAAATTCCTGAATGAGTGACAAAGTATAAAACATCATTCTCTACCTGAGCCTATGGCTTTACTTCTTGATTTCTTCCTTTTGTCATGAGATATCTTCCCTTTTTTCTGAGTTTTCTACAAAAAAAAAAAGCATTAAGTTTTTAAGAAAAGTTTTCTTTCTCTTAAAACATTAGGATTAAGACTGTCACCAAACTGTCATTCAATATTTTAGCTGCGCACAGTGGCACATGCCTGTAATCCCAGCACTTTGGGAGGCTGAGGCGGGCAGATCACTTGAGGTCAGGAGTTCCAGACCAGCCTGGCCAACATGGTGAAACCCCATCTCTACTAAAAATACAAAAATTGGCAGGGTGTGGTGGTGCGTGCCTATAGTCCCAGCTACTGGGGAGGCTGAGGCAGGAGAATTGCTTGAACCTGGCGGGAATCGGAGGTTGCAGTGAGCTGAGATTGCGCCACTGCACTCCAGCCTGGGCAACAGAGCAAGACTCCGTCTCAAGAAGAAAAAAAACTTTAGCTACAATTCTCATTTAGTTCTAAAACAGATTAGTTACATAAATTATCTACAGTAATACAAGGAAGCATTGCAAACAAAACTATCACAAAATAAGAGAAAATAAAACTTTCAGTTGACTTTTAACAATTGTTGCCTTGATGGAAAAGCTGAACTTTTATTACTTAAGATAACAACATGTGGAATCAGCTCAAATTTCTGTTCCAGCTATGGTGAAGTAACAGCTTCCAAACTAGCTCTCTTGCCATAAACAACCATAAAATGGGGGAATATGGGTGGCAATTTTATTCAGGCACTGGACAGTAGGCAACACAAGACTGAGTTCCTGGAGAAAGGGGAAACTTGGAAGGTGAACCCCATGACTACCACCCCCACTCCACACACATACAATTTCTAGATGGGGTATAGTGAGCTGAAGTCTAAGCAGGGCATGACAATCCTACCCAGCTGAGAGGCACCTGGAATAAGCTGCTCAGGAGAGCACAGGTGCCTGTGGGGGGTGTCCTAAGAGTCCTTGTCTGAGTACTGCCCATGTGCCAGGTTGAGACCACATAAAGCCTACCAGAAGCACTATCATGGGGATAACAACATAACTGATAACAAAGGACAAGCAGCAATGGGGGCACAGGACAAGGTAAAGGTACATGGGAAAGAGACAACTCACGGCTCATCAGAAACCATGGCAACCAGAAGACAACAGAATGGTATAAAGAGCTGGGAAATAAATCTGTCAACTCAGAATTCCACGGCCAGTGAAATATCCTTCAAAAACAGAGTTGAAATAAAAACACTTCCAGAGAAACAAAATCTGAGAGAATTTGTCACCAGCAGACCTGCCATGAAAGAAATGCTAGAAGATATTCTGTAGGCTGATGGAAAAAGATAACAAATGGAAACTAGTATCTACAGGCAGGCAATCAGTGAACTGGAGAGAGGGACAGGTAAAAGACTATAGAGCTGCTGCTTCTCATACTTTTCTTAAAAAAACAACTCTTTCAAGCAGAAATGACAATACCGTAAGGTTAGACTTGTAACACAGAAGTAAAACATATGACAAAACAGCACAGAGGATGGGGATGGATAAATAGAATTATACATAATATTGTTATGTAATTACATGTATGTAGTGGAAGGTAGTTAATTGTTAAGTAGAATGTATGAAGTGATAACACACTGATTCTAAAGAGACTTTGCTAATTTATGGATGTATATTTTTAACCCAGGAGCAACCACTGAAAAAAATTTTAAAAGGTATAGCTAAGAAGCCAATAGAGAAAATAAAATGGAATACAAAAACAACATTCAACTAATGCAAAATGAGTTCTAAGAGAAAGAGAAAATAGGAGCAAATGGAAAACACAGTATGGTAGATGTAAACCTCACCATATTTAAAATTACATCAAAAGTCAATGGACTTTTAGCAGAAGTTAAAAAAATACCTCCTCTATGTAACTGATAGATCAAGCAGACCATGCCCCATCACCAAAAACAAAACAGTAAGTAAGGAGACCAAATCTCTGAACTACACTCTGAATCAACTTGACCTCAACTGACATTTACAGAACACAAGTGCACATGGGATGTTCACCAAGACAGATCAACAACAGAGATCATAGTTTGCTTCAATTTGTGTAAAGACAGGAAATAAAAATTAAAAAAATTCATATTTGTTTACATGTACAAAAGGAAATTTGAAGGATATATAAGAAACTATACGGTTACCTGTGTGTATGTTTAGCAGGTGGAAAGGTGAAGAAGACAGGGTGGCAGGGACAACTTATTATACTTCAAAAAGTTTTCAAACATTAGCATAAATTATTTATTCAATTAAGCCCAAATGAATTAATCACATATTAAGAACTTGACCAAAAGATATTATATGTCAAGAATTTTAGCACCAATAAGACCCAGAATTCTTTGTTTTTTGAGACAGAGTCTCACTCTGTTGCCCAGTACAGTGGCACGGTCTCAGCTGACTCCAACCTCCACCTCCCGGGTTCAAGGTGATTCTCCTGCTACAACCTTCTGAGTAGCTGCGATTACAGGCACGCGCCACCACATCCAGCTAATTTTTGTATTTTCAGTAGAGATGGGGTTTTGCCATGTTGGCCAGGCTGGTCTCGAACTCCTGACCTCACGTGATCTGCCTGCCTTGGCCTCCCAAAGTGGTAGGATTACAGGCATGAGCCACCGTGCCCGCCTAAGACCCAGAATTCTTATCAGCAGTTTTTTTCTAAGGAAATGATCTAAGGAATGCACAAATATTTAGCTACAACAAAATTCATCAAAGCACTTATAATTTTTTAAATAGCAATTCTTGATTAGTAAGAGATTAACTATGGCATATCCATGAATGGAATGTTATGCATTGTTGAATACTTAATAATAAGTATATGATCTCACTTAGGGTAATTAAAGCTCACTGAAAGGACTGAACAGCATAGACCAAAAAACATGGTGGTTATTTTGGGTTATGGAATTACAGATGATTTTATCTTCTTTTCCATACCTTCTAGCTTTTTTTTTGTTTTTTTTTTTTTAAGACGGAGTCTTGCTCTGTCACCCAGGCTGGAGTGCAATGGCGCAATCTCAGCTCACTGCAACCTCTACCTCCTGGGCTCAAGCAATTCTCCTGCCTCAGCCTCCTGAGTAGCTGGGATTAAAGGCATGCACCACTCCATCCAGCTAATTTTTGTACTTTATTAGTAGAAATGGGTTTTCGCCATATTGCCCAGGCTGGTCTTGAACTTCTGACCTCAGGTGATCCCCCTGCCTCGGTCTCCCAAAGTGCTGGGATTACAGGCATGAGCCACCTCGCCCGGCCATACCATCTAGATTTTCTAAAACAAACATCTTTATTACATTAAGGAAAATATAAAATTTATCTTTGAAAAGATCTGAAGGAAAGAGAAAATGCTTCATTTTCTTCCCCAAAATTTTTCAATAAACTTTTTTTGCCCTCCTAGGGGATGGCAGACGTTCTTACCGATTGACTTTCTATTGCCAAGTTCTCTTTTTCAACAGAGGGCTGGGCACTAAGGGGTCCTGTCTTTTTAGAAGTGACAGACTCAGCTGGTTTCTCTGAAAGTTCTGAAGACGCTGTGGTTCGAATAACCTCATGACGTTGTGTACTTATTTTCTCTGCTGATTTAACTTTTCTCCTTGTATCACTTTCTTCAATGCTTTCAGAGTCATCACTAATGGGCCTGAGCTTTCTTCCTGGCTGTGTGAAAGAAAAAACAGCAGTACTTATGTAGAAAATAGAAATGCTTATAATTCTTACTGTAATAGTAGAAAACCATATATATAGTCCACATTTCTCACTTCTACACTTCAAAATTGAACATAATAGGAAGACGGCAACTTAATTAGTGGATAGGACAGGAAACCTAAATCAAAGGTTACAATAATCACTCCCAGCAATTCACTCTGCCTTTTAAAATCACAACCTAACCACAGTACAAGAATGCTATGAAAATTGACAAAGTACATAGAGATGTGAGACCTCTTTAATGAAAAACACTTCAGTTACAAAAATATTTTGGTTTTTACTATAAAAGTATATCCTAAAAATAGAACTTTATGAAAAATGGTGCTACGGAATGTTTTCTCTATTTGCATCCAATCTAAAGAGGAAATGAAATATTTTACAGAACATTTTCTGTACTTGCATCCAATCAAACTATATTACAAATTAAAGTAGAAGAGTGAATACTCCTACATACCTTTTTTGCACTAATTTTTACAGATTCGATTTCACTTGCTTCATTTCCAGAAGTGTCTGAACTGTAAAAAGTACAAGCCATCAATATCTTGTACACATTCCATTTATATTCACATGTCTTCTCTAACTTGCTCATTCAACATGAAAACAGACTCAATTTAATGAGGAAATATCCTATTTGTCACATACAAGTCTGCCACCTTCCTGGGTTTACTGCTGCCTCCCACATCTTCCCATACCCAGGCCACATGAGTTTATCCCAGGCAAGCAAGTAACCTGTTCCATTACTGCAGCACCTGTGGTGATGTCTGAGAACTGCACTTTTCTCCAAGTTACCAGTCCCAGGAATACGGGCCATCATTTGTACTAAAAGCTAATCCACTAGGCCCATCCTTAGGTGACAGAAAAGGGAACACCTTCTTTTATCCTTTAAAGAGGAAAAAAATAGCCCTAACTTCTGATGGGAGATGAAAACTCATCTTTTCATTCTGTTCAATACAACAAATTTATTTAACACCAACCTCAAAATGCAAAGCACAGTGAATAAAATTACTTTAAAATTGAGAGGCTTTCCTTCAAAGGGTTCACTGTCTAGTGGGAAGGCCAAAGATGGTGCAGAGTGATGACCTGGCAAGCATCTGACAGAGAAGATGATGTGGAGACACAGCTGGGGTATTAGGAAAAGCATCACAGTTATGACACTTGGCGCTGACAGGTAAAAAAACCTTTTTCAGGAAAACAAGTGTGAAGAAGGACATTTAAAGCAGATGGAAAAGTTAATGTAAAAGCCTGGTGGTGTAAAACAGCCCAGCATGTTCAAGAAACATGCAACAGAGCACAGATAGAATGTATTTTCTAAGAGAAAATAACGAACGCTAGGGAAGAGTCAAAGGCTATGACTGACGGGCTGCAGGGCACCCACATAGGCATGCTGCATGGATCTCCTATGGTCAGTGCCAGCCTCCAGCTGCAGCACCTTCTGCACCCACTGCAGCGCCTTCTGGATCCACTGCAGCAGCTGGGCAGAGGCCACAGCTGTGGGCAGTCTCTAGCCAACAAGTAAGCACAGCAAGGGTCTGGGGCCTCGACGTTTCTGCCCAATACAGGCCAGGCCTCCTTTTAACAGCCCTCATTCCTCCAGAGCTCCGCAGTGGGTTGTTCAGAACCGTAGGCACTGCAGTGCAGTCTGAGGCCACCTCTGCCCAATCCTGCTTCTTCCAACTTTACCCTTCACAGGTAACACTAATAAACCCCTTCCATTCCTAACTGCCTCAGTGTCTACTCACCCCAGGATCCAAACTGGCACAGGGGCCCTCTATGCCATGCATACAGGCAAAGGGGAGCCCTACCAGGAGGTGGACGTAGGAGTGAGATGAGACTGGGGTTTCAAAAGATCACTCTGGAAGGTGTATGGGCGGGTAGGCCAGAGAGAGCTGGCATAAGGGACAAGGAGGCCAGACAGGAAACTACCGCAGGAACGCTGGTGAGAGTGAGGTCCCCAAACCATGGCAGCCACAGGGAGGTGGCAGGGGTGTGGAGAGGAGAAACGGATTTTCAAGGCAGTCACGGGCCAGAAAAATAGGACTGGCCAGACAGAACAAACCAAGACTGATTGCCCAGATTGCTGGATCGGAGGGGAGTGGGTGAATGGCAAGACTATTAACCTAGAGAACACCAAAGAAGTTCACTGACACTAGATGAGAAGGAAAAGGATGAAGCTCAGTTTTGCCTTTGTTGAGTGAGGTGCCTGTGGGCATTTAGAGAAATACGGCCAATGTGCAAAACATCCGGGAACTCAGGAGAAGGGCTGGACAAGAAACTTGAGAAACGGTGGCACACAGGTAGTTAAAACCATGAGCGTGAACTGGGGTTGGATGGAGAAGAGAGGGCCGGAGAAGAGGGGGCTGACAGCAGAATCACCTACACATAAAGAAAAAAACAGGAGAGGAAACAGCCAGGAGCAAGATGGCTGAACAGAGGGCTCCACTGATTGTCCCCTGCAGGAACACCAAGTTTAACAACTATCTACACAAAGGGAACACCTTCACAGGAAACAAAAGTCAGCTGAGTACTCACAGTGCCTGGTTTTGACTTCCCACTGCTGAAAGAGGCACTGAAGAGGGTAGGAAAGAGTCTACAATCGCTGATACCACCCCTTCCCCATCTCCCAGCAGTGGCTGCGTGGCACAGAGAATCTGTGCTCTTGGGAGGAGAGCACAGTGATTTTGAAGCTTTGCTTTGAATTCAGTGCTGTCCTGTAACAGTGGAAAGCAGAACCAGGCTGAACTAAACTGATGCCCACACACAGAGGGAGCATTTGGACTAGTCCTGGTGTGAGGGGAATCGCCCATCTTAGCAGCAGGAGCTTGAGCTCTGACAAGCCTTGCCACTATGGGCTAAAGTGCTCTGGGGCCCTAGGTGAGCCTGACGGGCAGTCTAGGCCACAAGGATGGCAACTCCTAGTGCTGAGCTGGGCTTGGAGCCAGTGGACTGTAGGGGCATGTGACCTACTGAGACACCAACTGGTGTGGCTAAGGGTGTACTGGCATCACCCCTCCCCCAGGCCCAGGCAGCACAGCCCATGGCTCCAAAAGAGACCCCTTTCTTCTGTGAGAGGAGAGGAGAGGGAAGAGTGGAGAGGACTTTGTTTTCCATCTTGGATACGAGCTCAGCCACAGTAGCATAGGGCACCAGTCAGGGTCATGAGACCCCCTAATGCAGATCACAACACCTAAGTCCTTTCAAATATCTGGAAAGCCTTCCCACAAATGATGGATCCAAACAAGCCCAGACTCCAATGACTACAATAAATACCTGACTCTTCAATGTCTAGACACTGATAAACATCCATAAGCATCAAGACCATCCAGTGAAACATGACCTCATCAAATGAACTAAATAAGGCACCAGGGACCAATCCTGGAGAAACAGGAGATACATGACCTTCTAGACAGAGAATTCAAAATAGCTGTTCTGAGGAAACTCAAAGAAATTCAAGATAACACAGAGAAGGAATTCAGAATTCTATCAAATAACTTTAACAAAGAATTGAAATAATTTTATAAATCAAGCAGCAATTCAGTAGTTGAAAAATGTAACGGACATACTAAAGAATACATCAGAGTCTCTTAATAGCAGAATCTATCAAGCAGAAGAAAGAATTAGTGAGCTTGAAGACAGGCTATTTGAAAATACAGTCAGAGGAAAGGAAAGAAAAAAGAAAAAACAATCGTGAAGCATGCCTACAGGGTCTAGAAAAAAGCTTCAAAAGGGCAAATCGAAGAGTTATTGGCCTTAAAGAAAGGTAGAGAAAAGGGGGTAGAAAGTTTATTCAAAAACGTAGTAACAGAGAACTTCCTAAACCAGAGAAAGGTATCAATATCCAAGTACAAGAAGGTTATACAACCAACACCAAGCAGCTTTAACCCAAAGGAAGACTCCCTCAAGGCATTTAATAATCAAACACCCAAAGGTCAAAGACAAAGAATCTAAAAGCAGCAAGAGAAAAGAAATAAATAACTTACAATGGAGCTCCAATATGTCTGGCAGCAGACTTTTCAGTGGACACCTTACAGGCCAGGAGAGAGTGGCATGACATATTTAAAGTGTTGAAGGAAAAAAACTTTTACCCTAGAATAATATATCTGGTGAAAATACCCTTCAAACATGAAAAAGAAATAAAGACTTTCCCAAACAAAAGCTGAGAAATTTTATCAACTCCAGACCTGTCCCAAAAGAAATGCTAAAGGGAGTAATTCAAGCAGAAAGAAAAGGACATTAATGAGCAGTATAAATCATCTGAAGGTATAAAACTCACTGGTAATATGAAGTACACGGAAAAAGATAACACTGTAGCTGATGCATGTAAACTACTCTCATTGTAAGTAGAAAGACTAAAAGATGAACCAATCAAAAATAATAACTTTTCAAAACATAAACAGTACAATAAAAATAAAAACAAAAAGTTAAAAAGTGGGGGAGCAAAGTAAAGGTGTAGTTTTTATTAGTTTTCTTTTTGCTTGTTTATGCGAGCAGGGTTAAGTTGTTAATGGCATAAAATAATGGGTTATATGGCAGTACCTGCTAGCCTCATGGTAACCTCAAATAATAAATACAACAAATACATAAAAAGAGCAAGAAATCACACTGCCAGAGAAAATCACCTTTACTAAAAGGAAGACAGGAAGGAAGAAAAGGAAGAGAGGGCCACAAAACAATCAGAAAACAAATAGTAAAATGGCATGAGTAAGTCCCTGCTTAGCAATAACACTGAATGTAAATGGACTAACTTCTCCAATCAAAAGACATAGAGTGGCTGATTGTAAAAAAAAAAAAAAAAAAAAAGGACCCAATGATTTGTTGCCTACAAGAAACACATTTCACCTATAAAGATACACACAGACTGAAAATAAAAGTATGGAAAAAGATATTCCATTGTCAATGGAAACCAAAAAGAGCAGAGTAGCTATACTTATTTCAGACAAACTAGATTTTAAGACAGAAACTGTAAGAAGAGACAAAGAAGGTCACTACATAATGACAAAGGGGTCAATTCAGCAAGAGGATATAACAATTTGAAACATACATGCACCCAACACTGGAACACCCAGATAGATGAAGCTAATATTAGAGCTAAAGGGAGAGACAGACCCCAATACATTAGCTGGAGACTTCAACACCCCACTTTCAGCACTGGAGAGATCTTCCAGACAGACAATCAATAAAGAAACAGCAGACTTAATCTGCACTGTAGACCAAATGGACCTAACAGATATTTACAGAACATTTCATCCAACAGCGGCAGAATACGCATTCTTCTCCTCAGCACATGGATCACTCTCAAGTACAGACCACGTGATAGGTCACAAAACAAGTCTTAAAACATTTTTTAAAAACCGAAATATCAAGTATCTTCTCTGTGGAATAAAACTAGATATCAATAACAGGAGGAATTTTGGAAGTTATACAAACACAGAGAGATAAAACAACACGTTAATGAAGGACCAGTGGGTCAATTAAGAGATTAAGAAGGAAGCTGAAAATTTTCCTGAGACAAATGATAATGGAAACACAACATACCAAAACCTATGGGATACCACAAAAGCAGTACTAAGAGGGAAGTTTACAGCTATAAGCGCCTACATCAAAAAAAGAAAAACTTTAAATAAATAACCTAATGATGCATCTTGAAGAAGTAGAAAAGCAAGAACAAACCAAATCCAAAACTAATAAAGATCAGCTTTTATAAATAAATGTATAAATTTACCTCAACCCAATAAAGATAGCAACTTTGCTTTTAACAAGTAGCTCTTAAAAGTCATTATTAAAAATAATGAGAAAAGCTGCATTTATATATAGAAAAGATCAAGGATTTTAATATAAATCATAGAAGTTCTAAAAGAAAACACGAAGGGAGATGTCTTCCTATGACTCAAAATCCCTAAATGCTAAAAGTGATAAATATATCGCTGCATCTAAATAAAACTGAACATTTTCTATGTTGAAAAAAAAAACCACCACCATTAGGTGTTTTGTCAAAAGAGAGATGAACCAGTAAAAACAAAACAAAACAAAACAAAACAAAAAAAAACTGTAACATAGGGCTAATCTCACTAATGTTTAAATGAAGTCATGAAGAAAATGACCAACATCAACTAGAAAATAGGAAAAAGGATATAAACAGTTTGCAGAAAGAGAAATTCAAGAGCTTTTAAATGATTGCTGCTCAATCATTCCTAAGAATACAAATTAGAACTAGGCTGGGATAGCATTTTTGACCTATCACATTGGCAAAAATCCAAGTTTGATCTCACTTAGGTGGCAATGTGGCAATAACTATAAAAAGGACAAACACGTTTCATTTGACTCAGAATTTAACTTTTATGACTATATCCTATAGATACACAGGCACAAGTGTGAAATGGCACTCCCAGTGGCACTGGGAGTGACAGCACAGACTGGAAACAGCCTGACTGCCCATCTATACAGAACTGGATAATCACACTAAGGAACACCCATGCTGTGGAAAGGGTAGAAGAATGAGAAAGCTCCATGTGTATTGATATGTAAAGATCTCTAAGATGTAGTAAGTGAAAAAACCTAGGTAGCAACCTATGCTGCCTTTTGTAGACAAAAAAGGGTTAAAATGTGTATTCATATTTACTTTTATATGCACCAAGAAATTCTGGAAGGACATATGAGAAATTAATAATAAGGGAGAGGGAAGAATCGGGTTCTAGGAGCTAGATGGATAGTAGACATGATATGAAGACTTACTATACACCTTTTTATATTTTTAAACCATGTGAAGGTGTTACCTACTCAAAATATTCCTGTTTAAAAATTACATTCACCACTGTTTAAAGTAGAGCACGTTTTCCAAATGTATGACTTTTACTGATTTTCAGTAACATATAAAACTGGAGTCAGCCAGGCACGGTGGCTAACGCCTGTAATCCTAGCACTTTGGGAGGCCAAGGCGGGCGGATCACGAGCTCAAGAGATCAAGACCATCCTGGCCAACATGGTGAAACTCCATCTCTACTAAAAAATACAAAAATTAGCTGGACATGGTGGCACGTGCCTGTAGTCCAAGCTACTCGGGAGGGTGAGGCAGGAGAATTGCTTGAACCTGGGAGGCGGAGGTTACAGTGAGCCAAGATTGCGCCACTGCACTCCAGCCTGGTGACAGAGCGAGACTCCATCTCAAAAAAAAAAAAAAAAAAAAAAAAATAAGCTGGAGTCTCCAAAATAACCAAGTACTATAAAACTTCCCTAGTGTAGACAATCTCAAAATGACTTCTCAGATTTCTGCCCAGCTGGGATATTTGTTTTAAAACTGCAGTTTTGGCCGGGTGCAGTGGCTGACGCCTGTAATCCCAGCACTTTGGGAGGCCGAGGTGGGCAGATCACGAGATCAGGAGATCGAGACCAGCCTGGGTAACATGGTGAAACCCCGTCTCTACTAAAAATACAAAAAAAATCAGCTGGGCATGGTGGCGGGCGCCTGTAGTCCCAGCCACTCGGGAGGCTGAGGCAGGAGAATGGCGTGAACCCGGGAGGTGGAGCTTGCAGTGAGCCCAGATTGAGCCACTGCACTCCAGCGTGGGCAACAGAGCAAGACTCCATCTCAAAAAAACAAACAAACAAACAACCAAACAAAAATACACTGCACTTTTGATACTTGCTAAATACATTTAGTAACTAGAACTGACCTGTTACCCAACAGAGGTCCCTAAGTCAAAGAGCTGCTCTAGATAATTTTAAATGAGTACTACAGTTATCGAAGAGTTCTGCATTATATAACTTGCTCCCAAGTTTTCTCTATGAAATCATTTTTATAGAGATTTTCTGGACCTATAGCTTCACATAAATCTCAAAGACTCAAACCAATGCACTTCAGGGACAGTGCATCTGAAACAGCCTTTTTATTGCTTTGTAATTATCACCTACCATATACAAGGAAACATCTCATTTGTGATAATTATAGAGAATTTGTAAATGAAAGAGACCTCCCAAAAATCACCTAACATTCTATGCTTGTAAAATCTTTCCCTCCTTTCTTATTTGACTCAAAGCTAAACTATCTTCCCAGGCATGATTTCTAGGATAATCAGGTGTGAATTCTGTCAGTTATCACAGCTATTATAATTATCGTGTCAATTATTAATAAAGTTTTTATGCCTCAGTTCTCTTGAGAAAAAGCATAACAAGTTGGCTCAAAGGATCTTGAAATGCTTTTGTTTTATTAGCTTCTATCTTAAAGAGTTTCTCAGAAATCCCATTAACCATGAATAAACAATTGCTTGAAATACACCAGTACCTTCTTTTTGCTTCTTTTCCTGGAGGAGTTGAAGAGAGAGACAGTCCACAATGTTTGGAGAATTCTTCTTCATCAGCATATATAGCTGTGCTATGTAAAGGAGGATCTTTCAAAAGACAAAAAAGAAGCACAACTTTAAAAGTCTGGCTATTTGGGCAGTACTGTAGTTTATTCCCTTACAATGGAGTACAAAACAATCTTTGTTCAACTAACAAAATCAAAATCAATTACACAGGCCACTTCCCAAATGTTTTTGATCTCACACCTCAACAATAAAAATTGTAAACCCTATCACCAATAAATACATGAATATTTATGAATAATAAACCTTTATTACTGCACTTACATGGAATTATTTTTGGTTTCTGAAACAGGGCCTCACTCTGCCGCCCAGCCTGGAGTGCAGTAGTGCGATCTCAGCTCACTGCAGCCTGAAGCACCTGGGCTCAAGCGATCTTCCTGCCTCAGCCTCCCAAATAGCTGGGACTACAGGCACATGCCACCATGCCCAGCTAATTTTTTAATTATCTGTAGAGACAGGGTCTCACTATGTTGCCCAGGTTGGGGAAATTTTAATGAAATAAAAATATAAATCGGAAGTCCAACATTTTCTTTCCTCATCCCTGTCAGGCGTCATACACTCTGCATGAGAGACCACTGCATTAAACTATAAACTCAACAGGCCTAGAGAGGTCACCTCACAAAGTACCCTGCATATAGTGGGCCCTCAGTATTTTTGAATGAAAAGCCCTTTGGGGAGATTCCAGGCCTCCCTTACTTCCTCTCTGCTTTACTCTGGGATGCCAGAGCCTTTAGATAACATAAAAAGATACCTTGAATGAGGAAGAAGATAAAAGAGAAGGAGAGCAAATGAACTTGGTGGAAAGGCACAGAAAGGAGATGCTAAGAGGAGAAAGATGCTCCTAGCGGGTGCTCAGGAAAGAGGAGTAACAGGAGAGACCCAGGACTTAACGCAGGGGTAGAGAGCTTGGAGAAGAAGAGGTGGCCAGTGGTGACAGAGCTGAACTGCTGTAAGGGGGCCTGGTAAGAGCCAAGCAACCATTTCTTCATGCTCAAAGTTTAGCATGACAGTGCAAACTTCAACATTTTTTCAACTAAACAGCTGCTTAAATAATGAACATATCAACTGCACAATTTTTAAGTTAGTAGTATACTTTGTATTGCCCTCCACGAGGCAAAGGGATTTATTTACTCTATTGCTGTGAATAACAAGGGGGGAAAAAAGAAATAGAACAATCCCAAACGTCCACAGATAACCACTCACATAAACTGGATTCTTACAACTTCATAATAAAAAGACAAATAATCCAATTTAAAAACGGGCAAAGGGTGAACAGAAACTTCTTCAAAGAATATACAAATGGCCAATAATCATACATAAGAAGGTCAAAGGGAAAAAAAAAGCAAATGGTCAGCCATAAGTACACGGAAAAGGTGCTGAACACCATTAGTAATTAGGGAAATACAAATCAAAACCACAGTGAGATAGTACTTCACACCCAAACAAACACCCAGAAAATAGCAAGTGTAGGCAAGGATGTGGAGAAACTGAAACCCTTGGGCCCTGCTGGTGGGAACACAGGCACTGTGGAAATGGTGATTCCTGAAAATATAAAATATATATGATCCAGCAATTCCATTTCTGGGTAAATGTCCAAAAGAGGAGAAAGCAGGGACTCAAACAGATATTGATACACTCATGTTAGTATTAATAGCAGAATTATTCACAGTCAAAAAGCAGAAGTAACCCAAGGGTCCATTAACAGATGAGTAGATAAAAATAAAATGTGGTACATACAGACTGTTCTTCAGCTTAAAAAGGAAATTCTGGCTGGGCGCAGTGGCTCACGTCTGTAATCCCAGCACTTTGGGAGGCCGAGGCAGGTGGACCACCTGAGGTCAAGGGTTCAACACCAGCCTGGCCAATATGGCAAAGCCCCATCGCTACTGAAAAATACAAAAATTAGCCAGGCGTGGTGGTGGTGGTCCTGGGGGGTGGGGGGGGGGGGCGCCTGGAATCCCAGCCACTCGGGAAGCTGAGGCAGGGAGAATTGCTTGAACCCAGGAGGTGGAGGTTGCAGTGAGCCGAGATCGCGCCACTGCACTTCAGCCTAGGTGACAGAGGAAGACTTCGTCTCCAAAAAAAAAAAAAAAAAATTTCTGACTCAGGCTACAACACAGATAAACCTTGAAGACATTATGCTAAATGAAATAAGCCAGTTACCAAAGAACCAACTATTCTATGTTTCCTTTTACATCAGATTCCTAGAAAACAGAATGATGGTTGCCAGGAGTTGAGGGGAGGGAAGAATGGGAAGTTGTTTAATAGGTGGAGCATTTCAGTTAGGAAAGATGAAAAAGTTCTGGAGATGGATGGTGATGATGGTTGCACAACAACGTGAATGTATTTATCTGCTACAGAGTTAATACACTTAAAAAAGGTTAATATGGTAAACTATATTTTACCACCCATACCCCATACACACACTCACACCCACAATGAGGTGCTGGGATGGCTAGAATAAAAAACTCAGTAAGTTTTGGTGAAGGTGTGCAGAAACGGGAACTCTCATATACTGCCATGGAATTGTAAAGTGGTGCAGCCGCTTTGTAAAACAGTTCCTCAAAAAGTTAAAAATAGAATTACCATAGGACTCAGCAATTCTGCTCCCACTATATGCCCAAGAGAAGTGAAAAAAGTCCACACAAAAACTCTTACACAAATGTTCACAGCAGTATTATTCACAGTGGCCAAAAAATAGAAACCACCCAAATGTAACTGATAAATGGGTAACAAGCTGCGGTATATCCAAACAATGGAGTATCACTGAGCTATAAAAACTTACAGGAATGAGGTAGATACACGTTACAACATGGACAAACCCTGAAAACTAAGTAAAAGAAGCCAGTCACAAAGGACCAGAGTCTAGGATTCCACTGATATGTCCAGAAATGGCAAATCTGTAGAGACAGGAAGGAGATTCATGGCTGCCAGGGGCTTGAAGGAAGGGGGAAGAGGGAGTGACCACTCATGGGTACAGGGTTCTCTACAGGATAACAATTTTCTGGAATTAGATAATGCAGACGGTTGTACAACCTTGTGAATAAATTAAAAACCAATGACATGTACACCTTAAAAGGGTGAATTTTATGGTATGTGAATTCATTTCCATTTTTAAAATTATGGGGTTTTAGGTTCAGATCTTTTAGATTTAGATTTTAGACAAATAGGACATTTTTATCAAGTCATAATAAAAGACATTATTCTGGTGAATACATTTCACCTTATAAAATGTATAATATTTTCTTTAAACAAAAAATTAAACCAAAAGCCTTCAAAATTCTCTTAAAACTTATTCCAGCAAAAATGCCTGACTACTGCAGTTCTAGATGTGGGGACACATGGCATTTTCTCTGTCATTTCTGGCTTCTGGAGTGCCCAGTGACACAAGCAGCCCACCCTGACAACTCACACACTCCTGGCCAGCCTGGTACTGGCCTTTTACCTCACACTCCAAGGAACACAGGTGAAGCTCTCCCACTGGCTCTCCCGAAGCATCCCCTGCCTCCATGAGTTTAGGACAAAGGAAAATTACCCATACTCTTCTCCTCCCTAAATTAATGGCTCTATCAAATGGTAGAGTGAAGTGAGAAATGTATGCTATGTTCCCCTTATTACAGAGTACTATAGTAAGCGTCCTCATGTGACCAGATTGTTAATGAATACTACTAGACGAGTGCCGCTTTGATAATGTTCTTAGTTTCAATGTACCCGTAAGTGAGGAAAATTAATTCAAATTATCAAGTACTCCCCAGAGAACATTATATTTACATGCAGGCAACTAATTTTTATATTTGAAGATACTTCTATTTTTTATTATATCTGGCCTAAATGTTGTTGCTTTAGAGTTATGTTAGGATAAAGATTTAAAGTACTAACCAAAGGTCTCATAAGTTTCTTCATCTTTCTCATTTTCACCCAGCCTGCCAATGCTTGAGACATCAGAATTATCAGGAAAGTCGAACACGTCAATAGGCTTGCACTTTTGACCAGCTTTCTAAAAGTGAATAAAGTTGAGTCATTGAGTTGGCTCTCACAAAGAACAATAGGTTGATTTATACAGCAAGAATATTCTTGTAATCACTGCTGCCTAAGGAAGCAATCCTTATGCATGGGGTGATGGATTCACTACCTACCCTGATTGGGTCATTATACAACATAGACATGTATGGCAAGATCAAATCAGACCCCACAAATGTGTACAATTACAATGTTTCAGTTAAAATAAAAAGAAAGAAGCAAGCTAACACTTTTTGGGGACATAGAATTTTTTGATAACCTAAGGCATGGATTGGCAAACTTTTTCTATAAAGGACAAGAAAGTAAATTCTTTTAGGCTTTGCAGGCCGTAAGGTTTCTGTTTTGACTACTAACTCAGCCACTGTCACATGAATGCAGACAGTAACCACACAGAAAAGAATGAGCATGGCTGTGTTCCAATACAATTTGACTTTTGAACACTGCAATTTGAATTTCATATCATGTTCACATATTATGACATAGTCTTTTTATTTTATTTCAACCATTAAAAAAGGTAAAAACCATTCTTAGCTTGCAGGGATATACAAAAACAGGTGGCAGGCTAGATTTGGCCCATGGGCCAGTTTGCCTAAACCTCTGACCTAGGGAAAGTGATGGGTCCTGTCTCCGGAAATATGCCCATATACCCAAAAGTTCATAAACAGTTTTAAGGGTACACATGTGTAAAAACTCCTGACTAAAGGACACCAGGGTTTAGAGTTCAATATACTGATACACCCATGAAGTCTGCTACCCCAAATCTAATGAAACATGAAAACATACATAAAATGAGAAAAACTTTCATGGTAGTTCCAGAAAATGTGGAAGGGTACTATTAACAGATACAAAAATAAGAAAATTCTGGAAGGTATAAAGGAGGTCAAATAAAATTGGCAAACCATATAAAAACTTGACCATTCAGATGCCCCCAGTGAAAGAATCATTCCTGGAGTGCTTGGGGGTGGAATGTGGAGAGAGCTGGCAGGTCTTCCAGCCCCTCCCAAGGCATAGGGGGCCTCCACCAGGGACTGCCTTGCAGAGGGAAGGACAGGAAAGCTGAATCCATTCCAGGCACTCTGGGCTTCCAGCTAAGGCTGGAGCTTAGAGAAATCCCTCCGAGGCACACTGTACTTTGGCTACCAATGGCAGGGGCAAGGCAGGACAGCTGAGAGAAATCCACCCAAAGAACCCGTGAAGTAATGCCGGGGTGGGAGCAGAGCGCTGAGCAAAACCCTGCAGGGGGATCCCAGGGTTTCCCAGAGGGGAAGAGAGCTATCGTCTGCAGGCTGGGGTTAAGGACTATGCAGGACAGAGAAAGCCCAGGGCAGAACAAGCAGAAGGAACTCCTTCCGGGGTGCCTGGCACTGTCATACACTGTTAATGTGAGATTACAATGTCAATCACACAAGCCACTGGAAAAAAAAACTGGAATTAGCTATCAAGAACGTTAAAGAAATGCACATGCCTTTAACATACATTTATTCTAAGACTCTAAAGAAAAGTAAACCTGTAATGTGAACTAAGTGGAGTATCATGAAATCATAAAACAATTCTTGAAAAGTACAATGAGGAGAAATGGCTTTAAGTGAAAAAAGCTTACAGCACTGTACAATTTTTACATGAAGTCAATTATCTAAACGAAAATAAAACCAAACTCGGCTCAGAAATAAAGGAAATTCTAAAACATTAACAAAAGTCATTTTATCCACTATACCGGAAAAAGTGTGAGGAAAATGAACACACTTTTTCACTACAATAAACATTGAACTTGCCAAGTGAAGTCTACAAAACTGAGGTACCCAAAAAATGTTATTTTGTACTGTCAATTTTGAGAAAACCACAACACAAAAAGGTAACTTACATCTTTCATGGAATGTGTTCTTTCTAAAGTGTTCTTTGAACGTCTTGCGCTATTAAACAGCAAAAAAACACAAGAGTTAGGAAATAGTTAAAATAACTGAGGAAACACCATAGTTATGACCCTTTCCGCGCATTTTTACCAAAAAAAAAAACAAGAACCCATATTCCACAAATTTATTTTTTATAGGTCAAATCCTATCACCAATGTATAAAATAACATACCTCTCCCCCTCAGGGACATGGAAAAGTTGGAATCCTGCTGTTAACTTTTTCCCTGAGGCCTTAATCAATCAGCAGTGATTGACTTTCTCTGCACAGCTGAACAAAGGGGAGGTAGGCTAACGCTAAGCCCCGACACCTGCTCCATCCGGTGCCTGGCTCTCCTACGTCCTTTTCTCATTTAATTCTAACAGTCCTATAAGGTAGAAGTGAATCCCATGTTACAGATGTGTGCTTGCCCACAGCAACACGGAGCCAGGAGGGAGACAAGCCTGCATTAAAATTTACATCAGTTCAAATCCAGGGCCTGCCCTCGACCTCCCTTGACACTCTCTCAGTTGGACCACAGCTTCAAATGATAAAGTTGTATATATATCTTCAACAAGCTTCAAGAAAACAAATGTAACAATGGTGACAAGAATAAAAACGGGAAATAACAGTGGCAGGATTATATATCATTATTACTAATAATAGTGCCAGCAGTCAGTGAATATGTACAGACTATCCTCCACCAACCAGGCATCGTACAAGGGTACGGGGGGGATACTCCAGGAGAATACAGTACATAATTAGACTTTAAAATATGCCATGCAGATTGCAGCCATATTTTTCTCATTTGTAGACAGCAAAATCAGCTTAGTCTAAACCAATGTTTTAGTATCCTTTTATCTGATATAATTTCAAGCTCACAGAAAAGTTGCAAACATAGCACAAGGACCTTCTGTATGCCCTTTACTCATGTGCTCTGTGTGTGTGTGTGTGTGTGTGTGTGTCTGGAGATACTGTGCACTTCCACCCCTAAATACTACAATATGTCTTTCCTAAGAGGGCATTATACTGCATATTCATGGTACAATTTCTAAAATCAAGAAATTTAACACTGATACCATAATCTAATCTACAGTCCATACCCAAATCACATCAATTGTCCTATAATGTCTTTTAAGATTGCCAGGCCAGCATTTTTAAAAAAACAAACAATAAAAAAGGAAAATATAAAATGAAGCATTGCACTGGATATACTATGTTCACAAGCCTTTTGTTTTATGTGTGGATGTGTGCACACGTGTACTAAGTGTGATGTAAAACATCATTACTGTGAATCACAGTTAAAAAAAAAAAGTTAGAAAACTGTTCAGAGCGGTGGTTCCCAGACTTGAGTGTCATCAAAATTCTCAAGAGGGCTTGTTGAACAGGTTGCTTGGCACCACCCCAGGAGTGTCTGATTCAGTCCCTCTGGGGTGAGGTCTGGGATTCTGCATTTCTAACAAGTTCACGATTTATTTATTTAATTCATGAAACCTAAGGAAGCAGGTAAGACAAGTATTGGTTTTATGGCAATTTTATAGATGATGATTCCGGGATTCAGAAAATTTAAGTGACTTATCAAGGGTCACATAGCCAGGTAACAGAAACCCAGCTACACACTAGACCACATAAACTTCTTAACCTAAACTCTTTGAGCTGTCTTGTCCTTTCTTGGGGGGGAAAAAAAGTCAAGGTTCCTCCTTGCCTTACGCTGGAGTCAAGGTGGGGCTTCTGAGAGACAGAAACCTCTGTGACAACCCACAGGTAAAATTTCTGGGCCAGGCGCGGTGGCTCATGCCTGTAATCTCAGCGCTTTGGGAACCCCAGGAGGGCGGATCACGAGGTGAGGAAATCAAGACCATCCTGGCCAACATGGTGAAACCCCGTCTTTACTAAAAATACAAAAATTAGCTGGACGTGGGGGCGAGCGCCTGTAATCCCAGCTCCTCTGGAGTCTGAGGCAGGAAAATCGCTTGAACCTGGGAGGCGGAGATTGCGCCACTGCACTCCAGCCTGGGCCACAGAGTGAGACTCCGTCTCAAAAAAAAAAAAAAAAAAAAATTCTGTTGTATGTGCGTAAGTGTGTTTTGGGAGGAGGCATGAACAGATTTCATGAGTCTCAAACCCAAAAATGTTAAAAGATAAAAATAAAAAAAGACAACAAAAACCACTAGCCTTTCAGATAAACTCTTTTCAGCTGACATTGAAGGCTGACATTCTCTTCTAATCCTTTTTTGCACTGGGGGAGTCTTCATTCTCCTCCACTGGCCACAGAAGTCTGGTCTCGGTTTCCCCACCCACCTGCGGTGTCCTGCTCCAGCTTTTCCACCCTAACCCCGCATCTACCAGCACCTCCTCCTCCAGGCAGCCTTCCCAGGCCCGGGGGAACTCCTGTTCTCTTCAGATCGTCTTGGCGTATGGCTTTGTGCACCGTCTGCAGCAAGCCGAGACCCTTCCCGCCAGATCCAGGCCGGGCCTTGGATGGCCATTCGCCAACGAATCAGCGACCAGCATTCTAGAGCGCGTTTTGCAACCGACCAAACGCTCGCTTTCTTTGGTAAACAAAAACCGCTCGAGCCATCCTGGAGAACCGCAAGCGGCAGCTCGGTCCCCCAGCCGGATTTATGCTCCAGTTTACGGTCTGTGGTTTGCAGTAAGAAAACACCAGGGTCTTCAAAATAAGAAAACTGATTCCCAGTCAGAGAATAAAACTCCACTAACAAAGTCTGGCAAACCGCAGGCAATACGTATTTGCTGAATATTTTGCTTTCAAGCTAGCACTTTGAGACTCACTACTTTGGACGGCACTCCCCCTCCCCACAAAACGACACGACACTGGCTGACGTC
Source organism: Homo sapiens (assembly GCF_000001405.40). NCBI lineage: Eukaryota > Metazoa > Chordata > Mammalia > Primates > Hominidae > Homo > Homo sapiens. The sequence continues at coordinate 184,733,793 of NC_000004.12, forward strand.
TCTCCCACCCGCCAGGCAGTGTTAGGCCCCGACAGGCCCGTGCAGGTGGGATCACTGTTATCCCCACTAGACTGAGGAGGAAGCCGGGGACCCGGGCGATTGGCCACTCGGGCGACCTCCACAGTGGAGCACCAACAGCGCCGGGAGGCGCAAACCACGGCAGGCGAGGAAGCAGTTCAAGCTGGTCTCCGGCCCCGCGCTCCCGAGGGTCGGCAGTACTTACCCCTCAGACCTGTGAGGCCGCGGCCGCCGCCGCCCCCGCGGGGCCATGGTGCCGCTCTCCGCTCTCGAGCGACTGGAAGCTCCCGCCAAGCCCCTCGCCGCTCCGAACAGCCAATCCGGGCCGAGCACGCGCGCGTGCGCAGGACTTCCTGAGCGGCCCCCGGGCTCCTCCCTGGCCTGGAGCGTGAGGGAAAACTGGGTCTGGTTATTACAGCGCAACGGAGCTGGAGTCCATGCCGCACAACCAGTTACCTACGGTCCAAAACATGCCAAAGTTTTCCGGGCTTTCGCGCCCACCCGCATCGCCAGTTTTCCGGCGCCAGAAAGCCCGGGAGCCACGTGGGACGGCCCCTTGTGGGGTGGGGAAAGGGGAGGAGCTAGTGTCCCTGAGTCGTGGGCAGGTAAGAGGGTGGGTGGAGACCCGTGTTCGCAGCTGTTGTCGCTGAGGCCGCAGTCGTCTTTCCAGGCCTACAGGATTTGGCTTCCAGCCCCTGCTGCCTTTATCAGCTGTCTGAGCTTAGCATGTTACTTTACCGCTATCCCAATACCTTCATTTGTAAATGGACAGGGTTCCTTTTGTTCTTTTATTTTGTTTGTGTTTAAAAATGTGTAATGCAGAAGAATGTAATTGAACCCTTACCTTACACCGCGTATAAAAATTAACGCAAAATGAATCAAAGACCTAACTATAAAGGCTAAAATTAAAACTCTTAGAAGAAAACAGAGCAAAAACTTCATAACATTGGACTTGGTATGATTTCTTGGATATGATACCAAAAGCAGTTTGGGATGATGAAAACGTTCTGGAAATAGTGGTGGATGGATGCACAAGGTGAAGGTACTTAATGCCACAATACTGTAAAGTTAAAAACGGTTAAAATGCTAAATTTTGTTATGTATATTTTACTACGACAAAAATATTACGTTTCATGCATATGAAAGAATATAACGTGTAATGTAAAGATAAAAACAAACATCCGTGTAACCAGCACTACATGGGGATATGGATCATTTTTATATATAACTCTTGGGTACCCCTCTGAATGGTATCCTCCTCCTCCAAAGAATAACCACTCTTCTGATTTTATGTGTATCATTCCTGTGGTTTTCTACCTTGATATAGCCCCAAATAATGTATTGATTATTGTATGTTTCTAAACTTTATATGATATTTGGTAGGTATGCTGCAAGTGCCCTTTCTTACTAAAGCTATTGCTTTTATTTTTTATTTATTTTATTTTTCCATAAATTATTGGGGTGCAGGTGCTATTTGGTTACATGAGTAAGTTCTTTTTTTTTTTTTTTTTTTTTTTTTGAGTTGGAGTTTTGCTCTGTCGACCAGGCTGGAGTGCAGTGGCCTGATTTTGGCTCACTGCAAGCTCTGCCTCCCGGGTTCATGCCATTCTCCTGCCTCAACCTCCGAAGTAGCTGGGACTACAGGGGCCCGCCACCACGCCCGGCTAATTTTTTTGTATTTTTAGTAGAGACGGGGTTTCACCGTGTTAGTCAGGAAGGTCTCGATCTCCTGACCTCGTGATCTGCCCACCTCAGCCTCCCAAAGTGCTGGGATGACAGGCGTGAGCCACGGCGCCCGGCCTATTTATATTTTTTATTTTAATTTCTTTTTTTTTTTTCAAGATGGAGTCTTGCTCTGTCACCCAGGCTGGAGTGCAATGGCACAATCTTGGTGGGGGGGACTATCTTTTCTGGAATTTTAGGATCCCTCCTCAGACAAGCAGGCCTAACAAAAGCTATTCCTGAAGGTATGCTATGAGGAGCCTCAGAAATTGTATCCTTCCTATTCATGTAAGTGAAGATAAAAGGTGTCACTCTTCCAGCCTTGGACATCCCTTCCCTCCCTCAGGGTATGGCCCTCCACTTCATTTTTGGGGCATAACATCTTTATAGGACAGGGATAAAGTCCCAATACTAACAGGAGAATGCTTAGGACCCTTAACAGTTTTTCGAGAATGTGTTGGTAAGGGCCACTAAATCCGACCTTCCTTGGTCCTCCATGTGGTCTGGGAGGAAAACTAGTGTTTCTGCTGCTGCGTCGGTGAGTGCAACTATTCCGATCAGCAGGGTCCAGGGACCATTGTGGGTTCTTGGGCAGGGGGACAAGCAAAACAAACCAAAACCGCGGGTGGTTTTGTCTTTCAGATGGGAAACACTCAGGCATCAACAGGCTCACCCTTGAAATGCATCCTAAGCCGTTGGCACCAATTTGACCCATAAACCCTGTAAAAGAGGTGGTCTGCCCTGCAGCTTGGCACCAATATTCTCTCTCTGATGGGGAAAAATGGCCACCTGAGGGAAGTACAAATTATAATAGTATCCTGCAGCTTGACCTTTTCTGTAAGAGGGAAGGCAAATGGAGTGAAATACCTTATGTCCGAGCTTTCTTTTCATTGAGGGAAAATACACAACTATGCAAAGCTTACAATTTACATCCCACAAGAGGACCTCTCAGCTTACTCCCATATCCTAGCCTCCCTATAGCTCCCCTTCCTATTAATGATAATCCTCTCTAATCTCCCCTATCCAGAAGGAAATAAGCAAAGAAATCTCCAAAGGACCACAAAAACCCCCAGGTTATCGGCTATGTCCCCTTCAAGCTGTAGGGGGAGGGGAATTTGGCCCAACCCGGGTACATGTCCCCTTCTCCTTCTCTGACTTAAAGCAGATCAAGGCAGACCTGGGGAAGTTTTCAGATGATCCTGATAGGTACACAGATGTCCTACAGGGTCTAGGGCAAACCTTCGACCTCGCTTGGAGAGATGTCATGCTACTGTTAGATCAAACCCTGGCCTTTAATGAAAAGAATGCGGCTTTAGCTGCAGCCTGAGAGTTTGGAGATACCTGGTATCTTAGTCAAGTAAATGATAGAATGACAGCCGAAGAAAGGGACAAATTCCCTACCAGTCAGCAAGCCATCCCCAGTATGGATCCCCACTGGGACCTTGACTCAGATCATGGGGACTGGAGTTGTAAACATCTGTTGACCTGTGTTTTAGAAGGACTAAGGAGAATTAGAAAAATGCCCATGAATTATTCAATGATGTCCACCATAACTCAGGGAAAGGAAGAAAATCCTTCCGCCTTCCTTGAGTGGCTATGGGAGGCCTTATGAAAATACACTCCCATGTCACCCGAATCACTCGAGGGTCAATTGATTCTAAAAGATAAGTTTATTACCCAATCAGTTGCAGATATCAGGAGAAAGCTCCAAAAGCAAGCCCTGGGCCCTGAACAAAATCTAGAGGCATTATTAAACCTGGAAACCTCGGTGTTCTATAATAGGGACCAAGAGGAACAGGCCCAAAAGGAAAAGCGAGATCAGAGAAAGGCTGCAGCCTTAGTCATGGCCCTCAGACAAACAAACCTTGGTGGTTCAGAGAGGACAGAAAATGGAGCAGGCCAATCACCTGGTAGGGCTTGTTATCAGTGTGGTTTACTAGGACACTTTAAAAAAGATTGTCCAATGAGAAATAAGCTGCCCCCTCGTCCATGTCTGCTATGCCGAGGCAATCACTGGAAGGTGCACTGCCCCAGAGGACGAAGGTTCCCTGGGTCAGAAGCCCCTAACCAGATGATCCAACAACAGGACTAAGGGTGCCCAGGGCAAGCACCAGCACATGTCATCACCCTCACTGAGCCATGGGTACGTTTAACTATTGAGGGCCAGGAAATTGACTTCCTCCTGGACACTGGCGCCGCCTTCTCAGTGTTAATCTCCTGTCCTGGACGACTGTCCTCAAGGTCTGTTACCATCCAAGGAATCCTGGGACAGCCTGTAACCAGGTATTTCTCCCACCTCTTCAGTTGTAATTGGGAGACTTTGCTCTTTTCACATGCCTTTCTTGTTATGCCTGAAAGTCCCACACCCTTATTAGGGAGGGATATATTAGCCAAGGCTGGAGCTATTATCTACATGAATATGGGGAAAAAGTTACCCATTTGTTGTCCCCTACTTGAGGAGAGAATCAACCCTGAAGTCTGGGCATTGGAAGGACAATTTGGAAGGGCAAAAAAATGCCCGCCTAGCCCAAATCAGGTTAAAAGATCCCACCACTTTTCCTTAACAAAGGCAATATCCCTTAAGGCCTGAAGCTAATAAAAGATTACAGAATATTGTTAAATATTTAAAAGCTCAAGGTTTAGTAAGGAAATGCAGCAGTCCCTGCAACACCCCAATTCTAGGAGTATAAAAACTGAATGGTCAGTGGAGACTAGTGCAAGATCTTAGACTCATCAATGAGGCAGTAATTCCTCTATATCCAGTTGTACCCAACCCCTATACTGTGCTCTCTCAAATACCAGAGGAAGCAGAATGGTTCACGGTTCTGGAGCTCAAGGATGCCTGCTTCTGTATTCCCCTGCACTCTGACTCCCAGTTTCTCTTTGCCTTTGAGGATCCCACAGACCACACGTCCCGACTTACATGGACAGTCTTGCCCCAAGGGTTTGGGGATAGACCTCATCTGTTTGGTCAGGCACTGGCCCAAGATCTATGCCACTTCTCAAGTCCAGGCACTCTGGTCCTTCAGTATGTGGATGATTTACTTTTGGCTACCAGTTCGGAAGCCTCATGCCAGCAGGCTACTCTAGAGCTCTTGAAATTTCTAGCTAATCAAGGGTACAAGGTGTCTAGGTCAAAGGCCCAGCCTTGCCTACAACAGGTCAAGTATCTAGGCCTAATCTTAGCCAGAGGGACCAGGGCCCTCAGCAAGGAACGAATACAGCCTATACTGGCTTATCCTCACCTTAAGACATTAAAACAGTTGCAGGGGTTCCTTGGAATCACCGGCTTTTGCTGACTATGGATCCCCGGATACAGTGAGATAGCCAGGCCCCTCTATACTCTAATTAAGGAGACCCAGAGGGCAAATACTCATCTAGTAGAATGGGAACCAGAGGCAGAAACAGCCTTCAAAACCCTAAAGCAGGCCCTAGTACAAGCTCCAGCTTTAAGCCTTCCCACAGGACAAAACTTCTCTTTATATGTCACAGAGATAGCTGGGATAGCTCTTGGAGTCCATACTCAGACTCGTGGGACAACCCCACAACCAGTGGCATACCTAAGTAAGGAATTGATGTAGTAGCAAAAGGCTGGCCTCACTGTTTAAGGGTAGTTACAGCAGTGGCCATCTTAGTGTCAGAGGCTATCAAAATAACACCAGGAAAGGATCTCGCTGTCTGGACTACTCATGATGTAAATGGCATACTAGGTGCCAAAGGAAGTTTATGGCTATCAGACAACCGCCTACTTAGATACCAGGCGCTACTCCTTGAGGGACCGGTGCTTCAAATACGCACGTGCGTGGCCCTCAACCCTGCTACTTTTCTCCCAGAGGATGGGGAACCAATCGAGCATGACTGCCAACAAATTATAGTCCAGACTTATGCCACCTGAGATGCTCTCTTAGAAGTCCCCTTAGCTAATCCTGACCTTAACCTACATACCGATGGAAGTTCATTTGTGGAGAATGGGATACGAAAGGCAGGTTACACCATAGTGATGTAACCATACTTGAAAGTAAGCCTCTTCCCCCAGGGACGAGTTCCCAGTTAGTAGAACTAGTGGCCCTTACCCGAGCCTTAGAACTGGGAAAAGAAAAAAGAATAAATGTGTATACAGATAGCAAGTATGCTTATCTAATCCTACATGCCCATGCTGCAATATGGAAAGAAAGGGAGTTCCTAACCTCTGGGGAACCCCCACTAAATACCACAAGGAAATTATAGAGTTATTGCATGCAGTGCAGGAACCCAAGGAGGTGGCAGTCTTACACTGCCAAAGCCATCAAAAAGGGGAAGAAGAGGGGAGAACAGCAGCATAAGCAGCTGGCAGAGGCAGGGAAAGACCAGTAGAAAGGAAAGAGACAGAAAGTCAGAGAGAGAGGAAGAAAAAGAGAGACAAAGAGAAGGAGTCAAAGGAAAGAGAGAAAGAGACAGGAAGTCAGAGAGAGAGAGAGGAAGAAACAGAGACAAAACAGGAAAGAGAGGAAGAGACAAAGGGGGAGTCAGAGAGAAAGAGAGAGACAAAGAAGAAGTCAGAGAAAGAGAGAGATAGAAATAGTAAAGAAAAAACATAGTACCCTATTCCTTTAAAAGTCAGGGTAAAGTTCTGTCTACCCAGCCAAGGCATATTCTTCCTATGTGGAACATCGACCTACATCTGCTTCCCCACTAACTGGACCAGCACCTGCATCTTAGTCTTTCTAAGTCCCAACATTAACATTGCCCAGGAAATCAGATTCTATCAATACCCCTCAAAGTTCAAGTCCATCAGTGCAGAGCCATACAACTAATACCCCTACTTATAGGGTTAGGAATGGCTACTGCTACAGGAACTGGAATAGCTGGTTTATCTACTTCAGTGTCCTACTACCACACACTCTCAAAGGATTTCTCAGACAGTTTGCAAGAAATAACGGATCTGTTCTTACTCTACAATCCCAAATAGACTCTTTGGCAGCACAGACTCTCCAAAACCGCTGAGGCCTAGACCTCCTCACTGCTGAGAAAGGAGGACTCTGCATCTTCTTAGGGGAAGAGTGTTGTTTTTACACTAACCAGTCAGGGATAGTACGAGATGCCGCCCGGCGTTTACAGGAAAAGGCTTCTGAAATCAGGCAATGCTTTTCAAATTCTTATACCAACCTCTGGAGTTGGGCAATGTGGCTTCTCCCCTTTCAAGGTCCCGTGGCAGCCATCTTGCTGTTACTCACGTTCGGGCTCTGTATTTTTAACCTCCTTGTCAAATTTGTTTCCTCTAGAATTGAGGCCGTCAAGCTACAGATGGTCTTACAAATGGAACCCCAAATGAGTTCAACTAACAACTTCTACCGAGGACCCCTGGACCAGTCCACTGGCACTTTTACTGGCCTAGAGAGCTCCCCTCTGGAGGACACTACAACTGCAGGGCCCCTTCATCACCCCTATCCAGCAGGAAGTAGCTAGAGTGGTCATCGGCCAAATTCCCAACATCAGTTGGGGTGTCCTGTTTAGAGTGGGGATTGAGAGGTGACAGCGTGCCGGCAGCCCTTGCTCACTCTCAGTGCCTCCTCAGCCTCAGCGCCCACTCTGGCCATGCTTGAGGAGCCCTTCAGCCCGCCGCTGCACTATGGGAGCCCCTCTCTGGGCTGGCCAAAGTCGAAGCCGGCTCCCTCTGCTGGCAGGGAGATGTGGAGGGAGAGGCGCAGGCAGGAACTGGGGCTGTGCGGCGCTCGCGGGCCAGTGTGTGTTCCGGGTGGGCGTAGGCTCGGTGGGCTCCACACTCAGGAGTGGCCGGCTGGTGACACCAGCCCCGGGCAGTGAGGGGCTTAGCACCCGGGCCAGCAGCTGTGGAGGGTGCACCGGGCCCCCCAGCAGTGCCGGCCTGCCAGCACTGCCCTTGAATTCTCATCGGGCCTCAGCTGCCTCCCCGCAGGGCAGGGCTCGGGACCTGCAGCCCGCCATGCCCAAGCCTCCCCCCGACCGTGGGCTCCTGTGCGGCTAAGCCTCCCCGACAAGCATCACCCCCTGCTCTGTGGCGCCCAGTCCCATCGACCACCCAAGGGCTGAGGAGTGCGGGCACATGGCGCGGGACTGGCAGGCAGCTCCGCCTGCAGCCCTGGTGTGGGATCCACTAGGTGAAGCCAGCTGGGCTCCTGAGTCTAGTGGGGACTTGGAGAACCTTTATGTCTAGCTAAGGGATTGTAGATACACCAATCAGCACTCTGTGTCTAGCTCAAGGTTTGTAAATGCACCCATCAGCACTCTGTGTCTAGCTCAGGTTTGTGAATGCACCAATCAGCACTCTGTATCTGGCTCATCTGGTGGGGACTTGCAGAACCTTTATGTCTAGCTAAGGGATTGTAGATACACCAATCAACACTCTATGTCTAGCTCAAGGTTTGTAAATACACCAATCAGCACCCTGTGTCCAGCTCAAGGTTTGTAAATGCACCAATTAGTGCTCTGTGTCTAGCTAATCTAGTGGGGACTTGGAGAATCTTTACGTCTAGCTAAGGGATTGTAAATACACCAGTCAGCACTCTGTGTCTAGCTCAAGGTTTGTAAATACACCAATCAGCACCCTGTGTCTAGCTCAAGGTTTATAAATGCACCTATCAGTGCTCTGTGTCTAACTAATCTAGTGGGGACTTGGAGAACTTTTGTGTCTAGCTCAGGGATTGTAAACGCACTAATCAGCACGCTGTCAAAATGGACCAATCAGCGCTCTGTAAAATGCACCAATCAGTAGGATGTGGGTGGGGCCAGATAAAGGATTAAAAGCAGGCTGCCAGAACAGCAGTGGCAACATGCTTGGGTCCCTTTCAACACTGTGGAAGCTTTGTTCTTTCGCTCTTTTCAATAAATCTTGCTGCTGCTCACTCTTTGGGTCCACACTGCCTTTATGAGCTGTAACACTCACCACGAATGTCTGCAGCTTCACTTCTGAGCCAGCGAGACCACGAGCCCACCAGAAGGAAGAAACTCCAAACACATCCAAACATCAGAAGGAACAAACTCCAGACATGCCTCCTTTAAGAACTGTAACACTCAGTTACAGTTACAGTGGCTTCATCCTTGAAGTCAGTGAGACCAAGAACCCACCAATTCCAGACACACTGGGAGCCTGGTCCAGAGCTTGAAACCCGGCAGCCATTCCATGTCTGTCTGAATTCTACCATTCAGGGAAAGAGACTCCGTATCTCCCAGCCTTCCCAGAAAAAGGGCTGCCACACCTACCTGTATTTGGGCTCTCCAGAAAAGCAGAACCAATGTACATATGGGGACAGCGGGCAGAGATTTTAAGAACTGGCTCATGCAAATGTGGAGGCTGGCAAGTCTGCAATCTCTAGGAACAGGCCCACAGGCTGGAAATTCAGGTAAGAGTTGACGTTGCCATCAGGAGTCCAAAATCCACAAAGCAGGCCCAACAGCCTGGAAACTCAGGCAGAGTGTCTGTGTTGCAGGATTGAGGAGAATTCCTTCTTCAGGAAACCTCAGTCTTAAGGCCTTCAACAGATTGCGTGAGGCCCACCTACATTATGGAGGGTAATGTGCTTCAGTGAAAGCCTACTGATTTAAATAGTAATCACACCTAAAAAATGCCTTCCTGGCAATACCTAGACTGGTGTTTGACCAAACAACTGGGCATCATGGCATAGCCAAGTTGACACCTAACATTTACCATCACACTGTCCCTGAACCAATCCCTGTGGCCAGGGAAATGGAATACACTCATTAGCTTCCTAGGACCACTTGATTCCCGCTGGAACTGGAGTGGCGAGTAGGGGGCTATAAATTGGGAAAGGGGGAAATGCATGCTGGGGAAACAGATAAATCCGTGACAGAAACTCACCCAGGGTTGTAGAGCTATTCATAGGGAAGCTAGATTCCAACCCACTCCTGCCTTTGTTCCATGCTGCTTCCGCAGTTAGACTGTCAGCTTAGAGCAATGATTCTCAGCTTGGGTGAGGGGAGGGCAGAGGGAAGAGGGAAAGGGGTCTACCAGGATGCCTGGGGCGGGGTAACCTGATAAAGCCAGTGGATGCTATCACAGGAAGGAGACTCCCGGGGTGCTCTGGGCAGAGGTTGTGTGAGAGCCCTACCTATGATTCTGACCCAGAAGGGCCATCTCAGAGTTTCTGTAGTGATTTGTGTTGTTGAGGATGGAAACCACAGCATCTCTGCGCGCTTGTAGATATGGAAAGCCAGGTGGGGAGCCTGGTTTGGGTGGCAGGAAGAGAACACAAAGGCTCATTATAAGCCCTTGATAAAAATGTGGGGGCTGGAGGCTGGCCATAGGGGAGAAGGGTCTGTAGAGGGGAGAGGAGGTGCCCAGCAGATTCCAACCAATCAGAAAAGAAACTCCCCATGCCCAGCAGATTCCAACCAATCAGAAAAGAAACTCCCCGCAAGGAGAACAATAGGTTACTTTTTAGGGAAGCCATGGCCAGTGTTTTCCATTTTAAGATGGTGCCTGTGTTGTGCTGGTCTCTTTCCACCAGTTAACCGTTAGTAAAGTTTGCTAAACTCCACAGCCTTGTGTGTCTAAGGGGCGGTGAGGAAGGAAGGATCCTTACAGTAGGTAGTCAGGCAGACGTGAGCAGGGCAGGAGAGGGCCCCTACAACCAGGAAAGTCAGGCAGCCATCAGGGGATGGTCAGGCGGCTGTTAAACTGTTTATTTTAGACCAATAATAATCGGTCACAGCCAGCACGAGGGAAAGGCAATTTCCCAATAGAAAATATCTGAAGCTGGTGATTAGCAGCTTCCGGATAAGATCTCAGGATTTGGGTGAGTGAGCTCAAGCATACACAGTAAGAGGCAAAATGATGGTGTTTAATTGGTAGATGGGAGAACGCCTCAACTGCGCATGTGCACAACTTCAGTAAACACGTTGCGTTTATGGCTCCTCCCACGTGCTGGCAGGCCACTGCGCATCAGGACAGCCCACCCCAAGGGAACAATCCAGGGAGAGGTAACACCGCTCCCTCCCTCAAAGCATGCTAACGTATAAGACCCCAAGTCAAAGGCCACACAGCACTTGAATCTCTCATGTCCCCGCTTGGCCCTCTTCCAAGTGTACTTTACTTCCTTTTGTTCCTGCTCTAAAACTTTTTTTTTTTTTTTTTTTTTTTTTTTTTTTGAGACGGAGTCTCGCTCTGTCGCCCAGGCTGGAGTGCAGTGGCGCGATCTCGGCTCACTGCAAGCTCCGCCTCCCGGGTTCACGCCATTCTCCTGCCTCAGCCTCCCGAGTAGCTGGGACTACAGGCGCCCGCTACCACGCCCGGCTAATTTTTTGTATTTTTAGTAGAGACGGGGTTTCACCGTGTTAGCCAGGATGGTCTCGATCTCCTGACCTCGTGATCCGCCCGCCTCTGCCTCCCAAAGTGCTGGGATTACAGGCGTGAGCCACCGCGCCCGGCCTAAAACTTTTAAATAAACTTTCACTCGGCTCTAAAAGTTGCCTCTGTCTCTCGCTCTGCCTTATGCCCCTTGGTCAAATTCTTTCCTCTGAGGAAGCAAGAACTGAGGTTGCTGCAGACCTGTGTGGATTCGCTGCCATTAACGAGATAGTGTTCAGGGTGGGGTGAAGCATGCTTGTTGGAAGGGATGGGCTGAAAACGCAGGAGTGGAGGCAGCGGGGTCAGGAGTCCTAAAGGTGACCTGGAGCAATGTGAGCAACTGCAAGGAACGTCAGGGACACCAGAGGACCAGAGGCTTCAGGACACTGGAGGACACCTAGGTGGTGGGTCCTTAAGTTATATGCTTTCATATTTGGGAAATGGAAAAAAAAAACTATTGCTTTGATTATACCAACTATAGAAAATAATGACAAAACTTTAGGGAGGCTTGGGATAAACTGAGTGCTTGGGCCTGGACACTTCCATGTGGAACTATATCTTCCCTGTGATGGAGGTTGATGTATATATGAATTCCATGTTTTGGAATTGTTAGTTTGATTTTGATTGATTGATTGGACTGAGACAAGGTCTCTGTTGTTCAGGCTGGAGTGCTGTGATGACTTCATAGCTCACTACAGTCTCAAATTCCTGGGCTCAAGCGATCCTCCTGCCTCAGTCTCCCGAGTAGCTGGGATTACAGGCACATGCCACCAGGCCTGGCTAATTTTTGTATTTTTCACAGAGAGGGTTTTGCCGTGTTGTCCAGGCTGGTCTCAAACTCCTGGGCTCGAGAACCACCCACCCTGGCCTCCCAAAGTGCTGGGATGACAGGTGTCCGCCACCGCGCCTGGCCTCATTAGCTTGATTTTAAGTGAGAATATTATTTGGTATCTTACAGGATTCTCATGAAGATAAGAGAAGAATGTAGAGGCCCCTCGATACACAGAAGGGGTGCCATTTCTTATTGGACTCAAGCTTTTCTCCAGGGAGCTTTTCTGTTGAATTTTCTTTTCAGCACTGGGTCCACCAGGGGGCAGATGAAGAAAGGGCCTGGAGATTCGACGATGTCATTGGAGCACAGAGCGCCTCACTTTCAGACGTTGTAAATACTGCTTCAAAGTCAGTTCAAGAAGATGAATAAGGCTAGACATTTTAGTTGCCCTTGCTTAACCCTTTTCCTCTTTCACATAAATGATATTCTTCCACAATTTATCCAGTCCATTCCTGTCAATTTCCCATAAGGCAGAGTATGATTCTCTATGACGGAGAGGAAAAGAACTGATGTCTCAAATTTTCCCACTTTCTTATATAACTTCCTACAGCAGTTACTAATTACTGAGTACACAGGAATATCTCACTCAACTTGGCAGTTTAATGAAGTTATCTGTTTTAAGCAGACCCGTTGTTCAACCTCTGTAACTATAACACTACAAAACAGACTTAACACATCCCAGGAGGGCAGGCATGGGGGAGCAGAGGAGGATCATTTCTTTTGGATGTTCCCTTTAAGAAAAAGAGGAAATAAAATCCAGAAAGGAAGTACTCCTCGCCTTTTACAGTTAGAGGGCAGAAAGATTTTTTGTAGCAAACAACGACATTAGATCTCTTCTTATGTCACATGCTTTTCAACATTTCCTGGGTGCTGTTACCCGGCTGCTAAACTTATTTGCTGTGTAACTAATGTTGTTTTAGTTTTTCCAGACCTAACTGGCACTGCTCCTACCCAAGCTGCAATCACATGGCTAAACAGGTCTGGTCAGTACATCATGACCATGCAATGTCTCATGCTTCAGATTCCATTCTCAGCTCCCCAAAGGGTCAGGAGAGTCTGGTGCTGGGATCCTGGCAGGAGCATGCTAGCAAAATTCAGGATTTCTTTAGCCAAGGAATGGCAGACTTCCAACCTGCATAAGCAGTAATTTTATAACTGAAACAGATGTAAAAAACCGAGTGCATAACCTGAGAAAGAGAAAATGGAAGGACATCCCAGAGAAAAGGTGTTTTTTTTTTTAAGGAAATAAGGACAGAAAAATAAGAAGTAAAATGTCTACAGCAGAGTCTTGTGTCTGTAACTCTCCCTCAAGCTGTGGTTGGAAAAGAACTTTCTTAAAAAGGTTTTCACAGCTCTGTAATGAACTTGCTCACTCTGACAGCACTTTTGGTTGACCTGAGAATACACACAGCTGTGAGGCTGACCTTGTTTGGCCAGTGTCCTGACCTCAGGAGCCCTTACTGCTCAGGCAGGAATGGACTCAGCAGATGGCACCTGGCAGAGGCACCTCCCAGGTGACGCAGCAACTTTCTTCATAGAACCTGCTGTAGAACGAAACCTCTGGCTGCTGCCCTGCACCTTATAGGCCAGCTCTCTCACCCCTTATCACTGAGCATAAAGATCATTCTCACCCAGGCCACAAACATGCTCTTTGTTTCCAGGGCTTAGAGAATCAGGGAAGGCTTCTAAGCAAAGTGCCATCTCCAATCCTGTAGGAGCAGCCAGGCCAGGGTGAGAGTGCTCTGGGGAGGGAGGCCAGCCTGTCCAAAGGCTTTGCAGTGAGCAAAAGCAGGATGCACTTTGGGAGCTGGAATAACTGAGGCATGGCTGGAACAGAGTTGGGGAAGTGTCAAGAAATGAGGCCAGGGAGGCAAGCAGGGGCCCTTCAGTTCCCTACTCCTCAAAGTGTAGCACAAAGACCGGCAGCACTGGTGTTCCCAGGAAGCTTGTTAGAAATGCAGAATTGCAGATTTAGTGAATCAGAATCTTCATGTTAAGATCCCCAGGTGGCTGGGCAAGGTGGCTCATGCCTGTAACCCTAGCACTTTAGGGGGCTGAGGCTGGAGACTCACTTGAGCTCAGGAGTTTGAGACCAGCCTGGGCAACGTGGTGAGAAACAAAAAAACCAACAAATTAGCCAGGTTTGGTGGTGCACGCCTGTGGACCCAGCTACTTGGGAGGCTGAGGCAGGAGAATCCTTAAGCCTGGGAGGTCAAGGCTGCAGTGAACTGTGATCATACCACATACTCCAGCCTAGGCAACAGAGCAAGACCCTGTCTGAAAAAAAAAAACAAAAAAATTCTGAGGTGACTAGATGCACAATCAATTTCGAGAAGCCCCCCCCTCTCACTCCATTAAGCAGTTCAGACTAGGGAACAATAGGAAGCCTCTGGACAATGAAGCAGGAGAATCACATGGTAAGACTTGTGATTTAGAAAAATCTTGCTTGCTGCAGAATGGGTAAAGTAGCAGGGACCAATATAGGCAGCAAGGGGGCCAACTAAGAGGCTGGTGCAATGGTCCTGGCAAGACGTGGCCTCCGCCCTAAGGAGTGGGAATGGAGCATGGTGAGAGGTGGCCAGATTCGGTAGCCAATAGGAGACAGCAGCAACAGGAACTGGTGGCTGAGGCTGCCTGGAGCAGCCCTGGAACTTCTCCCAAATGTGTGGCCCACTGACAGCTGGGCCCGGGTGAGGCCCAGGCGCTGGCAGCAGCACAGCAGGGTGGGGAATGCAATATCAGTGGGTGTGGGACTCCAAAACCAGAGTCCTTCTGTGTCTGCACACGTCGCCTGGTGCAGAATGTGAGCAAACTGGTTTTCACGTATGCTCAGTGTGTGTCCCATTCACTGCACGGTGCTTCGCTGTCCCTGCAGCTGGGCTCTGGGGTTGGTACTTCTGTTGCTCACTCTCCAATTGGAACAAGCCACATGCAAAGCAGGAGGCCTGCCTGGAGTTCTTGGGGAGAAACACTGCAGCGTTAGTTAGTATCCAGCAAGGACAATTTCGGCCAGAGAAATCTGACAGTCAAACCCACTCCCCTTAGCCGATAAAAGTCTCAATAAAAAAGTGACTAAGAACTTATATGCAAAATATGTTTATGAAAAAGAAATCCTGTTGTAGGCCAAGAACAGAATCCCTCTGCACCTGAAGAACACTGCTTAGAAGCAAAATTCCTTTAGCAAGACTTCTACCTTTGAAGCAAGTCAACCAAGCAAAGGAGTTCACTGAGTCCAAAGGAAAACTCTAGATCGCTGTTTATGCCAAATACATGAATAATAAGATGGGAAAATTTCCCTAATTACTCTTGCTGAGTAAAGAAGTGAGTTTAATCTGAACCAACACATAGCGAGGCATCTACTGCAGGGTACAGTGGTGAAGAGTCAGCCAGGGCAGGGCACTGGGTCGGGGGTCCCTTTGGCAGGCTCCAGACTAAGCTGGAGTGGAGGTTTCTCAGCACTGGGCACCAACACCGCTCTGCTGACAAGAGTTGGAAGGATTGTCTCTATGCTGGGAGCCTAAGGAGAGTTCCCTCCAGTCAGATTCTGGGCTGCAAAACCATTTTCATAATAAAAGAAGAGGGGGCTGGAGGCTGAGGAAGGGGAGGGATGCTGTGGGCCTGACCAGTCGAACTGACCCATGGCCCTTGCCTGTTCTGGCCCTACTGGGACCTTCTGCTCTTTATCGACCTGTTGTGCACCGATGGGGGTCAGTGGCAGGTTTCTCTTCTGCCTAAGCTGCTGTGAAATGAAACAGCAACTGGAAATATGAAAACATAAAAAGGAACTTCCAGAGTCCCTGGCATTTATCTTCCTTCACCTTATGGCATGACTAACATAGAACTGCAAACAGGTATAATTAAAGTGGAAAGTTACCTGCACCTGATTGGCTGCTTAAGAGAACTTACTCAACAATGATTGGGCACTCAGGGTGCTCAAGGCATTGGGCTTTGCATCAGAGGGGAAGCAACAGCAAAAAGGTGATCCAGGCGCTCAGAGGCCTTGGAGTCAGAAAATCCAGCTCAGCCACTTACTAGCCATCTGAACTTGGACAAAATAGCTGATCCCTCCAAGTCGTTTCTCATCCGTAACAAGGAGGTAATACTTAAACAAACAAACAAAAACAAAAAACAGAAGTACCGGCCAGGCGCGGTGGCTCATGCCTGTAATCCCAGCACTTTGGGAGGCTGAGGCGGGCAGATCACAAGGTCAGGAGTACGAGACCAGCCTGGCCAATATGGTGAAACCCCATCTCTACTAAAAATACAAAAATTAGCCGGGCGTGGTGGTGGAAGCCTGTAGTCCCAGCTATTCAGGAGGCTGAGGAAGGAGAATCGCTTGAACCTGGGAGGTGGAGGGTGCAGTGAGCCGAGATCGGGCCACTGCACCCCAGCCTGGGCGGCAGAGCGAGACTCTGTCTCAAAGAAAACAAACAAACAAACAAAAAAAGACACAGAAATATTCAGATAGCTCCCTAATCTTTCCACCCCAATCACCATGGGTCTACCTGACATCTAACCCACATTGCCAAGTCTTCTCTTGTTGTAATGGAAGAGTCCCTATCAATGGCCAGTCTCGCCACTATCGTTCAGTTCTAACCCTCCCCACCTCTCGAGCTAGCCCTTGCCTAAATCATTCTCTTTCTTTGCTGGATCACTCCCACCAGCATGTCATTCTACTCCAGTATCTCCCATCTTAGAAACCACCACTACCTGCAAGCAAAAGCGAACCTCTCAACCCCACATCTCTCTGCAGTTATCCATTCATGTCCACTTTCTTCACAGCAAAATAGAGCTATTTACCCTTTGTCCTGACCTCCTGGGAGTTCATTCCTCAATGTGCTCCAGCAGGCTCTGTCCTCCCTATTCTGCTGGAGCAGTTACTGGCAGGGTCACCACCACTGCTGAATGCAGTGGACTATCCCCACATTATTCTACCTTAAAAAAAAAATTCTCCAGACAGAGGTCTTGCTATGGTTGCCCAGGCTGGCCTCAAACTCCCGGCCTCAAGCAATCCTCCCGCCTCGGCCTCTCAAAGTGTTGGGATTATAGGCATGAGCCACCGTGCCTGGCAACTTTTAACAGCATATGCTTTTAACAGCATATGCCTTAACCTGTGCCCCGTAAGCCCTTCCTGCAGTGCCTTTCTGCCTTGGCTGCAGGGACACTGCACTCTTGGTTTTTGCTCGTTCCTGCAAGGCAGGTAATTCTCAATCACCCTTGCAGGCTCCTTCTTTAACCCACTTGTCAGAGGGCCCCAGGACTCTGTCTTGGGTCCTCCTCTACTGCATTTCCTTTCTACACAGCTTCCCCAGGTTACCTGATAAGGTCCCACAGCTCTAAATCCCTTCTCTAGCTGATGGCTTTCTGAACTGTTCTCTCCAGCTGGAGCTGTCTCCTGAGTCAGAGCCGCAGACTGGTGTGTTATCTTCAAGTGGTGGTCTGACAGGAACGTCAAGGGAAAACTTCCAGTCCAAGCTCTTGATTCCCTCCTCCTAAACACATGCCTCGGCATCTTCCCCGCCTCAGTAAGCACAGCCCCACCATCTACCCCAGTATGCTCATACCCCAAGCCCTCTCTGCTCCTGGTTCCTCCCATGCAGTGGTTCTACCTCCAAACTGCTTTCAAATAAATTCCTTCTCCAGCCACTGCCACTTACTTGGCTCAAGCTGCCCTCGCACACTATACTATCTCCACCTGTCTCTGTGCCTCTCCTCTTATCCCTCAGCAGCTGTTCCCAAAAGGGGAATTCAAGGAATGTCACTCCTTGCCCCAAACCCTTTCCTCCTGACCCCAGTGGAAAACTGAGATTCCGTCTAGGGCGGCAGGGCCTGGTAACCTGCCCCCGCATCACCAACTTCTTTCCAGTCCACTCTTTCCCTTGTTCATGATGCTTTAGACACATCGGCTTCCTTTCAGTTCCTTGAATAGATCGAGCTCTTTCCCACCCCAGGGCCTTGCACCCACTACTTCTTTTGTTGGAAAACGTTTCCTCCAGAGCTTTGCAAGGCTTTCTGTTCATTCTTCGGCTTATCACCCCAAATATCACTTCCTCAAAGAGACCTTTTTCTGACCACAACACTTAAAAATGGGCACTGTCAATACAACTGCTTTCTTCAAAGCATCCATCACAATCTGCAGTATTCGTTTGTTTTCTTGTCAATTGCCTCCTTCTCTCTATTAGGAAGTAAGCCTCCCAAGGGCAAGGATCTCGTCTGCCACACTCACTGCTGCACCTCCACAGCATACAGTAGCACCTGGCACTTAGTTGACGGTAAATACATCATTATGGACCGGCCACTCGTCTAACAGGGGTTTTGTGAGAATTAAATGAGAGCATAAAGAGCACAGCATAGCATACTGCCCGTTAGCAAATCCACAATACCTATAGCTATTACTATCGCCATGCTTGGTGATTCGTGGATGTTCTGGGGAATCACATGAACCTGCGTATCTGTGACTCATGCATATGTTCCTCCTAATACAGAGTATCTGTTTTGTTTTTTTGAGACATGTTGTTGTTCCGTCACCCAGGCTGGAGTGCAGTGGCAGATCATAGCTCACCGTACCCTTGACCACCTGGACTCAAGGAATCCACCCACCTCAGCCTCCCAAGTAGCTGGGACTACAGGTGAATGCCACCATGCCTGGCTAATTGTTTTATTTTCTGTAGAGATGAGGTCTCACTGTATTGCCCAGCCTGGTCTCAAATTCCTGAGCTCAAGCAATCCTCCTGCCTCGGCCTCCCAAAGTGCTGGGATTACAGGTGTGTGCCACCACACCTGGTGAATGGTGTTTCTGTCAAGCTTTTGTTCTTGATGGATTTGGGGTTTCATTTTTGCTAAGTCATAAAACCAGAATAAAACTCTGGGAAGTGGCATTAGCCTCTACTGGGGCAAGGCAAAGTCATTAGACTGGAATCGAAACCATTTGTACTGAAGCTTGGAGGCAGAATTGTTGGCACCAGGCAGTCCAGGTCTTGTCAGGAAGTTCAGTGCCAAAAACACACATGAAGGAACAGCAATCCACAGCATGAGGTTTCGAGTGCAGTCTCTGGAGGCAGATGGCTAGCTCTAATTCTGTCTGGGGGCATGACGCTGATGAAATTATTGCTGTACTTCCATTTCGTCAACTGTAAACTGGAATAATGGCGGCATGTGGCTCAAAAGTTTGTAAGTATAAAATGGATAATCTATGTAAAATATTCCTGGCGTGCAGCAACACATTTTAATTATTCCAATAATCTACAAATAGGGAGTGGGACAAAACTATTTAATGACCACATGCCAAAGAGACTTAAAAATAGATTGCTTTCTGAGTTTAGATGTAAAATGAGGGTATGGCAGAGCTGGGGCCTGGGAGGGGTCCCTGGGGAGCTCTGAGGGCAGCAGGGTGGCTCTTGCCAGACCCTCACTTCCCCACTTGGGCCTCCTGACTCAGGCCCTGCTGGGGACTTCAGCTCTCAGGGAAGTTGCGGAAATAAGTGGTATTAGCATGCCGGGGGCCTGGACGGAAGAAAGGACTGCCACACAGCCAGGCAAACAACCATCTTGGAATCAATCATATTTTTTCTTTTCTGTTCTGGCTGGAGAGAGACCACTGGGCTTTTGAGGTGGTTTTGATTTGAGGGAAGAAGCACCATCACATCTCTAGTGCTGTCGAGGAGGCACTGAACCCAAGCAGGGGAGTGAAAATTAAGAATTAAAAACAGTGTTTAGGGATTAATATCTAGAATATATAGAGAACTCCCACAGCTCAATAACATAAAAACCCCAAGCAACTCACTTTTTAAAAATGGGCAGAGGATTTGAATAGACGTTTCTCCAAAGAAGAGATACCAATGGTAATCAAGCATGTGAAAAGACGCTCGACATGACTGATCATCAGGGAAAGGCAAATCAAAACCACAGTGAAACAACACTTCACACTCATTAGGATGGCTACTTCTGAACATAACAGAAAACAAGTGTTAGTGATGATGTGGAGAAATTGGAACCCTTGTGCGTTTTTGGTGGAAATGTAAAATGATATAGTTGATATGGCGAACAATATGGCATTTCCTCAAACAAAAATGAAACATAGAATTACCATATGATGCAGCAATTCTACTTCAGGGCATATACACAAAAGAATTGAAAGCAGGGACTCCAATAGAATTGTACACCAGTGTTCACTGCAGCATTATTCACAACAGCCAGAGGGTAAGAAGAGTGTGAGTGAGTGCCTATCGATGGATGAGTGGATAAACAAAACGTGGCTGATACATACAATGGAATATTATTCAGCCTTGCAAAGGAAGGAAATTTCTGACACATGCTACAACATGGATGAACCTTGGGGACATTATGCTGAGTGAAATAAGCCAGTCACAAAAGGACAAACACTGTATGATTCCACTTATATGAGGTACCTAGTCAATTTAATAGAAACAGAGAATAAGTGGTGGCTGCCAGGAGTTTAACGGGAGGGGAGAACGGGGGGTTGTTGTTTAATGGGTACAGAGTTTGCCTGGCAAGATGAAGAGCTTATGCAGCTGGATGGTAGTGATGACAGCACAGCAGTGTGGATGTCCTGAATGCCACGGAACTGTACACTGAAAAATGGTGACGGTGCTAACTTTATGTGAATTTCACCATGATTTTAAAAGAGCCCAGTGTTTATTATCAACCTCATTGCAAGAGGAGCTTTGTTCAAAATTTCAAGTATTTGTTCAAAAGGTTTATTTAATGAATATCTATTAGTTTCTAAGCCCTGTGTTCAGTGCTAAGGGAGAGGGGAGAAAGGAAAGGCCTTAAGAACCTCACACTTCATCAGGAGAGAAGGGGAGGAAGGTAAGCCCTGAAGACATGAGAAGGATCTTCATTAAAAAAAATTCCTGCCGGGTGCAGTGGCTCACGCCTGTAATCCCAGCACTTTGGGAGGCTGAGGCGGGCGGATCACCTGAGGTCAGGAGTTCGAGACTAGCCTGACCAATATGATGAAACCCTGTCTCTACTAAAAATACAAAAATTAGCTGGGCATGGTGGCGTGCGCCTGTAATCGCAATTACTTGGGAGGCTGAGGCAGGAGAAGAGCTTGAACTTGGGAGGCAGAGGTTGCGGGGAGCCGAGATCGTGCCATTGCACTCCAGCCTGGGCAATAAGAGTGAAACTCTGTCTCAAAAAAAATTCTTTTAAGGGGCAGGCTGGACTCGAACTCCTGGGCTCAAGGGATCCTCCTGCCTCAGCCTCCCATGTAGCTGGGACTACAGGTGCACGCCACTGCCCCCTGCTAAGATAAGGATCTTAATAAATAAAAGTGGAAGAATGGACAAGATAGCATCTGCACATGGCTTGATGTACACATCATCACACCAAACAGAATTTAAGACAGGAAACTAGATTTAAACACAACAGGCTTGGAAGAAATTAGGGGGTTGATTCATTAATACCTGTGGAAAAGAAAATCTTTAAAATGGTAACAGAAGGAATAGGGTGGAGATAGAAGAAAAGAAACAAGAAAAAGTTGGCTGCTATAAAGAGACATCTGAAATAATTCTACAGTAAGAGAATGACTAAACAGTGCTAAAATACAATAGTGGGATTACATTCACCACGGAATCACCAGTTACAGCCAGCGTCGCCTGAAATACATTTTCCAGCAAGGAAGCTGCATTTTCAGGACCTTCTCTGTTATTCACACCATGACTTTCTTTTCCACAACCAGTTAGGACTTTTGCCACAGACAACCTGGTGGGAGGCTCGGGTCAGTGTCTGTCAGTGCCTGAGGCCAGCTGAGTTAGAGGAGGGTGACTAAGAAGAAAAGAAGACAACTGGGAAGGATTCCAGGCCCAGGGCCATTCTTGCTCTTCGCTTGTGCACATTACAGGCTGTTCCGAATATTAAACATGACATTAAAAAAGATGCCTCACTCACCTGAAATGCAGAAATATTTATTTTGGTTTCCTTCATTGTTTTTGGAAATTTTGTTTTGGTTTATAAAACATAGAAATAGCCAACACTTAAAGCAAACATTCAAAACCCCAAGGTGACAAATTATTGACTTTTTGTGCAATTAAGAATACATATATGAAGTTAGGCTACCAAGTAGTGTTATTACAATGACAATTCTTTAGTGCAAGCCCTGTTGTGCTTGTATATAATACATGTACTCTCACAGACCCCAAAACAGCTGCTTTAAATGTACAAATGACAGCTCAATTCAGTCAAATGTGGCAAAGACTCACAATAAAGTGAACTGCTGTTAATTTCCCAAATTAACTTTAAAAAATCCCTGGAGAAGTGAATCCCAGGAAATGAACTTTCCAGATTTCTACATCCTAGAATTTTGGCTTGTCAAACACATTTCATAGAAATCAGGTAGCATTATAAGAACATTTGCTTATTACTGTCCATTTCAATAAGTACTCAAGTATATACTCCCTTAATAGCTTTAAAGAAATGCTTGCCTGAGAGTTTATTTTTTGGGGAAAAAGGCAAGTTAATCCCAACATGATCTTTTGATATGAAAACCACATTAAAAATCTGTTGGCCTTTACACAGAGTGAGTGGTTCAGTGAAGATAAAGTAGACAGTTATTCAGGCGTCACAGCTGAGCATGGCTGATCCAGGTAACTCTTTCTTGAAATGCTTGTCTTCACTATAGAATCTAAGGCAGATTTTTAAATAACCCCTGAAAAAGGATGGAGTCGGGGAATCAGGCCTGGAGAACCGAGTCCAAGAGCATTCTGCCATGAAAGAGAATCCACGCGTTCTGATGAGCACCCATTTGCCAGAGGCTCCTTATCTGCATGGTTCTGAGTTGGATCTGCCCTCCCGCTTACTGGAAACCTTATGCTCCAACAGAAACCACAGGGGACTGGAGAAGAACATGAGTTTCGTAACCCTTACGAATCAGAAGGGTTCTGTGAATGCCTGTGAGAAGGGACAGTAGCAGGGATTTAAAAAGATCTCTGGTCCGCTTGTGAGATTCTCCAGCCAGGACAGTTGTTCTTATTTTTAAAGGGAACACTTCCCTCTAGTGCACTGTACTCTTTAGAGCAGCAGACAGCTGCAGAATTTGCAGCAAGTAGCAGACATCTCAGAGATAGCAAAGTCCTAACCCCTTGATTAGAGAAACAGGGAGACAGAAGATTTAAAACCCACTTTTTAAACTGAGGAAGTCTCAAATAACTTAGCACATTTATAGTATCCCCTTTACAATTTTTAAGGCTCATTTTGGAAAGTGTGTATTACCATAAACATGGTCTGCAACATGAGGTGACTGTAAGGCAGTGTTCTCTTTCCTCTAGCATTCCTATGAGAAGAACCCCGAATGGACAAGTCAAACACGAACGCTTCCTTCCCTACACTTGCTGTATTCAAAATTAACAACATGAAGGCCATCAGCAGGAGAAGAGATTGTGGAACTGTGCCATTTCCTCTGAGCTTTCTTCTTCACACTAAACCTTGATAGTGGAATAGAGGTCATCTATCTGCGACCTGAAATAGTTCCGCAGCTCTGGCCTTTTCGCCTTCATTGTTGGAGTCAGAAGGCCATTGTCGATAGAAAATAATTCAGGGTGCAATGTGATGCCTTTGACCTGCCAATAAACAAGGCAGTTAAAAGAGGAAAAAGGACACGGGCCACCAGTCTCAAAAGCACGTAAGCCTTGGAGGGGATCAACACTCTCCAGCCATCCAATCCATCCTCTCATTTCAGCCAAGCTGCACCTTCTCAACAAAGGACAGGCATCCTATTCTTAGGATAGGATTCGGGATCATATTCTGATATCCAGGAAAAGAGAATAAATGCTTTTGATTTAAAAACCTTTCCCCTGTCAAACTACTCCATTATTTATTCCTCATGTATGTCTTTAGGTCACCCCATATGTTTATATAATCTACCTGTAAAAAAATCTTAATGGAAAATTTGTTTTACAGGAATTCACCCACTCAGATGAAGGTCATACCTGTTCAAATGGTTTCAGACCAGAATCCTTCCCAAGTCTCACCATATCTTCGAGGATAGCTTTTTTGACATCCTAAAAGGGTAAGAAAAATAAATTACTTCCTCTGTTAGAGGTCCCTGAATATCTACAGGTACATTTAATGCCAAGTTATGATGAGGACAGACTGGACCCTTCAGAACCTTACCTTATTTCTGCACAGTTCCTCAAACGACCCTTCAAATCCTCTCTTTTGGGCCCAGGAACATAATGTCTCAACATCTGGTACCACAATTGCAATGAGAAATGCCTTTAACACAGACAAATGAGTTATTACATAGCTTGATCCAAATGCTCTAAAATAGTGGTTCTTTATTTTTCCATCTTGTGGCCCCCTGGGAGAATATGATGAAAGTTATGGCTCATCTATTCAGAACATACTACCCCCCTCCCCCAGGAGTTCACTCAGCCCAGATTAAGAACTCCTGGCTCTAAAATGTGGTAAGCATCAGGAATTTTGCAATTAATGTTTTTAAAAAACCACTGGGAATACCAATCTAACAAATCTCTAATTCGTATTTACTTTTATATACTTATTTTTTTAAAAGCAGGGTCAAGTAAACAAGGTGATGGATATCAGATAACTGCTTTTAAAAAAAAAAGGAAAAAAAGGAAGCCTGTCTCATGCTTGTAATCCTAGCACGTTGGGAAGCCAATGGGGATCACTTGAGGCCAGGAGTTCGAGACCAGTCTGGGCAATATAGTGAGACTCCATCTCTACCAAAAAATTGAAAATCAGCTGGGTGTGGTGGCTTGCACCTGTAATCCCAGCTACTCAGGAGGCTGAGGTAGGAGGATCCCCTGGAACCCAGCAATTTGAAGCTGTAATGAGCTATGACTGCCATTACACTCCAGCTGGACAACAGAGTGAGACCCTATCTTTAAGAAAATAAATAAATAAAATGTATATAGGTTCATTTTTAAAGAAAAATCTCTAATATCCCATTCTTTATAATCTACTAACAATAAAATTAAAAATCAAAAGAATGAGAAGATTCTAGATCAAACGAAAATAGCTGCAATCTCAAAGAAAAATAAGTGCATTCTCTTATAAGAAAATATCCTAAAATAATTTTAAAATCTAACAACTTTTTCTTTTTTTTTTAAATTATACTTTAAGTTTTAGGGTACATGTGCACAACGTGCAGGTTAGTGCCATGTTGGTGTGCTGCACCTGTTAACTCGTCATTTAACATTAGGTATATCTCCTAATGCTATCCCTCCCTCCCTCCCCCCACCCCACAACAGGCCCTCGTGTGTGATGTTCCCCTTCCTGTGTCCATGTGTTCTCATTGTTCAGTTCCCACCTATGAGTGACAACATGCAGTGTTTGTTTTTTGTCCTTGTGATAGTTTGCTGAGAATGATGGTTTCCAGCTTCATCCATGTCCCTGCAAAGGACATGAACTCATCATTTTTTATGGCTGCATAGTATTCCATGGTGTATATGTGACACATTTTCTTAATCCAGTCTATCATTGTTGTATATTTGGGTTGGTTCCAAGTCTTTGCTATTGTGAATAGTGCTGCAATAAACATACGTGTGCATGTGTCTTTAATAGCAGCATGATTTATAAATCTCTTGGGTATATACCCAGTAATGGGATTGCTGGGTCAAATGTCTAAAACATCAAAAGCAGTGGCAACAAAAGCCAAAATTGACAAATGGGATCTAATTAAACTAAACAGCTTCTGCACAGCAAAAGAAACTACCATCAGAGCGAACAGGCAACCTACAGAACGGGAGAAAATTTTTGCAACCTACTCATCTGACAAAGGGCTAATATCCAGAATCTACAATGAACTGAAACAAATTTACAAGAAAAAAACAACCCCATCAAAAAGTGGGTAGAGGATATGAACAGACACTTCTCAAAAGAAGACATTTATGCAGCCAAAAGACACATGAAAAAATGCTCATCATCACTGGCCATCAGAGAAATGCAAATCAAAACCACAATGAGATACCATCTCACACCAGTTAGAATGGCAATCATTAAAAAGTCAGGAAACAACAGGTGCTGGAGAGGATGTGGAGAAATAGGAACGCTTTTACACTGTTGGTGGGACTGTAAACTAGTTCAACCATTGTGGAAGTCAGTGTGGCGATTCCTCAGGGATCTAGAACTAGAAATACCATTTGACCCAACTTTCCAAAAGGTTAATTTTCAGGAAACCAGATCCTCTCTTCCTTGGCATCATCTGTCCAACATTTTGGCAAATACCATACATGTTTCACTGCAATACTGATTTTGATTTTCAACTTTGAGTATTCTTGGTTCACAACCACCGTTTGCTCAAAAATGATTAGGAAGCATATCATCAATAGGCTGGGTTTAATATGTTTGAAAATTGTAAACTTTCTTATAACCCATGTCAATATTTTCTTTCATAATTGGAAACATATATTACCCATGCCCCTGTCCCCCAGTATGTTTATCCAACCTCCCCTTGGTACATCAGACCTCTCTAAGTAAAATAAAAATGTGGAAATTAAAGAGAACAAATTTTCCTGAGCAGGAAATGCCAAGCAACAAAAATCAGTAACAGGTCAATGATATTCTAGCAGATTAGACATGAAAGCCAAGTGATAGGCGTCTCAAACTTCCAATCACATTTAAAGCCCCTGGAGTACCAGGCAATGGCAATGTGTATGCAGCAAGATTCAAGACCCAGAAAGCACATACCTGCAGGCTTTCTCCGTGGACAAACACCTGAGCAACAGGCTCACTTCGCATGTAGATATTTTCAATCTTTTCAGGGGCTATGTATTCTCCTTGTGCCAGCTTAAATATGTGCTTTTTCCGGTCGATAATTTTCAAGGTGCCATTCTGTTGATCAGAGGGGAGGGGGTTATGAATGGGCTGATGGCTGGTTTCCAACCAGGATGGATCCCAGTACAACACTGAAAGGTATTTAATACACACTATTGATTAATTCTAATAACATCCCACAGAGGTCAGTTATGATCCCATTTTACAGAGAGGAAAACAAAGGCTTAGAGAGACTGAGGAACTTGTCCAAGGCTATTTGGCCAAGTGCAGAGACAGAGAAGGGGTCCTAGAGCCCGTGCTTATTCAGCGTCACCACTTGGCACCACTGACTGGTCAACACTAGCAAGGCTTTGCTGGCTCATTTAGCCTCCTGTCTGAATTAGGCGCATACACATCTGGCTCACCAAGTGACTCAAGTTCCTTAATAGCAGGAACACAACTTTTCCTTCCAAAGTGCTCTGCACAGAGTAAGAGTTCAAGAAATGTTTCCTACACAAAGGCCAAATTCCTGTTTTCTTCCTCGATGTCTGGAGGGGTGCTCTTGGCCCTTTGGGAAGAGTGAGTCAACTGTGGAAGTGCTCTAGCATCTCTGGACCAGACCAGCCACATCCCAGTAGTGCCGTAAGCAAAACCCTAGTCCCACTTTTACCCCATCCCCACCCCGGGGCCACTCTCATGCCTCCAAAAGTCATCTGTAGAAAGTGTCTAGGGTTCTTTTGTTCCACACCAGTTCTCCATTTTCAAAAGGAGCAAACCAAGGTCCAGAGAGACTATGGGATGTGTTCGTGAGTGCCACAGTAGAATTGGAACTGACATTTAATCTCTCTTGAACCGGAAGAGGGGGACTTAATTTAGCTCTAAATAGTTTGGGTATTGCAAAATCTGAAGTAATTTTGGGAGGTATTTTTCTAATCAATACAAATTCCAAAGAAATAAGCACCTAAAATCTACAAGAATCTGCCAATACACAGTAATAAAAATTATATTTGTAATTTTAGGGCTTGCAATCAGCATCATAATAACTTCGAAACAGCAGATTACTGGTCAAACCAACAGGTAGGACAGGTCAGGCTTCTTGCACAAGCTTCTCACTCTTAAGATAGACTCTTCAGAATTTCTCTACAGTAAATGGTTCTGAGACTACATTCAACTAAATTCAAGGAGTTCGCCTAATCTGTGAAACACCCTATTTTTAATGAGATGACAAACCTAAGAAACACATTTATTCCCAAATCCTTACCCATCCTACATTGCTGGAAGTCTACCACAACTTCCCCCAGATCTTATTTAACTGAGGCCTCAACATCACGGCTCAGTACGGATATTGTAAAAAAGCCACTGTCTCTTTGTATTCCGGTTGAGAAGCAACAACCAGAATTGATGTTAAGCATCAAAACGGGCCAGGCGCGGTGGTGGCTCACGCCTGTAATCCCAGCACTTTGGGAGGCTGAGGCGGGTGGATCACCTGAGGTCAGGAGTTTGAGACCAGCCTGGCCAACATGGTGAAACCCCGTCTCTACTAAAAATATAAAAATCAGCCAGGTGTGGTGGTGGGCACCTGTAATCCTAGATACTTGGGAGGCTGAGGCAGGAGAATCACTTGAACCCGAGAGGTGGAGGTTGCAGTGAGCCGAGATCACGCCATTGCACTCCAGCCAGCCTGGGTGACAAGAACATGATTCCGTCTCAAAAAAAAAAAACCCCAAAAACACAACAAAGAAACAAAAAAGCATCAGAACAAAACATATTCGCTGAAGTGAAAGTGAAAATCCAACCAAGGATGCTAAGTGTAACCCTGTCCCCTGCAGGAAATGGAACAGTCTACATCATACCACTCACCAAGGAGGAAGGGAAAGAGAAAATTCAGGGTGCCACTGCCACATGGCAGCTGCACAGTAGATAAGACATTTTCTTCCCCACAGTGGAACTGAACTGTTTGTGACCTGAGGAGGCGGCAACTTACTGGTAACCATTTTCCAATGTCCCCTGTGTGTAACCAGCCGTCTTTGTCCAAAGCTTCTGCTGTTTTCGCTGGGTCCTTCAAGTAGCCCTGAAATACATTTGGCCCTTTCACACACACCTAAAGAAAAGAAGATCATCAGTGAACAGCATTTACTGGGGTTTTTCCAGAGAAAACTGGTGTGTGCATGTGTGTACGTGTGTGTCTGCCCCAACCTTTAGCTGGAAGCCCTAAACTCCAGGATGCAGAGGGAGTTACCAGAGCCCCACCAGGGTCTGCGAGAGATCTCCAGTGCCCCTACTTCCCTTCCTGAATTACCTCAGCTCTGGCCGATTTGTAGGGCAAATGCTTGCCCTAGGTTCTGGCTCAAAGCTGTTGGAAAGCCCCGCAGGGGATGAAATCACTTTTAAGTAATTAGGCTTCCCATCCAGCAGCCAGCAGCTCACTAATAGGTACCCAGGGCAATCAACAGGCAGGACCTTCGTCCCAGGAACTGAGGCCACCGGGCCTTTCTTTGCAGGCTCTCCAGCCCAAATCCCTATGAGGCCTGGCAGAGGAAGACAGGCATCAGTGTCCCTCCTGCCCACTCCCCGAGAGCTGAACATAAATGTACCCTCAGAAAGAAGCCTGGCAGACTCCAGGATCACCAATGAAGTCAAGTTCAATGGCTTTATTGAGCTGTTGGGAAATACCACAGCATTCGCAAAGGCCAGCGATCACAGGAAATGGCAGCGAGGGAAAATGACTGACGGTTTTCACTCACCTCGCCCTCGCCCTCGGCAGCCATGTAATTCATTTCTTCCACATCAACAAGTTTTATCAAATTGCACGGCATCGGGGCCCCAACATGGCCTGTATATTAAATAAGCAAATGGTCATTCCTAAGGGAACTACTCATAACCTCAGGTCAAATTATTTTGATAGCAAACAGGATTCCACATAAGAAAAACGGCTGGGATAAACTTCTGATTTCTGCAATTACAGCCATTCTCTTCCTAGTATAATTTAAGAGAGTCTATTCTTAGACTAGGGAAGAACATATTTAGTGTCTTCAGGACCTTTTCCAAGTGTGATGCTCTGAGTTATTTATGAGTAATTTGGCCTCTATGTGAAGGTTCCTACAAACACCTGGAAGCAGCCTCTCTCAAACCTTCACTCGGCTTCCACCCTCCGATCGCCCCCACCCATTACTTGCACTCATCTTACACAGAATTCTTAGCATCCTGTTCTCTGTAAGAAGAGAGAACATATGCAGCTTTGGCAAACCTCACGCACCACCTGGTTCTGATCAACACGGCCTTTATTTCCTTGCGTATGAAGAAGCATGTCTTACAGTTTTTACTAAGACGGGACAGTGCTTATTTCTACAGCTAACTTAACTCTCTTGCCAAAGGCTGTTAAGACTGGGCTGTCTTTTCCAAAAGCAGCAACAACAGACATTAGATATGTTAGATATCACATTAGATATCACAAATAATTCTTCCTATGTTTTAATAATTTGAGCTTCTAGAGATCAGTATTCCAAATTCTCTGTTAAGGAAACTGAGGTTAAAAATTAAACAAATACCATAAAGAAGATTCACAGACTGTCTGCGTTAATTCCAGGACAATGATGTTAGTGGACAGTGCTAGGTTCTAGAATATATGTTACTAAATGGTGCTAATACTTATAATACTCCAAATAAGCTGGGAAGTTTATTTATCACAGTGTAGAATTTACTACTCAGGTGACACAGAGGAAGCACAGAAGCTCTGCAGTCAGGCCGGGGTTGAAATCCTGGCTCCAAAGCATAATGCCGCGTAAATTCTCATACATCATTTATGTGTTACTTAAGCAACAATCTATAATTTCCTCTGAGAAGTACCAGAACTTATCTCACAGGGACACTGTTGGGGTTACACTGACATTAGGTACATCCTAAGCACCCATCACAGAGGCTTACCCATGACAGATGCTCAATTATTTTTGTTTGTCCTCCTCCTTTTTCCTTTTGAGAAATGACTTTTTGAGAAAAAGGACTTGTATTTATTCCTATTGGTAGTCCCAACACCTAGCACAGCACACAGTACAAATTCAATAACTATTTGTTGTTTAAAATGACCAGCAAATAACGAGACCCTACTCAATTACTAGGAAGCTCTGTTGGGCCAGACACTCTCAATCTGGAACACAGGGCCCCTCTCAGATGTCACTAGTAGAGTCTAGGCAAGTCTCTGCTGCCACCAGCTTTACAGTCAGATCCCCAGCGCCACCCCTCAGTTGCAGGAGGTGTTCTCCCCACAGTGCCCTGACTTACAAGAGTGTTTGCCCCCAGAGCCTAATGATCAGAAACATAGCACTTTTGTTTAAGATGGTTAATGAACCAGTCAGTGATTAACCCAATTCCAGACATACCAATAACCCAGTATGAATAACAAAATTCCAAAAAGGAGCCTCCTACAGCCATACCTGCGGTCCAGTCTCCAGGCATGGTCAGGCAGCACCCGGCAGTGCACTCTGTCTGTCCGTATCCTTCATAAAACTGGGGCACCAAGAGATGCAACATTATTAAGGAGAGCACAATCACACCTTTACTGGAAGTGCACAAGCAATGAAGTCTCACTAACTCCCAAGTCATGGCTGACTGGTGAAATCTCATTTCAAATGGTCTGTTCAGTAAGTTCATTCAATGGTCCAGTGTGCTTTACGCCAACACCAGCCGTCACCCAGGTACACCTTCTATTTAACTTCCAGTGGCCAAGCGAGGGAGAACCCCTATGTGACTGGTCACCACCCAGCAGCAGTGAACTCCCTTGGCCAATTCACAGGACATGTACCCCACACATGCCCCGTCTGCCACCAAATCCTCCTTTCTCCCTTTACTACAGGTTGTCAGCATGGTGTGCGGGTAGGCTCATCACCTGTGACCCATTCCACAGCTGCATACCTGCTTCTAAAGGTTGTCTTGCACCTGATCCTAGAGAAAATTCAACAAATGGCAGACACACACATTCCCCTGCCTAGGGTAAAAAATATACATATGGTTGCTTCTCCAAGCAACCTAATAATAACATATCTTCCAAACAAACATAACACACACACACAAAGTAGGGGGTGGGAAGGATAGGGGTGATGTTGGTGAAAGGACACAAAGTCTCCATCAGGAGGAACTGGTTCAAGAGCTCCATAGCACCACGTGGTGACTAGAGCTAACAACAATGTATCATATACTTGAAAACTGCCCAGAGGGTAGATTCCAAGTGTTCTCACCACGTGGGAAAAAAAAGTATGGGTGGTAAGACACATGTTAATTAGCTTCATTTAGCCATTCCACAATGTTTACATATTACATACATCAAAACATCATGTTGTTACGCCATAAATATAGATACGCTTGTCAATTAAGAAAGAACACACACACACACACACAGTACAGATGACTTTTGGTGCAGAAGAGGACTGGGCATCCTAGTGTGGGAGAATCAGGCGCCGTGACATCCACCTCACCTGACAGCCCAGGGCTGCTCTGAGGAACGTCAGCACAGTGGCAGACACCGGGGCGGCTCCTGTCACCATCAGCCGGACTCTTCCGCCCAGGCTCGACTTTCAGGGAGGGAGAGTGGGAGAAGGTGAGGGTTACACACCTGGAAGTCGGCGGCCTCTCCGCCAAGGGGGCCTGCTTGGGACCCCGTTCCCTAACCCATAGCTGCAGACCACACGGAGGCCACACGGAGAACTCACAGCCCTCATGATGGCAGCACAGGGCTACGGTTTGTTTCCACCCGTGACTGCCCTGTTCCCTCCCAATGGGGATGGAAGTCAGCCCCACCTCTGCAGAAGCTATTTCAGGGAATTAGAACACAACTGGGCAGATCTGTGGCAACTACCACAATTCTGGCCTTCTGGGGGGCATGATATTGTTACACGTTATCACTCATGCTTGAAAAATTACCTCAAGAGTGACACGCTTGTTCCGGAAAAACGCAACAAAATGGAGAATGAGAAAGGCTCCACTACCCTGACTCCTTTTCCCCCTAGATGGCTGCAATACTATTGATCTTAGAAACTGAGGCCTCCTTAATGGCTTTGCCTTAGTTTTTAAATGTGTGCCAGAATTAACAAAAACATGTTATTCTCTCCCTTACCTTCATCTCTCCCTCTCACAAAAAAGGCCCTCCCAGAACTCTGAAAAGCGAAGTCGGTTTCCATGGGAGCAGTGGCTGTGAGTCACGTGTTACCTGTACTTTGTGGAAGATCAGCCGGTCCCACAGGCTGTTGTTTCTGATGATGCCGCTGCGAAGCTCTGCTTCTTTCCTCTTGGAGGCAAAGTCCAAGAGCCATCGCTTCAGCGTGGTGTTTGCTTGTCCGAAAATCTAATGAGGCAAGACATGAGAAAGTTTTCACACCTACTAGGATGGCCAGAGTCAAAGAGTGTGGAGAAATCAGAACCCTCACACACAGCTGGGGAACACAAAATGGCACAGCTGCTCTGACAGCCTGGCCGGTCCTCTAACGGCCCCACATGGTCAGCACAGGACAGCAATTCCACACCTCGGTATACACCCAGGAGCAATGGACACATACATCCCCAAATGCCCATCGAGTAGGAATGTGTAGGCCAGGTGCGGTGGCCCACGCTTGTATTCCCAGCACTTTGGGAGGCTGAGGTGGGCAGATCTCCTGAGCTCAGGAGTTTGAGTCCAGTGTGGCCAACATGGTAAGACCCCATCTCTACAAAAAATACAGAAATTAGCCGGGCATGGTGGCACATGCCTGCGGTCCCAGCTACTCAGGAGGCTAAGGTGGGAGGACTGCTTGAGCCCTGGAGGTGGAGGCTGCAGTGAGCCATGATAACACCACTGCACTCTAGCCTGGATGACAGAGAGAGAGACCCTGTCTCAAAAAAAAAAAAAAAAAAGGAATGGATAAATAAAATGCGTTATACCCATACAGTGGAATACTATTTGGCCGTTAAAAGGAATGAAGTGCTAATACGTGCTACATGGATGCTTGTGAAAGACGCCAGTCACAAAGGAGCACATATGGCATGATTCCATCCACAGAAAAGTCCAGAATAGAGAAATACACAGATGAGCGGATGCTGAAGGGTGGAGGGGGTCGGGGAGCTGATAAAGAATAGGTAAGGGTTTCTCTTGGAGGTCATGAAAATGTTCTAAAATTGATTGTAGTGATGGCTGGAGAACTGTGAAAGTACTCAAAACCTTTGAATTACACACTTTAAATCAGCAAATTATACAGAGTATTATATGTTGATAAAGTTGTCCTTTTAAAAAGAACCATTAAAAACATAAGAACGTTCTGAGAGATAACAAAAGTCCTGCCTCAAAATAAAGAGTAAGTGAACACTCTTTCTGGAGATTGCTCATGCCCCTCGCGCCTGGCCCTGGCTGTGCGGTCCACGCAATGATACCCACCGCAGAGGGGCTGGTGTTCTCTTGGGCTCTGCTGTGGCTTAGTCACTTCTTTCAGTGTGGCCAATTAAGTAATGTTTTACATGTCCATGCAAGGAGCTTTACAATGAAGAAAACCATTTCATAGTTACTATTCTTACGTGATCCCATTAGCAACTTTTGGAGACAAACAGTAGGAGAGAAGAGGTAAACAGTCCGTGTTACACATGAGGAAGCAGAGGCTCAAAGTGTTTATTGTAAAAATAAAATGACCTCCCACATTATGCTTGTGTTGTGACCATGGTTTACAAAGTGTGTTCATGCATTTTCTCTTATAATCCTTATCAGCCACTCTGAGAGGTAAACGCATTCTAACTTTACAGATGAGTAAACTGAAGTTCTGTAAGATTGGGAGGATTGTCCAGGGTCATACAGATGGCACATGGCACAGCCCAATTCAAGCCCAAGCCCCTGCGTCCAAGTCAGTGCTCAGTCCTGGGACTTCGCTGCTTGGAACTTACTCGGTCAAACATCCGGTTCAGCAGTCTTGGAACCACGGGGAAGACAGTGGGTTGAAGCACCTTGAGGTCATCCATGAGCAGCCTGATATCTCCTTGGAAAAATCCGATTTTAGCTCCATGACACAGCATTACACACTATAGGGGTAATGGAAAAAACAAACATTTTATCACCACAGCAGGGGTTACACAACATATGGACAACATCCAACATTTCAGTTTTAGCATTTCAGGCCAGTTTCCAGAAATCTTAAATTTCCTAAATATAGGTAACTTAAAAAAAATGTGCATTTACTAGTCATTGTACAACATGGAAATGTGGTATTTCTCTTGGTTATCCTGAAGATATGGGACTCAGTAAAAAACCAGGCTATGTTGTTTTTAGTGATGACCACAGAGGTTCTACTCTTTTAGTGCGGTGGTAAGTATCTGTTCAATGAATGACATGGTATTACATATTCTAAATATTTTTAGTGGCTGGGCGCGGTGGCTTACACCTATAATCCCAGCACTTTGGGAGGCCGAGGCAGGTGGATCACTTGAGGTCAGGAGTTCCAGTCGAGCCTGGCCACGTTACGGTGAAACCCCATCTCTACTAAAACAAAAATTAGCCGGGCTTGGTGGCGGGTGCCCATAGTCCCAGCGACTCAGGAGGCTGAGGCTGGAGAATCGCTTGAACCCAGGAGGCGGAGATTGCAGTGGGCTGAGATTGTGCCACTGCTCTCCAGCCTGGGCCACGGAGGGAGACTCTGTCTCAAATATATATATATATATATATATATAGCCTTCCAGAAACTTTACATTTAATTTATTCTCAAAATAAAAACTTAACTTCTTGCCTAGAGTCCAAGTTTGTTAAAGTCTCACTTTCTTTTGTTTGAATCTAACTAGAAGTTTCTGAAAGGCCACCAAGTATGATGAATTTGTGACACCAGGGTATCTAATACCAGAGTGGCTTGCCATTCAGCTAGAATACACTGCATGATTTTTTTCCTGTCTAGTACAAACCATGCTGGCAAGCCATATGGACCTGACAGTTTGCCTATTTTAAAATTTAAAAAGAAAAGATTCAAAAGATGACACAAGGGAAGTACAAATGTTCTCTGTCTTAGAAGCAGAAACCACGAGAAAGGTACACCATGGTTCACTGTTTAACAATTACAGCTCAGAAAGCTTTTGTTCAGCGTGGCCTGCCTTCTAGGCACACCTCTAAAACTCGTTAGGTACAGCAACTCATGTGAGATTGCTTTATAAACCCAGAAGACTCTGAGGTGTGCAGGAAGTAGAAGGAACAGATGGCAGATGGGATCTAATCGCCTTCGATCCTTTGGGATGAGCAAATCCGACAGGGCAGCTGTCATCCAAAGCATCGGCTGATAGTCACCTCTGTCTCCAACACAGCAGAGGGCACACAGCTAGAGCTCAGTAACTACTCACTAAATGAATGAATGGTGCTCATTGTTTTTTCCTACAGCATAAAATCCAAAATTGTCAAAGAAGGAAAAAAGGTGGTTCTTGGTCAGTTTTAAAATTAGTCACACAGTTGATTACAGGGAGCCTAGGCAAAGGTCAACTCAAGGATCATCCTCTTTCTCCAAGGGCACTTAGAATATTGCTGAAAAAATTAGTCGCAAGCCAACTTGTGCATTAGGAACAAGCACAATCAAAAATAGAGACTTCTCACAGAACGGAAGCCTCGCTGGGCTTTGTAGAACTGAATTAATAATGACTTTACCTTTATAGTTGGTTTTTCTGGACTCATGTCCACATTAGTATCCTTCAAAAGTCTGAACTCCTAATTTTAAAATGAGTGATTAAATTCCAGTATCCTGTTCATACTCAGAAAAAGAATTTATATTCTTTCAAATAATCTGCACCATTTCTAAAACGGGGCTGAGCAGAGAATTCTCTATAGGGATGACAGTCCGCACGCCACACTTACCTTCAATAACTGTTCATAAATGTGAGCAAGTGGTAAATATGAAATGTGTGTGTCACTGGCACTCAAGGGAAGTGCTTTCTGTAAAACACAACAACTTAGCAGAACATACACAAACAAGCAAGGAAAACAAAATTAAATGCCTACCTCTACAACTCTCTCAAACATATGGGCGAGAGGCAAGAAAGATATCAAAGTATCATCTGGGCAAGGATTGACTGTATTCTGTAAGCAAAGACACCAGCAAGGCAGAAAAGCATTAAGACTCCCAGTGAAGGGGAACATCGCACACCAGGGACGGTTGTGGGGTAGGGGGAGGGGGGAGGGATAGCATTAGGAGATATACCTAATGCTAAATGACAAGTTTATGGGTGCAGCACACCAGCATGGCACATGTACACATATGTAACACACCTGCACGTTGTGCACATGCACCCTAAAACTTAAAGTATAATAATAATAAAATTAAAAAAAAAAGACTCCGAGTAAACTTCCATTTTATTTCTGAGCACATAGTACCTCAACACTGAGGAGAAACGGCTTTTGCTTATGGTCTGCAATTTCTTCTCACCAAAGAATAAAATGAAAAACAAGGGGCATGGTGGCTCACGCCTGTAATCCCAGCACTTTGGGAGGCCAAGGCAGGCAGATCACTTGAGGTCAGGAGTTCAAGACCAGCCTGGCCAACATGGTAAAACCCCATCCCTACTAAAAATACAAAAATTAGCCAGACATGGTGGCACATGCCTGTAATTCCAGCTACTCAGGAGGCTGAGGCAGCAGAATTGCTTGAATCAGGGAGGCGGAGGCTGCAGTAAGCCGAGATTGCACCACTGCACTCCAGCCTGGGCAACAGAGTGAGACTCTGAATCAAAAAAAAAAGCAATACTTTAATTATTCAAACAAAGTGGAAGTCACTCCCCATGACAAAGTAAATCCACTTCAGGGCTTTAATCAAAACAAGGAAAATTTTGCTCAAATTGGAAGGTTAAGGGATTATATGCTCTAATCAGTTAGTATTTCATCACTACAGTATCCTAGTACCCAGCAAGTTCAATTTTACCTTAAGAAATACAGGACCCATTTCAACATAAAATTGCATTTTATGTTGTTAAGGGAAAGGAGGAAAGAAGATAAAAGAAGGTGGATTTCCAAGGTCCTTAGAGTATTTTGAGTTTGATCAATATTTTTAATACCTTAAAGCCCTACTTTACATATCACAATTTGTTTAATGCAACCTCAGATCTGGCACCCAGGAATTTGCTCTCCTATAAAATGCTGATCATGAT
Organism: Homo sapiens; assembly: GCF_000001405.40. Lineage (NCBI taxonomy): Eukaryota > Metazoa > Chordata > Mammalia > Primates > Hominidae > Homo > Homo sapiens. The sequence goes on from NC_000004.12 coordinate 184,771,541, forward strand.
GGGTCCACAGACAGATTAAGTTTGGACATCTGGTTTCCCTCAGAATGGGCCTTACTTAGGGCAGGCACAGTGAGGGTTTGTATAGAATATTCATGTTATTAACATAAAGAATTCTGGCCAAAACAGGGGGTGTGCAAGAGCAGCTGCTGTCATACCAACTAAGAAATGAGGGCATTGTCGTTACCTAGGGGATGATATACCAAGTTCTGAGCCATGCCCCTTCCTTTCCTAAAGCTGGGTCACCCTTAATAATAATGTGACAATGGATGAAAGCATCAATCCTGAGCAAACACAGCAGCCCCAGAAGCACTGGATGTGGGCTGAGCATGCTATAATCTCAGCTGGATTTTATTCAAGTCTGACAGGCATCCCAAGTAGTACTTCTCAGGATGAAATTGTTATATTAATATAATGAGAAATCGGACTCCATTCTATCTATACTTTTCAACTTTCTGACTCAGAACAAAAATATTGTCCATTATCATGATTAGACATCTTACAAAGCTGAGAAGATACTGATATTGTAATTGATTTGATATTGTAACTGACTTTAAACAAAGTTCTGTAATCATTTGCCTCAATGAGCCACCAATGCATTTTAAGTTTTGTTTGAAGGCCAATTAGGAAATTAAAATTTCACTTTGGTAAGGTACTAAATGTTGAACTCTGTTTAGAAAGTATACATCTTTAAAAAGGGCATTTGGAAAGTGTGAGCCAAGTAAAGTAAGTGGCAAGATCCCTCAAAGATCAGTTTTCTGCAGCCACCAAACATGTCCATTCCCCAAAGCCATTAAGCTCAGGCTCCTGCTACAAAAATCAGAGCTACAGAATACTTCCAAAGAGACTGCAAAAGCCAATTATGTTAAATGTAAAAAAGAGTATAAGGAAAAGGCATATGGTTCAATAAGCACCTTTTTAAAAGGCAAGTTTGGAATAGGCTGTTGGTGTTATGGACTGAATCACATCACCCCCTTCTAAATTCGTATGTCAACATCCTAACTCCCAATGTAGATGGGGCCCTGCTGTGACTGGATAGACTAAGACACTGGATAGTAAACTTTAAAAGCATGGGAAATTAGCTGAAGTGCAAGGCTTTACTACTTCTAGTGCAATGGAAGTCACACTGACCACAACAGATAATAATCATTCAAAAACTTTTAACATATCATTGCCAATTTAAAATAAATTATTTCCCAAATACAGGGACGCTGGATAAAAACACAAGAGAGTCCATCTCTTCTCTGTCCTTTCTTGGACATGTTTCTAGGGCAATATCCAAATAGAGTTTCTCTATATAAATGTTGCAGTGAACTTCATCTGTCAATTCACCTTAATTATCATAAGGCAAGGGTTGGCGATTAGGTTCAAAGTGAAAAAAGAGAGAAGGTGGACTTGGGCCTAAAGTTCTGACCTTACCCATATGTCACATCGTTTCTAAATGCCACATGGACCTAACACACTGGTGCCCACCTTCAGCACTTTCATTCTCAAGGACTAATGTCAATCAATGAGGAAAGATGACGACATCCCAAAAAGTTACCTCTGTTGCTTTCACAAAAGCTGAACAATCGCTCACTATGTTTCGGTGAGTGACCATTGCTCCTTTGGGGTTGCCTGTGGAGCACATATGAAGCAGAACAAAGTTAAAGAATGACAGAAATGAAGGAGGCCCAGAAACCTCACATAATTAGGGCTTCAGACACCTCTACTGTTAGATATATCGTGAAAACCAAATGTTGAACACTAAATTCCTAAGCAACCTGCAATCCTTACACTGACTTATCTTTAAAAACCTTTATTAATATGGGCACATTTTAAAGGGTATATACGTAGTCATAAGAGAAGAAAAACCAGAAATTTTCTTCCTGGGAGCCACCGATATAGTCTGTCCTAGGAAGACAGGTGAATCTAATATCACCCTCAATAAATGTTTGAGGAATTATCCGGCACTCTTGGACTCTGAGAAGATCTTACAGAGCAACAAGAAGACAGCACTTGAACCGCTTCCTTCTCTTCTGCTTTTGGTCCGTCTACTGTTAGCTGATAAGTCATCCAAAAGAGGTAGGGGAGAGTCCAGACCAATGGCTGCCATATGTAGAAGCAATTCTATCTCAAAACTCACCTGTAGTTCCACTTGTGAAACAAATTACTGCAAGATCTTCAGGTGCTGGAGGCTAAAGATTAAAAAAAAAAAAAGCTGGTATAAATCAGAACAGAAAAGAGAACTATAAGCCACAAGGTACCAGGCTAGATATTGAAAACTACAAAGAGGACAGAGCAGGGTCTGACACGGTGTGCTTACCTTGGGCTTCCGTCTGTTGGCTCTTCCCAGGTCCTTAATTAGAAGAGAAAAAAAGTCTTAAATGGAAACGTTTTCTAACTGTAAAGGATAAGGTCACATCGAGTCACTTAAAGCTGGCTTTACTGTGGGGTTCATTCACACCTGGCTCGAAAACAGCATAATTTTCTAATTAAAGAAACTATGGCAGTTTTAATTAACCAGAACCAAAATATTTATTCATTGTTCTGAGAAGCCATTTTCCAGTTACCTCTTCTCTTACATAAAACTACATAAACGGTATTAGGACTGGTCTTTGAAATAGGATGTATTAAAAAAACAGCAGCCAAAGTCTTTACCATGCATTTCTGGTCCCCACTTCCACTTCTTATTAGGGCCTTTAATAAAGCCCTGTTCTTAACCATAACGAGATACTGCAGATACTTCGTAGGTTCCTCAAATCAGAGCACAGCACTACCTCACCCCCACATTCTGCACAACTGACATCTGCAATCTGGGAAGAAGAAAAATCAATCTCTGCTCGATTGAAATGCTAGGCATTTTGGAGAGGCTCAAATATCTGCTCAAATATCTCCCCTCGTAGAGTGGAGATAGGATTTGGGAGCCCCCAATTATAAAACAGGCCACAGCAGACCCTCTAAGACTCCTTCCTGAATGGACTTGAAGGTTAAGAATGACAGAAGCATTGCGCGGGGACAGCATTTCCCAGCGGCAGGCTTCCAGTCACTACCACTGATGGGGTTCGGTTTACTGCATTAGGGCAGTCTTGGTGGCCACTTTAATATCTATTAATTTTAACAAATGAACTATTTATATTCTTTTCCTATTCAAATGGAACAGCTTGAATGAGGATATGGAATGAACATGCCATTGAACACGCCATTGAACATGTTCAATTCACGTGGAAATTAGATGGGTGTGCTCAGGGCTTAGTGAGTTTCTGCCCAGCATACATTAAGTTTTCAATCTTAATTACATTTTAAATGATGTAGTGACAGACCACCGATTAAGAACAGGAACTAATATATCCAATTAGAGGTCAGCCAAAAGCTAAAGCAATAATTCTGTACATTTTTTTCAAAATAACCTTTATTAGCTCCAGATTTCTATTTGTCTATTAAAAATTCTTACATAACTTCTGGAGATGCCCAATTCTTCAAAAACTGATGTTAAATAAAATAAAGCACCAGTTACATACAATTTGGCTCTTAATTTATTGGGAACAAACATTATCCAAATTAGTGCACTGTTGCCGCAAAAGTTTCACAGCCTTACATCTCTCTTACAGTATCACTTAGGAAAAATACTGCAATTATTATTATTTTTTGAGATGGAGTCTCGCTCTGTCACCCAGGCTGCAGTGCAGTGGGGCGATCTCTTCACCTTTTGCTCAGAATATTTTTAAAAACTAAGTACAGATCATATTAAACAGGTAAGTGTAAAACAATGTCTTCTATAAATTAATATTTTAATATAAACTTTATATTATAATCTTCAATCAACTAAATAATTTTTAAATTTCAACATTACTTCTTTATCATACAGCAGTCAAAAAACACCAGAAAAATTCTTGCATCTGTGGGAAGGTAAGGGAAAAAGAGATTACATTATAGTAAAAGAGGGTTAAAAGTAAAAAAACAGAAGTGGGGAAACACTAGGTAAGAAGCTATAAAACCCCAATTCAACAAGGAAGCACCCGGGTCAGCACTTGCGGAATCACGTTCGATGCTACTGAGAGAGAGAGTTGGGCAGGGGCGCACACATGCACAAGAGAGAAGGTTCTGTTAGAACACCCGCGCTTCCCTGTGCCTACTGGGTTCCTCAGGAAAGGTTCTACAGATCCTTACTTATAGCCTCAAATTCTTTGTAGGAGGAGGAAAACTACACATAAAAATTTAAAATCCTATCTATAACAGTTTCAGAAAAATATTTCTAACACCTTCAGAAAGAGAAGGACTGACTCTGTTTTCCTATGACTTGTTATGATATGTATATGAAAAGATCTTCCTCCGGCCATGTTCCTTGGATGGAACTCTAATCCAAGTCCAACTGACGGGGATCAACTTCTTATATCATCTGACATCAAGCACCCAAGCTGAGCATGGACCACCACGCTCATTCTCCTGGAATGGCTGCCTTTAAACTTGTGATTGGTATGACTCTTAAGAGTCAATATGAAAACAAACCAAATCAAACATGCATGTTGGAAATTCACCAAGACTCTCCACGAGCCATCCAGGGAAAAGAACGATGAGGCTGATTTCTATACTTGGCTTGGCATTAGAGACAAATTAGTAAGTAAAAGGCATTAAAGCCCAAAGGAGACACAGAAACTGAAAGTTCCACCTGCCTGAAGCTGTAATTCCCATTTCTGGCATTTCCGGGCACAGCTTGTCAGTGCTCTGGAATAAATATTGGAGTGCTGAAAGCACTTGGGTAAGGTGTGAGGTGTTAACACTGGGCACACATGTAGAATCCTTTTTCCAGCAATGAGACAGAAGTTTCTGCTCTCTTTCATGGGTTGCGGAGGCAACCGGCCAGCGCTGGGACTGCACCATAGCACTAGATAGCACTGGATAGCACGTGTGAGCCAACACGGCCCCAGGGAAAGCCTTCAGAGAAGGGAAGGAGGCAGGGCACTCACCTCCATCGCCTTCATGCTGGTGACTTCCACCCCACACCTCTGGCCTCGTTCCACCAGTTCACTGCCGTAGGCATCCATGACAACTATGATTTTAAGGCCTGGTATTAACTTATTTTCTACACCCTCTAATAAGAGTTTGGCCTTCTCTGGCTTGTCAACAAAAACCAGAGAGAGTTCAGCTGTAAATGAAGAGATACAATGAAGAATAAGCTCTGGGATGTTAAAAGATTCACTCTGTCATATCCAGCACAAGGATACTTGAAGTACTACATTCTTTGAATAAAAAGGTAGATATATATTTACATGTAAAATCTTTGTCAAATCAAATGTAAGCAAATGTAAAGTCACTGAACCTAACCAATAACTATGCCAATAATCCAGGCAAAGATCACAGACGTACCTTTGTTGACTATGTACGTGATGGCTTCATTTCCAAGGGTATCATAAAGTGGAACGATCACCATCGAATAAGCAAAGCATCCTTGTTCAATAATCACCCACTAAACAAACAGTAAAGGTCAGGGAGAGAAAACAGGATGTCATCATGTAATCAATAAGGAGAACAATACTCAAGAGAGATTCAAAGTGAAAACATTTGACGCAGCAAAATTAACATCTGTGTTAGCTACTACTCTGTGCCAGGTGCTATAAGGGATTCAGAATGAGAACAAAACACATGCCCCCTTCTTAAAAAGAAATTAAGGCCAGGCACACTGACTCACACCAGTGATCCCAGCACTTTGGGAGGCCAAGGTTGGGGGAATCAGTTGAGCCCAGGAGTTCAAGACCAGCCTGGGAAACATGGCAAAACCCTGCCTCTACAAAAGTTATCTGGACATGGTGGCACACACCATGTCGCAGCTACTTGAGAGGCTGAGGCGGGAGGATTGCTTGAACCCAGGAGGTTGAGGCTGCAGTGAGCTGTGATCACACCAGTGCACTCCAGCCTGGGTGACAGAGTGAGATCCTGTATGTATGTATGTATGCATGTACAAAGAGAGGGAGGGAGGGAGGGAAGGAAGGAAAGAGAGAGAGAGAAAGAAAGATGAGAGGACAGAGAGAGAAAGAGGAGAGATTGAGAAAGAAAAGAAAAAAGGAAGGAAAGGAAAGGAGAGAAAGAGAGAAAGAAAGATAAATTAAAATCCGCCTGAAGAATTGAGGCAAATATGTTAAAAGATAATTAGCAATAATTATCAGACAGGGACTGACCCAGAGATAAGAAAGCCCACCATCGGCCAAGGTAGCTACAGATGCTACTGGGAGGGTGTAACTGAGATTGCCTTTGGAAAGAGAAAGAAAGAGAGAGAGAGAGACAGAGACAGAGGGAGGCAGGGAGATGCTAACAGAGGGGATGGCAGGATCAAAAGCAGGGGTAGTGAGAGCGATCTGACTGGCACAGATGGTTCTGGCTGGAGAGCACGGAGCAGCCACTGAGAGTTTCTCAGCAAAACAGCGGCTGTGGGGCTCAAGGAAGACCCCTCTGGCAGCAGGGCACTGTATGCCCTGGAATAGGGGAAGAAGTACCTTGTCTAGCAGCAAAACTGTTTTGATAAAATCCCTCTAGAAAAGTGCAGGAAAGAAGTGAGACAATAACTGGCCACACTGCCACATGCAAGATGCAGTAAGATGTGTCTGAAGGCACTGGCCACATAGCCACTGCCCTACCTACTGGACAAAGGTGAAAGATCACTCTTTCACTACCATACCCAGGGGTACCCCACTGCCTCCGGCTGCACCTTTCTAATGAAATCATCTGCAGAACTCTGACACACAGGACAGAAAAAGGCACAGCCGGGGGAAGGGGGCACAACCCACTCACATCCACTTGGCCTGGAACTAGGCTTCTGAGTTTCGGTTTTTTCCCAGAAGGAATTTTCAGCCAACAACATAGAAATCAGGTCCCAGCTCCTTAGGCACATGTGACGCATGAGGAAGGCTGTCTTTCCTGCCACTCCACCACATGAAAATGCTCCACTCCCAGACACAGGTGTGAACGTGGGCATTCCCTTGGCCTCCCCGCCCCTATTTCCTTCAAGATTCTACTCAGGTGCCACCTCCAGGGAGCCCTCCTTGACTGAGCTCCCATAATCCTTCTGCCCTGCGCCCACACTTACCACTTGACAGAGAAAGCACCGGTGTTTAGGTCTGTCTTGCCTTACGTGGTACCTCAGGAAGAGAGGCCGAGTCACTGTGCTTTGGCACCCCAACACAGTGTCTGACATATAGTGGGTGCTCAGCAAACATTTGTTGAATGAACTCATAAATACAGGAAGGAACCTATTTCTTATTTGTTTTGCAGTTCTAGATTCATGATAAAATTCCATCAAAACAAACATTTTGATGTGTTCATTTGGGATGAAAAAAACTAAATTCTACAAGCCCAGTCACAGTCCAGCTGTGGAGAATGCTGTTTTCCCCTTGAAAGACCACAAAACTCTAAGAAGCCATCTTTATTTATATAAAAAAAAAAAAGTCAGTAGCACAGGGATTGAGTCAGCATGTCTTCTGGACACAAGCAGGTATAAGAATAAATTCGATTTCTTCAAGCCAGATGCTTCCATTTTTCTAAGCCAGCTAGATCTACTAATCTATTGAGTCATACCATAAGCAATACTTCCAAAAGAGCTGCTCATTTAAACTCAGTTTCTGATATGTTTTGGCTGTGTCCCCACCCAAATCTCAACTTGAATTGTATCTCCCAGAATTCCCACGTGTTGTGGGAGGGACCCTGGGGGAGGTAATTGAATCATGGGGGCTGGTCTTTCCCATGCTATTTTTGTGATAGTAAGTTTCATGAGATCTGATGGGTTTATCAGGGGTTTCTGCTTTTGCTTCTTCCGCATTTTCTCTTGCCGCCACCATGTAAGAAGTGCCTTTCACCTCCTGCCATGATTCTGAGGCCCCCCCAGCCATGTGAAACTGCAAGTCCAATTAAACCTCTTTTTGTTCCCAGTCTCAGGTATGTCTTTATCAGCAGCATGAAAATGGACTAACACACTTTTACACACTGGTTTACAGAAACCGTGCTGGGCTTAGACCACCAATGACAGACTGCCCAAAGGAAGGCTGGCTAGCAGTGAGTACTGTCCCCATCACCCATGGTATTTTAAACTCTAGAAACCAACCAGAGGGAAAGCCTCATACCTTTCAGAAAGGAAAAAAAGGAACCTGCTATTGACAAAAATGTATCTGAGTCTCTCTATAACTTATTAATGCCATTTTTCTAACCACAGAGGTGACTCTTAAAGTAAAAAGACTCCTTTGTTAGTTATCTGTTCTAAGGATTTTATTTGGGAACCTGGTTTAAAAAAACTAAAATAATCCCCCCAAAAAAGTGATTTCTTTTTTCTCTTAAAGGCGATTAAAAGGCCCTGGTTCAGGTTTTCCTTTCTTTTTTTTTTTTTTTGAGACGGAGTTTCGCTCTTGTTGCCCAGGCTGGAGTGCAATGGCACAATCTTGGCTCACCGCAACCTCTGCCTCCCGGATTCAAGCGATTCTCCTGCCTCAGCCTCCCGAGTAGCTGGGATTACAGATGTGTGCCACCAGGCCTGGCTAATTTTGTATTTTTAGTAGAGATGGGGTTTCTCCATGTTGGTCAGGCTGGTCTGGAACTCCCGACCTCTGGTGACCCACCCGCCTTGGCCTCACAAAGTGCTGGGATTACAGGCGTGAGCCACTGTGCCCAGCGGCCCTGGTTGAGGTTTTCATATGTGTAACTTTCTAAGGTGTAACGTAAAGCTATACTTTTAGTAGAAATCAGACTACAAAATCTGGTCTCTAGCAGAAGTTAGGCTCTTATATCTGAGAATTCTCAAAATCATGCATAGCAAGTACCTACTGGTTCATACCTCAGGTCTATTTTGAGCAAAGATGCCAATGAACTGATCTGGGGCAGTCTTGAAGCCCTTCTGGATCAGTGCTGAGCCTATGCACTCCGACAATTCTGCAACCTAAAATGGAGAGGAAAAAGTCAGAAGCAGCATTGGGCCCCAACTCCAGAAACAAAGCTGACCAGACGGCAGGCTTGTATCTCAGCCAGCAAGCAATGCTGCACACAGAAACGGAGAGGGAACATGCAGGTATTCCTTTATTGATAGATTTTTTGGTAAAACACAAGGTTTTATTCACAAGAAATCAGAATTAAGAGAACTGACCGCAGGGTTCCTTCTGCAAAGAAAATTAATCTTATCCCAATGGCTGCAGGTCACAGACAATTATATGGCAGGGCTATTTATACATTTTTTTCTATTTTAGTTTTATACAATTTTAAAAATGATAGAGAGATGGATTTGTTTTATTTATAAAGCAGCCAAAACTTGTTTATTTGGTATAAACACAGAAACAGCAACTTTTGAGAGACCTATAAAAAATAAGAGCAAGCTCTTATCCTTAAGTTCTACAGTTCCATTCTTGAGAACGTATTCTTAGGAAACAATTCAAACTCAGGAGGAGGTTTTTAAAAGCCTACATACAGGCCAGGCACGGTGGTTCACGCCTATAATCCCAGCACTTTGGGAGGCCGAGGCAGGCAGATCACTTGAGGGAGTTCGAGGCCAGCCTGGCCAACATGGTAAAACCCCGTCTCTACTGAAAATAAAAAATTAGCCAGGCATGGTGGCGTGAAACTGTAATCCCAGCTACTCAGGAGGCTGAGGCAGAATTGCTTGAACCCAGGAGGCGGAGTCTGCAGTGCACTGAGATCACCCCACCGCACTCCAGCCTGGGTGACAGGCGAGACTCCATCTCAAAAAAAAAAAAAAAAAAAAAAAAGCCTACATATAAACAATATGCAAATATTTCAAAATTATTGCATCAAAAATCTCTAGGGTAAAAAACCTAATCATGGCTGGATGATTAAGTAAATGATGGTAAATCACTAAGAAAATGCTACATAGTAAATATTATAATTATGAAAACTATCAAACTTAGGACAATATTACAATGATAAGCAACACATGTAAATATAAAAATGCATATTATAATAACTAAGTAAAAATTGATAGGTTTGCAAAATTCAGCAGGGTTATCCTATCCTCTCCCTGTTCCTACCCCAAATAAACTAAAATTTTTAAAAAATCTTAAACTTTGCAGTTATTTTCTTTTCCTTTTTCTTTTCTTTGTTTCTTTCTTTTTTTTTCTTTTTGAGACATAGTCTCACTCTGTTGCCCAAGCTGGAGTACAAGGGCATGGTCTTGGCTCACTGCAACTTCCTCCTCACGGGTTCAAGAAATTCTCCCTGCCTCAGCCTCCAGAATAGCTGGGATTACAGGCACCTGCCACCACACTCAGCTGATTTTTGTATTTTTCAGTAAAGACAGGGTTTTGCCATGTTGGCCAGGCTGGTCTTGAACTCCTGACCTCAGGTGATCTGCCCCCGTCGGCCTCCCAAAGTGCTGGGATTATAGGCGTGAGCCATACCGTGCCTGGCCTGGAGTTATTTTCTTTATTCTCAGTTCGCAAATTCTCAAGAGTACTCTTAAAGCACACCCATACCCATAGGAAATAAGACCATACCTACTCCTGGCCTGGAACCCTACTGGTTCTGGGCCTTGGCACCATCCTGGCCCTGCCTATGGGGAACAGACTGATCGTGGTAAGGTGACAATAGGATGACACAAACAGGCTCATTACTACTCTCTCCTTCACAGACGAGTTCAAAAGTCTTGGTTGCATTTAAGGAATCAGAGCCTGAGAAAAGCCTGCAATTGGATGCTATACAGCTGGTAAATATGATTGAATAATACACGCACATTTATATTTCTAGATCGGTCATACATTCTTAAAAAAAAAAAAACAACCCTTTAAGGCATTCCTAGCCACCAAAAGGTCATATTCATTGGATGACTGAAAAAAAAAAAAAGATTTGAATGTACAAATCCAAAGTTGGCTTCAGTTTTGTATCTTCACCTGCTTCCAAATGAAGTGTGCAAGTCATAGATTCACACCTTCAGAAACCCCAGTGATTTTCAATCTGCCTTGAAAACGCCTATCTGCAATGGACGTGTCTTCTCTCTTCCAGCCACTAAACAACAGAAGTAACCCAGGAGGCACAGAGGATTCCATGATGCCTCAGGACCATCACACACAACACACACATGTTCAACACACACAGGCTGTTCTTACACTTGTGAAAATGAGGGATCCTGGAAACTACTATTTGTGCAAGAAACTACTATTTGGCTCTGACAGGACAGAATAAAAATGGGAAATCCTTCCAATCATGTGAGATACTGCCCCTAGCTCCTTCTACAGGGGAGGTGTGAGAAGTTGCTTCCCCTTCTCTTGAGAGACAGATGAACACCTCTCAAGCAAAGCCTTCTGCATCCTGTCGACCCCAGAGGACGGACGGGGAGAAATCATGCACTTCAGTCTGAGAAGAACCAACAAGCACTACTGCAGGAGTGTGGCTCCGAGGCTGCAGAGAACGATCCCTTCCACAGACGCACCCCAAATACACCAGCTCCTAAGCTGCCCTTCACACAAAACCCAGAAGGAGGAAGTGCATTTGTATTCATGAATCCGCATGATTACCTGCCCCGAGAGCAGGAGAAGGGGGGCCAGGGACGGGAGCCTTTCCTGGACAGCTGTGTGGAAGCAGCAGGCAGCAGAGCTGGCCTGTCTGGAGCACGTGCCTGTTCCGGGGTGCCGTGTGGACTGGGGAAGAGCTGTGGCACCCACATTCATTGTAATCATGATAAAAATAAAAATAAACAGCAACGTCTTCCTGCACTGCTACTGCCACTCATGAGCCGCTGTTTCAACAGCTGTAGCCGTTGATGGGTGGGGACTAGAGACCGACAAGGGCCACCATACTCAGATCCCAGCTTCCTTTGTGCTTATACAGTAACACAAGTGCCTTCCCCGAACATCTGTGTTCCTCCCTACAGCTGCCTGGGGGTAAGTGTCACACAGGTGGTGAGTTGGCCAAGGACAGCTTTGAGGGTCAGCAGCATGCACTAGGAAAGCCTACACAAGAGGCTGCAGGCCTTGCTTCTGGTCCTGGTTCTGCCACTAACCAGCTATAACCTTGGGTGAGTCACCTCTTTTCCTGAGACAGGTCCTCCTCATCTGTGAAATGAAGATGTATTCCCACGTTCCAGCTTCTGAGTTTTTCTAGTACCCCTCAAGTGGAGAGAAATAATGCTATGCCGCCAGGGGGACCGGGAGAGTTTCTAGAATTTTATCTTAAAAATTATACTTGACTTCACAATGTATCCACATCAGCTTTGAAATACAATGCTTTGAACCACCTGTTAAATTCCTTAACTTGTTCTCCCCAAACCTTTGTGTCAAGTTTCTCCTTGGATGCCCCATGCTTACGGCAAGGCTCTGAGCTGGTCCAGCACATACACTCTGGAGAAACCTTCCGGCTCCAAGAATGCACATACAGAAGCACCCCTGCTTGCAAGAGGAGTCCACAGAGCCTGTCTCATACAAACTCACCTGTTTATATGAAAGCCATTCATAGGGTTGGTCTGGTTTCCGAGAGCCTAAACAAGGGCCATTATCTAAAAAAAGAGAAAAAACAACAGATGGGCTGAACGTACATAAATATTCCTAGATTTTAATTTGTATCCCAACCGCACTCTAATACTAAACATCAGCTAGACTCTACTTTAGTCCTCAGATAAGAAATGGTGGCTTCAGATTGGAAATGTTTTCTCCCTCAGTTTTGGTCTGATTTTTTCTTTGCTTGTTTATTTCTGTTTTGTTTAAGTGGGGCAGGAGAGGGGGACAGAGGGGAGAAAAGGCAATATCCAACTCTTAAGGGCACTTAATTTGTGATTCCTCTTTAACACCCTACTGGTTTAGACCAGGAGTCAGCAGATGAGTGGTAAAGAGAACCTGCTGTAGTGGTAAACAGATACCTTTTCAGAAGAGGTATTCATCAAAACTTTTCAAGAAGTCTAAAGCATTCTAATTCAGAATACGGAAAGGAAAATATAATTCTTTATGTGTCCAAATTTTGATGACCAAAGGTATCAAGAATTACCTGGAATCCTAGTTACATGGGTGAAGTCATGATTGCAGAAAAACAAAAACAAAGAAAAGATGCAAAATGAGGTGACGTGAAGCGGTATCTGGGAAGCAAAAGTTAGGAAATACCGAGATGTTTCCCGATTCCTATTCAGGTTTCAAAGAAGCAAAAGGGGACCATAGTGCATCTGGCTTTAGCATATTAGGTCTGAGTGTTCGTGAGGAGGCTCTGATTTGACATGAGGACCTAAGGAAGTAGGATGGAAGGCAGGGCTGGCCCCATCACACAGATCATGCCCCAGACAACGGCAGTGTGCTGCACATGCAGATTCAGGAATCAGCCACGTGGCTGAGGAGGACACAGGCTGGACACACTGACTTCTTTGCCATCCCTAAAAACAGTCCTGATGAAAACAGGAAGAGCTATTCTCGGACCCTCTCCCATTTACAGAGACTGTAACAAGCACCATACAAGATGAGTCCAATCAGATGTTGCTTCCAGATGGGAAAAAAATTGCATTAGCCATATGAAATGATGCGATTTTATTCCTCAAAAACAGAGACGGGCGCACTGCAGCCAAGGGCCAAATCAGGCCCACTGGCTGTTTTTGTAGACACAGTGATAGTGGCACACAGCCACACTCATTCATTTTTGTTCTGTGTGAGGCTGCAGTTGAGTAGTTGCAACCAAGACCATATGGCACCAAAGCCAAAAATATTTACTACCAGGCTTTTTACAGAAAACATATGCCAGCTCCAGCTCCAGAACTAGCCGTTAAGCTGCAGGCTCACCAGGGGAACTTGATACTATACCAGGTTCTACTATACCCAGGCTCTAGAATTTTTTATTCAGTTGAATAGGGATGGGGCCTGGGCCTCAGTATTTTTTAGAAGCTCCCCGATGGCACAAAAGTGCAGCTAGAGATGAGAGCCACTGAGAAGCAGGGAGCTCAATCTTTATAAATGGCTTCCTTGGTGCAGTTTTAAAGTACTAGGTTTAAAAACTCTAGGCGGGCTGCTTCTATCATTCAACAAACTTCTGACCCCTTATCCAAGTGCTGGGTCTTGCTCTTTTGTTTCAGTTTAATTCTACAGTAGCCTAAGAAAATCAAAGCTTAGAATAAAAAGATCCTCCTGGGCGGGGGCGGGGGGGGGGGGGGGAAGGAAGCAAATCGAGACCTGCAAAGCAGCTCCCTTCAATGAGTACAGATCAAGAAGACTGGACATACTTTCCTTCACCTTCTCTGACACATCCATAAAAGGACTTTCATTTTCCAGGGGGAGCAAGCGACCAAAGAAAAGTTATGTGACTTGTCTTCAGATCAGAGGAGAGTCAAAAGCATAAAGTAAGTCACCATGCTCCTCGATGAATGTATATACATTTACATGTATACAGCAGGTCCTCAAATAACGGCATTTCATTTGCACGTTCTCCTCACATCTATGTGGTTTTTCCTGGGAACTCTGGGTTCCTCCCACATCCCAAAGCTGTGCCTGTGAGGTGAACTGGTGCATCTCTACGGTCCTAGTGAGTGTGGGTGAGCGGAGTGAGTGTGTGAGTGTGAGTGGGTGTGAGTATGAGTCTCCCTACGATGGGAGGGTGTCCTGGCCAGGGCAGTTCCCACCTGACATCCTGAGCTGCCCAGATGGGCTCCAGCCGCCCACGACCCTTAACTGGAATAAACAGGTAAATATCTTATTTTTATCAATTGTTCCTAAATGTCTGTATCGCTCACATTTATTTCATGTTTAACATAAGAAGCGTGGTCTTTATTTAGAAGTTTGGTGATGTTTTTGTGACTAGAAATACGCTGTGGGAATGTAACTCCTGTTCGTATCAATTAGCCTATGGGAAAAACTGGTTTCATTATAGTGGTTTTCAAGTTACAGTTTCCAAGAACCCATCAAAGACATTAACTGAGGACTTACCGTATATGTGCTCTGTGGTGGTGGCAAAGCACACACACACACACACACACACACACACACACACACACACTGTTTCATGTGCCATATGTTAGGCTGATCCACCTGATGGATATTTACTATCACAGACAAACCCTGACCTTGACACCAACTTTGAGAATGTTCATAAATTAAATAATACACAAGTAAGCTTGCTTTTCCTTTGTAATAGGGCTTAATGCACGTGCTATGGGAACACTGGGACAAACTCGCCAAGCTGAGACATCCAATGTTACCAGTGTCAAGTAAAAAACAATAGGCACTTTCTTTTTTTTTTTTTTTTTTTGAGACGGAGTCTCGCTGTGTCACCCAGGCTGGAGTACAATGGTGCAATCCTGGCTCACTGCAACCTCCACCTCTCCGGTTCAAGCGATTCTCCTGCCTCAGCCTCCTGAGTAGCGGGGGTTACAGACATGCACCACCATGCCCAGCTAACTTTTGTATTTTTAGTAGAGACGGAGTTTCACCATGTTGGTCAGGCTGGTCTCGAACTCCTGACCTCGTGACCTGCCCGCCTTGGCCTCCCAAAGTGCTGGGATTACAGGTGTGAGCCACCATGCCCGGCCAATAGGCACTTCTTGAGTGCATATTACATGCAACCTATCATGAGGGATAGAGCCAGCAATACCACATGGTTCCTGACCGTAAAAAGATTACAATGTAGCTAGCAGTGGCCCAAATAAAAGCTAAGCATCAGAGGATTTAAATAACAAAGCACAGATTCCAAGACCATTTTTAGACAAGTACCTGGTATAAGCAAAAATGAAGTGGCTAAAATAGAAAGAGGGGTGGAGAAACCAGAGGTACTCCCTCCTTCACTGAGGATGCATTAGTGGGGCGCTCACTGTGTGCCAGGCACTGTCAGTGCTGTGAAAAGAGATGACTGATAACCACCCTGTTCTCAAGGAGCTCGGGCTAGGGGGGCAGAATGCCAGGTGAACACCTCTGTGCCATCAGGAGTTATGCAGAAGGAATATAACATGCTGGGAGGGAAAAGGGAAGAAATGCTTCACTCAGAGGTAGGGGATGAAAATGATAGACTAGGAAGGTTTTAGAGAAAAGGTGAAATGCAGTGAGTTTTGTAAGATTAAAGAATACATCAAGCACCCAGGCTGGGGGTAGAAAGAGGCTTTATGATCAAGAAAAAAAAGTGCATGGCCGGGCATGGTGACTCGCGCCTGTAATTCCAGCACTTTGGGAGGCCGAGGTGGGTGGATCACCTGAGATTAGGAGTTTGAGACCAGCCTGACCAACATGGAGAAACCCCATCTCTATTAAAAAATACAAAATTAGCTGGGCGTGGTGGTGCATGCCTGTAATCCCAGCTACTCAGGAGGCTGAGGCAGGAGAATCACTTGAACCCAGGAGGTGTAGGCTGCGGTGAGCCAAGATCATGCCATTGCACTCCAGCCTGGGCAACAAGAGCAAAACTCCGTCCAAAGAAAAAAAAAAGTGCACAAGTCTGGGCATGGTGGCTCACACCTGTAGTCCCAGTGCTTTGGGAGGCTGAGGCAGGAGACTCACTTGAGGTCAGAAGTTTGAGTCCAGCCTGGGCAACATAGCAAGACCCCATTTCTAAAAAGCAAAATAGAACTGCACAAAGCCTCAGGGCTGGGAGAGAGCAGAGGTAGTCGTGGCTCTGCAGGAAGTTCAGTATGACCTGAGGGCCCTATACAGGAGGCCTGGGAGGGACAGAGGCTGGAAAGGAGGTATGCTGGATATCACAGGGTTTCTTACACTACAGTTAATAATTAAGGGTAATCCCATGAGCCAACATTTCCCAAGTATCTTTAACAGAACACTGCCATCCTGGGATGTCAGTATTTCTTTCTCAAAATATGGGTCTCATGGTCAAGTAAGCATGAAAAATGCCGGATTGGGCCCAGTTCAACAGACCTCTTTATTGCAGGAAACGTCAGAGCCTATTGTGCACTGGTGTAACATGTGACTCACCATAAAATACAGGATGTGACACTCACATATTTGACCATGGAGCCCCCAGGGCCACAGGGAACATCTAGAGGGTCCAGTGAGCTTTGGGACCGACTCTGGGAAAGTTACAGTGGACACAGAGGGGCCTGAGCGATCCTAAGGAGGCGAAAGATAGGAGCAAATGTGCATTTCTGAAAGGCCACTCGTTCTTCATGAAACACGGCGAGCGGGAGCCACGCAAATGCAGGAAAATGCTTACTTGACACCTGTATTCCCCTCTGGAAACCTTCGTATAATGTTGTGACATCATCATAGAAATACACCAAGGGCTCGTCGCTGTCAAGTAGTGCGGATCTTCGTGCACCACCACTACCCTATCAAAAAAGAAAGGGGGGCAGGTTAGAAGGCAGTGAAACATCTATGCACTGTGGAATGGCTAAATCAAGCTAATTAACATATCCATTCCTTTACATTCTTGTCACTTATCTGTAGTGAGAACACTTAAAATCTATTCTCTTAGTAATTTCAGGTATATGGTACATTGTTATTAACTACAGTCACCAACTAATAGTGAACATGGTCACCATTTTTATTAAAAATAGATGTCCTGAACTCGTTCCTATTATACACCATAAATACACATAATTTGTATTTGTCCATTAAAAAATAAAATGCTTAAAAATTAAATATAAAGTCTAATATGCCCCTGTGGTATCCGCACCCCTCTAGGCGGCCACCTGCGGAACAGCTGCCCAGTGAGTGAGTGCTGAAAGACTGCAGTGCAAGATGTGCTGATGTAAACCAATCATTCGCCTGGAGGTAAACACAGGCTTCGGGGAACCACGGCTAAGTCAGAAAGATGCCTGAAGAGAGAAAACAGGTTTACAGACCTACAAGTGCTGGTCCTGCCGGATAAGGCCAAAGAGAGCAAGAGAAGAGCCACAAACTGCCACCACTACACACATTGACAGTTCTCAAGCCACTGCCATCCACAGCACAGAGGACTGATCCTGTTCAGCTCTGGTGGAAATGAAACCCCATTTGGTTATACTTCTAAAATGTTACCTATATTCTTTTTGAGACTATTTCCACTATTTTATCTCCTCACCAAGCGCAATATCATCTGTTAGAAACTTCACTTTCTTGCATAGCATCTCTAACAGTTAAAATCATCAGCTACAAAACATATGCATGTGCAGACACAGGTCTTTATTAGTTTTAGGTGCAACATTTATAGGTGTGCAGATTTGACATCGCTGTGCACCTTTCTCTAAGTCGTCTTCATCTGTTAGCTTCCTGAGTATATTTGCTATGTGCAAGAACTCCTAATGATGGATAAGGCGGCAGGGCCTAGCCTCCCACAGTAGCAGCAGTAGTCTTTACAGGTAGCAGGTCTCCAATGTGAGCTGCTGAGTCCTCTGGGGCCAAAGGACACTGTAAGGCATCCAGACATCCACAGAAAGCCAAAAAGCAGTCTTTAGAGACTGATAAATAAAAGCTCAGTGACTATGACGTTAGAGCCTACCTTTTTTTTTTTTTTTAATTTCAGAGAGGGGCCTTCACTTTTACAACAGTCTGGAAACCCTTGGAGAAATTAGACTGTGATATGATAACCTCTGGTACCAAGAGGAGAGAGCTGTCCAAAAGTGGAAGAGATCGTTTCTGGCTTAAGGTGTGATGAAACAAAACAGGAGACACCAAAAAGAAGTGTGGAAAAGCTAGGTCTCAGAGTAGGGCGGCAGGCTGAGGAGGGCCGCGCTGAGGAGGAAGTGGATGGGTGCCAGGGGATGAACTCACAGGGAGACCCTTTAGAAGGGGATGACTGCCTGATCTGTTTCCATGGACTCTTCTATTTTTATTAGGATTATCCATTTCTCTTCCTACAAGCTCTTTTGCTTTTTGTCCACCCTTAAGTTATAATGTATATACTGTTTAAAAACATTTAAGTGATACAGAAGTATATCAAGGAAAAATGATGACTATTAGTAGTTTGGTAAATTCCTCCCAGTCTTTTTTTTATGCTTATACATTTATAGACATTCTGTCAATATCTACTGTGTGCTACATGTGTGTATTTCACTCTTGATCCCAAACTGCTAATAGTTTTCTGGAGTAAATATGACCTAACCATATCTTTTAATCATCACAATGTCTTCTCTCTCGGCAGAAACTTTCTAACACCTATGGCTGTGATTCCAAACATGCTTACTAACTACAGCACACTACTTTATGAAGCAAAAACGTTATTCTCTGTGTGCATAAGAATGGGAGAATATCTTTGCTTAGTGTCACGCATT
Organism: Homo sapiens; assembly: GCF_000001405.40. Lineage (NCBI taxonomy): Eukaryota > Metazoa > Chordata > Mammalia > Primates > Hominidae > Homo > Homo sapiens. The sequence continues at coordinate 184,790,655 of NC_000004.12, forward strand.
ATTGTTACTTAATCGCTGAGTCTGTTTTCTTTTCTGTAAAATGGAGACATCATGAGTCCACTTCCAGGGTTATTTTTTGTTAAAGAGGAACTTTCCTGTAAAATATGATTGTGTAGAATATTACTTGTGCACCCGATAACATGCTCTAACTACAGTACAAGTCCTCCATCACCTCAGTCTTGACTCCAACAAATAGCCTGAAATTCAGAAGCAATTTTGTGGCTTTGTAGTGAATATCAGAAGCCTTTTCAACCCATGAAGCCACCAAACACACCGAAGGCACCAAGGCTAAGGTAGGAAGAGAAAGGGGGAAAGGACAAAATGAGAGAAAACAGGAAGAATGAGTGGGTGTGAAAAGAGATAAGAAAAGTACCAAGTATGATGGTGAAGTGTGGTTGTCTCAGCATGGCCTAGACATGCAGGTGGCCTGGCCGCCCACAGGGAGGTCCTCACGATGCTCTGCTTACAAAGGTGCCTTCTATACCTCTTGACACAACAGAAATGCATTCATGGTCTTTTTCAGTGCTCTCTCTTCAAAAGCAACACCACTTTCTGCACTCTGCAGAGGAGTTCCCCTAGCTGTGAATGGGCAGATGGGGATAAGGTGAACAAGACACAAGCTTGTTCTGAAGGAGCCCACGTCTTGTCTCTAAGTGACCACAGGGACTCCAGGGAACCCTGGCTGAGCAGAAGAGTGCAGGGAGAGTCAGGATGAACAGACAGAAGCAAGCCTGAAATCTCAGGTGCACAGGCTCATTCTAGAGCCAAGCTTCTCAAAGTGTGCTCTGCGGAACACCTGGCACTGGTTAGGAAAGCAAATCACACCAGACCTGCTGAATCCGAAACTCTGGGGATGCGATCCAGCAATCTGTGCTTTAAGAAGCCCTCCAGGGGATGCTAAAGTTTGAGAAGCACCTTCCTAGGGACAGCAGGTTTCCAGCAGGGAAGTTTTCAGCAGGGAAGTGGTGAGGATGGGCTAATGGGTTAGAAAGAAATCTACAAGAAGCGTAAGCAGTGTGTGGAACAGGAGGGAGGGAAGAGACTGGGGAGAAACCAACTCCTACAGACCTGGATAGGGCAGTGGGAGTTGGGAGCCGGGAAGGACCAAGGCACTGGGCGTGCTGCAGCACTCAGGAACAGGATTTAACAGGTAATGGGGTGTAAGCAGAAAGAAGGAGGGCTGAGAAGAAAAACTGTCCCCTTTAATCAAATAGAAGACTGGGTACTGGGGGTAGGCTTCAGAAAAGAGATGAAGTTTAGCTTTGGACATACAGAGACCATATCCCTTCAAGACAGGTCAACCACCTTGGTCAATGTCCCAAATTTTATTTTGAGAACCACTGCTCTGGAGGACCATTTTATAACAAACTTTTAGCTAAATAATTTTTTAGTTAGGTTTAAGTTTTTGGTGGTGTATAATCTTCTGGAATCCGAGAAACATGGAGGCAAACAAGCTAAATCAAAGTTAAAGAAGTGAATGATATCCCCAATAAAGCAACATCTTGACATGTAACCTGGGGCAAGATATTTATTATTACCCTAATTAGCAATTAGAATAATGAGAAAAGCTTGAAAATGAAGCAGTAAATGAGACATCTGTCAAAAGGAGACACTAATTGAAGGCTCGATGATACGGGATAAAAGGTCACACTGTCACTCAGTTGTCAGACATAACTGTAATTTCAAGAAAGGGGGTTGAATAAGAAGGGGAAGGGCACAAAACATTAGGATCTGTGCTTCAAAATCTGTGGCTCTATGAAAAGACCACACATTCTAATAATGAATTATTTTTTTTTCCCGAAACAGGGGCAGGCTCTGTCGCCCAGGCTAGAGTTCAGTGGCATTATCAGAGCTCACTGCCGTCTCAACCGTCTGACTGAGCTCAAGCAATCCTCGCACTTAGCCTCCTGAGTAGCTGAAACCACAGACACGTGCCACCTTGCTTGGCTAATCTGTTTATTATTTGTAGAGGCAAGGTCTCACTATGTTGCCCAGGCTGGTCTCAAACTCCTGGGCTCAAGGGATCCTTCCGCCTAGGCCTCCCAAAGTATTGGGATGACAGGTGTGAGCCACTGCGCCTGGCCCAGTGTTGCTATTTTTTGAACAGAAATGCTATATTTAAAAAAGGGTGTTAGCAACCTTAGTTATATCTACACAAGCAAGGGGTTGCAAGCTGAGTGCTGGGAAGCAAAGCTGTAACAATTGGAGTCTGAAATGCTTGTAGGTTTTACAAGACAGAATCACTTCAAAAGCTGGGGACTTAAATACTATATTAGGTAAGTCCACGTAGCTATTTCTAGGGACGCCTATTTAAATGAAAAATAGCTTAAATTTGGCCCTTACGGCCTTCTGACATAACCTACTGATCAGCAGGCAGTGTGTGTGGGTCGCTTGGGCTCAAGAAACAGGGCAAGCAAAGCAGACAACCCCAGCTGAATGTGTAGGAAATCAGTCATGAGCCAGTGAGTCAGCAGGCTTTAGGAGTCTTTTATTCCTCCTGCTATAGACCTCTTTAATGTGGTTACATAGTGTTCCCAGTTAAAAAAAAAAAAAAAAAAGATAGTGAGTCAAACCCACTACAGTGAAATCGGTGGTCATGAGTATATTCCGCAACATCTCTACAAGCTCAGGTTCCTCCTGAGGTCAGTCTCCCCACAAGGGCTGAATTAGGAAACAAGTTCAAGTCCCCCTTGGGGGCAGGAAGGGCAGGAAAACCGTGAACATCTGCATATCAAAGGTTTCCGAGGCCAGAACTCTCACCAATATTTGACTAACAGGAACGCGATGGCCAGTTATTTTGTGCCACTCTCCTATTTAAGTGCAAAAGCAAATGATGCCGTTGAGGATTTCTTAGGGGTAGAGAAGCCCAAGCTTTACCACTCATAGACTCATTCATCTCCATCTCCAAATGGGCATCTGCCAGCCATAGCAGTTAAATGCCCCTTGTGTTGCTACTGTTTATGCAGGAGAGGGATAGGGAGGTGGACGCAGGGCGAAAGTGAGAAGGGAGAGTGAGAGAGAGGAGGGCAAGGAGTAGAAGGGGGAGAGGCAGAGCCAAGTAACTTCTAAAGAGACTGCCAAAGACGTGGCTGGGTTCTAATGCGGGATCCATCTCTAGGGTGCAAAGGAGCATGTAGAACCACAGTCCGGGGGTAAAAATGATTCCTTTTTGTTCCTTCTAATACCTAACATGTGGTCTATACAGCTGTTCCCCTTCAGGATACCCAAATCCAGATGCTCAAGTCCCTGATATAAAATGGCATAGTATTTGCATATAACCTATGCACATCTTTCTGTATACTCTAAATGGTCTCTATATTACTCACAATACCTAATATGATGTAAATAAGTAGCTGTTATACCGTATTGTTCAGGGAATAATGACAAGGAAAAAATGTCTGGCAATGTTCAATAGACAATACCATCCATTTATTTCCATGGAATATTTTTAATCCACGGATACAGAGCGCCAACCGCGTCCTTCTCAGCATTTACATTTTACACGCATCTTAGCCTGCTCAGAACTCCATCATGTGCTTCTTTTTGTAAAGACACAAAACTACTTTTCCATCCAGTGACCTTTCAGAGAGGAACTCTGGCCATCAATTCTCATATCTAGCAGACTACATCTTTGATATATTACACTAGGTCTTTTAAAGGCCAGCCCCTGGGCAACTCCCCCTCCACAATAATTTCTAAATGACAATGGACAGATATTTTTAAAATTCCCAGATTCCCCCCAATACAGTGAACTGTAAATGTCACAAGGTAACAATGAGGCCTCACGCTCACTATTCGTACTCACTACTGAACTAGCTGACTTCCCAAGATCCTTTCCTCCCAGCTGAGCACAGAAGGGCAGAACTATCCTGACACTGGCATGCAGGAAAGATGGGAGGTGAGTGAATGTGTATGGAGCCTGCTAAAGGCCAGCCCCTCTCCAGATGAGGAAGCTCAGACTTGGGGGGGCTGCTTCCCTTCTCAGTCCCATGTCCACCACATAGTGGAGCAGAGCTTCGAACCTAGCTCAATGAGACATCCAGGTACGTCAAGGTTTGCTTGGCGGTTCACAGGCAGGTCCCAAACATGCCCACACCTCCTTCGTCTGTGTGTGGAGACATCCTTCATCCTTGAGGAGGCGGGGTCCAGGTCACCTGTGCCTGGCTGGGTTTTCTGATTTTTCAACACTTGCTCCTAACCCTCAGAACCTTTTTTCTTTTCATTCCTAGTCCATCTCCAGTTTCCAACTTCCCGGCTCCCCACTATCCCAGAGGATTTGCTGAAGAGGGACGGGGGTAGGGGTAGGAGGCTGACACGGTACTTCGCAAAACATCTCATCACCAGAAAAAAAATCAGCTGACCACAAACCCGCCTCAATGAAAGGGAAGAAAATTTGAAGTCACAATGTCCAAATTCCTACAAATACACATTGTTCCAGAAAATAGGACTGCCCGTAGAAATTTACATGCCAACCATTTGAATATACAAGGCATCTGCTTCACTTCTGCCTAGTTCAAAGGGAGCCACATTCCCATCTACTACCTTTGGTCAGCTTTTGGACAATGGGTGCTGAAGGTGTTTTGTCAAGAAACACAGCCTACGCTGGTCATTTTTCATTTGGCACCAGTTGGTTCCATCTGGCTATTTTTAAACATAAGTAAATATTACAGCACGCATTTCCGTCCTTTATGCGTTTCTGTCATCAAACACGTTCTCTGTTTAATGAAGCCTGTGAGAAGCGACATCATTTGTACAAAATCAAATTGTGTTTTCAGACCTGCTTTATCATATTCCCTACGTATCTGTAGTGACCTTTAGCTTTTTCTTCCTGGGTAAAGAGAGCCCGGAAATAGTTTTTTAAATATAACAATCAACCTCTTTCTTTCTTTAAATTCCTAAGCCAGGCACTTAATACTCCTGTGGCCTGGTCTTGGCATAAAGATCAGAAACTCTGCCTTCAGTTCTCACCCTGCAGGCCACCCCACCCAACCACCACTGCTCATTACCAGCTCTAACACTTTTCCCACCTAATTCAGCCACCTAAAAGCGTCCCTAAGTCAGCAGACAGGTCTTACAGTCTCTTAGAAAGCAACTCAATTGTTTCCTGTAATGTAGATTTGTAAGAAAATGTAATTTAGCAAGGTTTTTCATAACTTGTTATTAAGAAGCTCATTAAGTTTTAGAAAAGGTGCTGAAGTTACCTCAAGGCATGAAAATGCTGATGTTTGCACCCTGCCAGAATAACATTTCTAAATAAAAACACCCCCTCTAAGCATAGTCTCTCCATCCCAGCTATGCTGGTTAATACTGAGTGTCAACTTGATTAGATCGAAGGATATGAAGTATTGATCCTGGATGTGTCTGTTGAGGGTGTTGCCAAAGGAGATTAACATTTGAGTCAGTGGGCTGGGAAAGGCAGACCCACCCTTAATCTGGGTGGGCACAATCTAATCAGCTGCCAGCATGGCCAAAATTAAAAGCAGGCAGAGGAATTTGAAAAGACTAGACTGGCTTAGCCTCCCAGCCTACATCTTTCTCCCGTGCTGGATGCTTCCTGCCCTCGAACATCAGACTCCAAGTCCTTCAGCGTTGGGACTCGGACTGGCTTTCTTGCTCCTCAGTTTGCAGATGGCCTACTTTGGGTCCTTTTGATGGTGTGAGTTAATGCTCCTTAATAAACTCCTATATATCCATCCTATTAGCTCTGTCCCTCTAGAGAACCCTGACTAATACACCACCCCACTGCCCCAACTGCCAGGATCGCTTGCCGCAAATGTCCTCAAATGCTGGAATACTTTTCAGGAATTCTCTGAGCACAACGTCAGCAAAGTTGCTAGGGGTAGAATTAAAAGGGGAAATCTTTGCTCCCATCTTCATTTGACCATTTGCACAATTATGTTGCTATCAAGACCATGGAATAACAGGCCATGGGGAACACTGACCCGGAATCTGCAATCACATATGGTAATAAATGGAAGTTAATGCCTAAAAACATCCCAGATTTCCATAAGGATGAAGGATAGGGATGTAACCAGAGCATTGGATCAGGAGATTCTTCTGAAGTCTCACACAGGCTTCTAGTTAAATACACATCGGATAACTGATTTCTGTTCCAAAGCTTCCCAGAGATGAGAATTAGGTTTACATTTACAAATGACTGTAGAAACAGTATTTATTAGGTCATATTTACAAATGACTGCAGAAACAACCAGATGCTACTACTGTTCCTAATACTTGTCCCTGCCTCTCAGCGTTCACCTGATACCTCCCACCTGGTTCAAAATCATTCATCTATTGCCCTGCCTTGCAACTGACTGTGACAGACCTTCTTCAGACCCATCAGGCTGGTGTCAGTGAGGGCGAGTGACACCACCATCCAACTCAACCCCAGCTGCCCTTCCTGGACAGCTCCCTTCCTGCCCACTCCTGGCAGTTTCCACTAAGGCTTGTCTCTAAATGTCTGCCTCACAGACACGTGTAATCCTGCCCAGATCAACAACAGCTCCCGCTCACAGCGGGCCCCAGCCACTCAAGTCCAGAAGGGTGTCTCGCCGCCCTTAGCGTTTCCACTGGCATGATCCCTATAGGCCCACACTTGCTTTACCTCCACAAGTCTGGTGTGAGTCTTCATAAAAACTTATGAATCAACGAGCTGCTCTCTTCTCCTGCAAAAATTATTTCTCCTAGTTTGCAAGTGGGCCTTTACATGCGTACATGTGTGAAGTATGGTTACGTGGAAATGAGGGATTCCACCAGCCACACGGGGAAATCCTACTTGGTAATATGCTCCATATACACCCTCTAAACATGGATGAAGGATGCCAGTCCTTGTTGCAGTGTGCATGTGAGCTGGAGGTCTGTGGTTTGTTCATGCAGGCCATGACACTGAGAAGGCCTCTGGTGGAGTGTGACTTTTGAGTTGTAAACCATGCTGTTGATTGAGCGTGGCTCCCACAGCCTGGATATGTTGCCTTTAGTTTGCTTCTTCCAAATCCTTACCTGAGAATGAACCCACAGCTGTAGTTCTATGGCATGAAAACAAGTCACTTGCATTGACTGCTCTAGTCTCAAGATGGCTCTCACCCTCTGCCAAGGACAAGGGGTCCGAGCGGTACTTCCTGCTGGCCTGGAGCTCCCTGAGGGCAGCAGCCTTCTCTGCCCTGGTACTGTGCACATCATGCCAGAAAAACTCAAGTCCTTGCTGAGTGAATATAGATCTGATAACTATTCTCTGTGACTTGTGGAGAATGAAACCCAAAGCGCCACATCCTCTGTGGCAGGCTTTATGAAGCATAGGATTAAAATGCTAAAGCAAGTCGCTAACCATATATATGCTAACATATGGATGTACAAATTTCAATCTCTCATGCAAAAGGGCCACCGGCCAGCATGTGACCTGGAGGTCAAGAGATCGTTTGGTGTGGAATTTAGTCATCCAACTAGGAAACGAGATCAGTTATACCCAAGGAACTGGTTCTGTGTATTGTAAGATATGAACCCATGCTGGAACCAAGGTCTGATAACAATCTAAACAGTGAATCTGTGATAGACTAACTGGGTTAGTCACCAGAAGTAAACCTTAATCCAGGTTCTGATATTCTTAAAATTAAGTCTTAGAAAAGACGTGAAGGCATAAAAAAGTTTTTACTTGCTAAAATTTATTCCCTTCTCCAATATCTAAAAACAAACAAATAACACATATCACAGGTTTTTGTTCAAGTACATTATGATCTTGTAGTAGTTGTCAAAAATCTTTCCGAACTAATTTGACAAGTCAGTCATCTCAATGCCCATACCACGGCTCTCATAAGGAGAGGAACTCACATATTCTCTCTGGAGGGTCTCCATCCCGCTGGCTTAGAAGGAGCAGGTGAAGGGCAGATGCCACTTGCATGGGGCTCATCACCAATGGCCCCCTCTGGCAAACAGGGCCACACAGCAGCCATTCCCATTCCCGGGTGACCCTAAGGCCCAGTACCCAAAATTCCAGTGGCTCCTCTCGGTCCAGCGAAACTGCTTCCACAGCAAGCAGCCCTTGAGGATGCCTCCAATCCAGAGCAGGGCCAGGCTGGCTGTGCCAGCGTAGCACTGATTGTGATCACTGGAGGTGTAGCTGCAGACGGAGATAAGGTAGCCTGCAGAGCATCTCAGACATTCTGAACTTCTGTGAATGTCACAGGGGTCCGTACTAACTGGGAGCAGCAGGTCTTGCACACAGGACTTGCCTGCACTACTACCTCCTTCAGCAATTACAAAGGTTCTCATCTATATTCATAATGGTTCATGGCCTAAATCTCTCAAACTCTGATAGGTGGACCTGAAACCACATCAACACCAACTCCTGCTCTGATTCCATCTATGTCTGACCTGGTTCAGGGATAGAGGATGAGGGAAGGACAGAGTCACTCAGGTTTTCACAGTCCTGTGCCCCCTTCATGCCAGTCCTCTCCATTACCTGATTCTTTTTTTTTTTTTTTTTTTTGAGATGGAGTCTCGCTCTGTTGCCCCCGCTGGAGTGCGGTGGTGCAATCTCGGGTCACTGCAACCTCCGCCTCCCAGGTTCAAGCAATTCCCGTCTCAGCCTCCCGAGTAGCTGGGATTACAGGCACACGCCACCACGCCTGGCTAATTTTTGTATTTCTAGTAGAGACGGGGTTTCACTATATTGGTCAGGCAGGTCTTGAACTCCTAACCTCAGGTGATCCATCCACCTTGGCCTCCCAAAGTGCTAGGATTACAGGCGTCAGCCACTGTGCCCAGCCCACTACCCGATTCTTGACAATTTCTGATCCTATACCCAACAGAACTTAGACTCTGTTTTTATTTTACCTGTCCCTTTTGCTCCTTCCATTTCCATCACTACCTTTAGACTCATTTGCCTGCATATCCATTTTCAAAAGATCCTGCTCTAGGCCAGGTGCTGTGGCTCACACCTGTAATCCCAGCACTTTGGGAGGCCAAGGTGGGAGGATTGTTTGAGCCCAGGAGTTTGAGACCAGCCTGGGCAACACAGCAAGACCTCATCTCTAAAAAAATTTTTTTTAATTAGCCAGGCATGGTGGTGCATGCCTATAGTCTTAGCTACTCTGGAGTTAGAGGTGAGAGAACAGCTTGAGCCCAGGAGTTTGAGGCTGTAGTGAGCTATGACCACACCACTGCACTCCAGCCTGGGCAACAGAGCGAGACCCTGTCTCTAAATAAATAAACAAACAAACAAGCCTGCTCCTGGGTTTAGAGGCTCAAGCCACTGACTCTTCATATTGATCTGGACAGATCCAAACTTTCTATCCTGGTTTACTGCCCCCTTCCCCAAAGCCCTAGTTATAATATACAACTTTCTACTACTATAATGAAGGCAGCATAACAGAGTTCTGGACCTTCTACTAACTGTATGATATAATTTTACCTCTTTGGACTCAGTTTTCTTGTGTATAAAATATGAAGATTAAAAGACAAAGGGAAAAAAGTAACATTGCTGCATACTTATTGTGGGCCAAGCAGACATTGCATAACTCTTCAGTCCTCTTAGCAACACTGAAGGAGGAAAGGTACTGTCACTTCGGTTTTCCATATGAGGAATCTGAAGGTCAGAAAATCCTGGTGAACTTGCCCAAGGTTGCCTGGTCTAAGTTGGAGTCCAGTCCCACATCTGCCCCATCCCTCTTTTCCCTGGTCCCTTTCCGCTCCAACATGCTCCTGTACTTTGCTTAACTGCAACCACGTGTGTCTGGGCTCCGACCAATCCGAAAAGGTTTCCAGTCACTCCAGTGAAGATCGTTTTCACTAGGGGGCCATGGGGCTTCAATCTCAGAGAAGAGGCTAAAACATGTAGCCAGGCTAAACCGGAACACTGGCTAACACCAGAAATCTTGCATTATCTGTGACAGTGATGTAAAAAGAAAGCAAACCCACAAAATCTGCTTCTATCCATTGCTCAAAGTCACAGAGCAGCAGCAGCAAAATCCTTCAGAAGATAGAAGCTCTTCCTTGGCACGCAGGGCATCACAGTTATGACTGTGAGCTGCCACTACAGACACAAGGACGTGGTTCTCCAGACAGGGCCCTGATCAGTCCGGGCTCCAACACTTAAGAAACACTTTTTGGATTCTGTTCCTAACCCAGCTTGTCTGTCCTGTTCTCTAATTTAGGTCTTCATTAGAGGTGACCAGCATGAGTGTTAACCTCCTCTTTACAACCCTGATTTTTATTTTTCTTAGGGACAAGGTCTCGCTCTGTTGCCCAGGCTGGAGTGCAGTGGCACAGTCATAGCTCACTGCAGTGTCCAACTCCTGGGTTCAAATGATTCGTCCACTTCAGTCTCCCGAGTAGCTGGGACTACAGCCATGAGCCACCACACCCAACTAATTAAAATAAAAAAATTTATAGAGATGAGGCCTTGCTATGTTGCCCATGCTGGTCTCAAACTCCTGGCCTCAAGCAATCCTCTCACCTCGGCCTCCCAAAGTGCAGGGATTACAGCATGTGCCACTGCACCCAGCTCTACAATCCTGATTTTTAAAAGGAAATTTCAGAAGGTATAATTTACAAAGAACCTCTGTGCTACTGCCTTAAAAATCAGTAGCTGGGAAACAGCCAGCGTGGGTTGTGATGAGAAGTGGCCAAACCAAAAAGTGCGGATTCTTCTCATTTTAGTATCCGTGTAAACTTTATTGGACAAGGAGGGTGATAAAAACTGTGCATGTGAGATGGGGGTGCAGAATGAGGGTGGGAACTGGCAAACCCTGCTTACTTGTTTTCAAAGTAGGAACACAGCAACAATATTCCACTCCGGCCACCAGCCCCCCGCAGCAGTGCCAGATGCACAGGCTCTTCACCGGTACCTTATGAAGTGAATCAAGTTCCTCTTTCCCTGCCCTAGGTGTCCACAGGATGATGCTAGCTATATCAAAGCATCTGTAATTATTAAGCACCAGAATTCCAGAGCTACTTTTAAATTTAAACTTTTAACTTCTTTTTTAAAAAGGCAAAGCAAGCTCAGTATCTATTTCTAAGCCCCACAAATTCTGAAAATCAGAGCTAAATCAATGTCTATAAACAGAGAAAAATCAGGAAGCCTCTATACTGGGCAGTAAAATTATAGATTTTCATTTCTTGCTGCATATCTCAAGTTTTAAACTGTTCTAGAGAGAACATATGTAATTATTTTAACAAGGCACAATGCCTTTATGCTAAGCTAAAGCTTTAAAACCACACGTAAGTGCCCCCACAATTTCTCATATAATAGGAATTACTCATTTCTTACAGTTACTGCTAAGTTATACATGTCTTAACACTGCACTTGCCAACAACTCTTCATGGAGATGGCAGCGCTGCCGTGACACATCAGGTGCTCTGCCAGTAGAGAAGGAATGCCAGAACCTCACAGGAATCCCTTAGGAAAAGGGAGATTCCACTCATTCCCCAGCCTATGTGATTAGCTGAGGTGAAATATTAAGGTACCCTGACCTTCTAAATAGAAATCAAGTAGAAAGTTAACTTTTCTCAGCTGTAGTTCAGTCATTCTATATTTATATTTTGGCATGAATTAGACTGAAGAATCTTTTATATATTTTAAGAGTTTCACATTAATGAATCCAAGAACTTGTCTAAAATAAAACAAAGACCTAGAATCCCATAAATAACAAAAATGCTGACTCCAGCCAGGGCTTTATGTGGAAGGGCACACACTCCCTCTGCGGCAGTCAGCCCGGGGGGGTGGGGGAGGCCTTCCATCTCTTACATCTGGAAGCAGTAAATGGGGGGATCTTGTGTTTCACAATGTTCTTCTGCATATCTGCTGAATGCGGGAAACACTGAAGGGTGACTGACTTGGGTAGGGGAAAGCAAGCGACCACAGAGAAAACCAAAGAACAGGTGAGGAGTGGAAGCACCAGTGAGCATGCGGCCTCTTCATCTTCTCCACACCCTGCCTTTCTCACTAGGGAAGGCAGGGAGAGCAGGAGCACTAAGAATCTTCCTGAAAGGATCCTAAGGTTTCCTTACGCCATCCCTCCTATTAAGCCCTAATTGCCCGCATTCCAGTTTCATTTTCCTAACATGAGAGCACAGCCTCCAGTTTGCCCAAGTCACACACAACCACGGCGCTCAGCAGCCCAGCCAGACGCGCCTCTTGAGGGTTGTTTCTTCATGTCCTGCCCCGAATTCTGCAGCCGTGTTCTTCCGTCAAGTTCTTACTCCAGCCCTATTCTATTTGAAATCCCAAAGTCCCTTCCAACAGGCTAGGGATATGTTCTAAGCGTCAGATGTACCACGAGTGCATTCTTTTGGTAACATTTGTTTGAAAACTCTCATTCCTGCCAGAATCTAATCCCTGTGAGAACAGGGGTTCTGTGCTATATTTTTCCTTATGGAATCCTCCAGGCTGACCACAGTGCCTACCACAGCGTAGAAACTCAATGTCATTTCTAGAATGATCTTCCATGTGACGAGAGGTAGACACCCAACCGACACCCTCTCATCTGTCCCTGTGCCTATATTTTGCCCTGTACCTCTATTTACCACCATCAGTAATTTGGCACATTTCCATTTACAAAGTGCAGTTATAAACAAATATTTGATCTTGATGGCTATCACATTCAACAGGGCTCAGCTCATCTGGGGAAATGCGGAGAAAACGCACGAGGCAGGCTGGGCCCTCCACTCACCGCCACTTCCACTGACTGCATGGAGAGGTCGCATGGCGGCTTCAGGGGTTTGGGTCTCGTGGCGTACCAGAAGGTGGTGAGTGCTGCAAAAGCTCCGAAGCCCATAAGCGTGTTGGTCGGAAGAGTACGCACGTACTGTCGGAAGTCAACCAGCTCTGGCATTCGAAAATACCGGAACAGCTCATGGGCTTGCATTGTCCTGTGTTGATAGTTCTCTAAGCTGAATTCTGTTGGGAGAGAAAAATGTCACGTTCGTTCCAGGGAAGCAGGACCCCTCTCCAGAACTCCAAAATTCCACCGGCCAGCCATCTAATTGGGTAGCTGCTCGGCCAGTCCAGGCATTAAACCCACAATCTAATGATCCGGGGCTTTTCCTGGCTGTCAAGTGTCATTTTTCTAAAAACACTTTAGGATTTCATTTTCATTCTATTTCTCCATTACCTTGTATTGAAAAAACCCCATTCTCTTCCTTTCATTAACCATATTAAAAAGATTTTACTCAAGAAGAATTCTTCCCATAAAAACTCAAATAAGTAGATTTAAGTTTCTATTTTCTTCTTTGCTACTACGTCTCTGCTCTCGTCCATCCACCTAATCAAAAACACTCGACTCTCATTGTCAAGGCTAATGGGAATATGAGTGAAGGGGAAGTACAAGCCCAAACCACCTAAGGGCCATCAGTTTCTATTTCTTCCAACAGATCTCAGAACAAGTTCCCAAACTGGTTAAACACACCAATGTAAATTTCACCTTCTGTACTCCTCACACGACAACAGTGGCAATATAAATGCTGGGAAACCCATAGTTGGCTATCTGGTAAGATGAGTTTCTTTTACACTCCCCAAGACATTATAGCCAAAAGAAACAAACAGATAAATTGGTGTGCATAAACTTTAAACCAACCACCAGATATCTAAAGAGGGAATACAGCACAGTGTTGGAAAGAAAGTACAGAATAGTATTTGAGATCCTAGATGCAGCCGGACGCGGTGGCTCATGCCTGTAATCCCAGCACTTTGGGAAGCCGAGGCGGGTGGATCACCTGAGGTCAAGAGTTTGAGATCAGCCTGGCTAACACGGTGAAACTCCATCTCTTCAAAAAATACAAAAATTAGCCAGGTGTGGTGGTGGACACCTGTAATCCCAGCTACTCAGGAGGGTGAGGCAGGAGAATCGCCTGAATCCAGGAGGCAGAGGGTTGCAGTGAGCCGGGATCGTGCCACTGCACTCCAATCTGGGCAACAAAGTGAGACCCCGTCTCAAAAAAGAAAAAAAAAAAAAAAGACCCTAGATGCTAGAGCCAAATTCTGCCTCCCTGGCATATGAGCTGTATGATTTGGGACATATGACCTCCCTTCCCTGTGCCTCAGTTTCCTCATCTGTAAATGGAGACGGAAATAGCACCTTATCTCGCAGGGCTTTTCTGACTGCTAAATGACTCACATAAAGAGGTAAGAATGATCTCACACACGTTAGAAAGTGCTCAAAAATATTAGATTTTATGATTATTTCCTCTACCAACGCTCTGTGATTCATCCTGAGTGCAGAACAAGTAAAGCACGCAGGTAAAAACACTGCCTACAAGGAGTGTTCAGACAAAATTAAGAAGCTTCTGCACAGCAAAAGAAACTACCATCAGAGTGAACAGGCAACCTACAGAATGGGAGAAAATTTTTGCAATCTGTCCATCTGACAAAGGGCTAATATCCAGAATCTACAAAGAACCCAAACAAATTTACAAGAAAAAAAACAAAAATTTACAAGAAAAACAACAAACAAGTGGGCAAAGGATATGAACAGACACTTCTCAAAAGAAGACATTTATGCCACCAACAGACACGTGAAAAAATGCTCATCATCACTGGTCATCAGAGAAATGCATTGTGGTTTTGATTTGCATCTCTTTTTCTTTGTTAAAATACAGAAATTTTCTGCTAAAATTTAAATTTAAATGAAATTAATTTTAAATTTAATGGTCTCTGTTTTACAGGCCATTAATACTACCAGAACCAACATAATGTATTTGCTCTGCTCATTCAATCTCTGCTACAATGAATCCATGTAAGTGTACTCACTCACACACACACACACAAACACACACACGAAATTTCAAGGTTTACCATGACAGCAAAGAAAGAACAGATAAGCAGATTTCTTCAGGCCATGGTTCTGGAAAGAAGGCACCAGCACTTAACAAAACCACTCACCATCTGTGCCACCAACAGCTGACTACTAGGTGACACCCCACTGCAGACACAGAAGAGGGCAATGAGCCTGGAAGTGGGCGGGGGTTAGCAGGGCTCAGCTGCGCTCCCCCAGCCTACCAAGGTCTCTCAGGGCACAAGTCACATGCCGAGCCCCACGCTGCTGCCCACTGGGCTAAAGGTAACTAGCAGACAAAATCCACACTTGACTTCTCAGGAGAGCAGAGGGTGGAGGATAGGCCAATGGGCAGCCAGCAGCAAAGTCACCCCACTGCTCCACCCATGGGCAGGGACAGGCATCAGTGAGTGTTGCTGCCAGGACCGGTTCTGAAAACAGACACTGTTTTCTTTCTGCTCAGCTTCCCAATAAGAGACAACGGGCATATATTTTTTAAACCACTGAAATGAAGGATAGGATGCCGGGTGGTATGTCTAACCAAGGTAAGGCATACCAAGAAAGAAACAGATTGCCCAGAGCATGCTGACAGCAGATTTATTCTAGACGAATACATAGGAATTGAGCTACTCCCGTCACTGCATATCTGAGCACCTAGTGTGAGCCAGGCTTTGGCCAGGCGCTGGGAAGACAGTGTTGATGACCTGGTCTAGGCTTTCAGTGGGCTAACCTTCTAGCAGGGAAGATAAAAATCAAACAAGCAAGGTCTGCAAGGCACGGGGGAAGGCCTTTCTGAGGAAGGGATGTACACCAGGCGGGATAAGCAGACAAATCAAGTCCATGTCCTATTGACACTGAGTGTTCAGATTTCAGAAACAGTATTGCAACTCCACAACCTCAAAGCAGCCTTGGGAATATAATGTGCAAACTTGCCTTGCCCTCAAATCCTTCCACCTCTAGTTGTCTTCATCACCCTGCAGCACTCCAGGCCTGAATAGGAAGTACTCACCCCGACACACACTGCCATGCCTTTCTCTCTTCTCTCCCCAAAGCTCCTAGAGTAACTCCCATAAAACCTAGATTGTGTGAATTTGCAGGTGCTGTTCAACAGGATCACATCCCTGAGTGAGAATCTTAAATAATTCCTCTGTAAACAAATACAGTCAGACACAGGGGATTAATTTGTCTATTTTAAGCATCAGCAGTAGCCATGCTATAGACTGCTTTACACCAAGAAAGTTTATTAAATCTAAGAAAGAACACTTTAAAAAAAAAACTTCAGAAAATTATATATTTAGTAGCATGTGTACAAGAACATTTCATTAGATACTAATCTATAATACTAAGGGTTTGAATCCAGCCAAATTCCTATATTTAGTGGGTGATAATGACAAACTATAGCAGTTTAATTCATGCCTCTTAAATGGCAGCCAGGTAACAAGCTGCAAGCCAACTTCACTGAACAAACTGATTAATGCTATACATAGGAAAACTATAGTCTATGCATAAAGAACTAAGACAATAGCTCATTTAGATATGTGTGAAGAACAACTCTTAAACAGACACTGATAGCATTATAAATCTTTTCCCTTCTATTAACTGCTATTAAGGAAAAGGCACTTGGGGTATTTAAAAATGGAGGTACACCTACATCCAAAGAAAATCAGGCACAAGAAATAGTCTTTCAACGCTGTATGTGAACATAAGCATTAGACTAAGGGGTCTCTAAGAAGGACTAAGACTCATACACTTGCTAACAAATGGTAAAACTCAGACAGATTGTATTCTTATTCCAGTAGTGTTCTGGTTTGAATATTTCTTTATTCTTTCAAAATCAAATTTCCATATAAACATCTAAGGAAATTTATAGCCTGGGCATGTAAATCATGCCGCTGTTTGCCAAAAATATAATTCAATTGGCTTAAAGGCTTAAGGAGCCAGTATTTCCCAGCTGGGAACACATAAGGCTACTGACAGCCAGCTTCTCCTTCCTCTACAGCCACTCCTGTGCACCCTCCTCCCCACTCTTACAGAAAGTGGGTTTGCTCAGCTGGGTTTTCTGTAAACCTGGAGTCTAAAACCACAGAAGGATGGGGAAGGTAACAATGGCCAAGGAAATCTGGGCACAAGCCCAGTGTAAAGATCCAGCACAGGAGATTCCTTTAAATAGACCTGGGCAGAGACAGGCATAGCGAGGCAGGGTGATGGAAACTGAACTGCACGGACTGTCAGAAACCAAAATCCTGGTACCCGTCTACCCAAACTTTGGATAGAACTAAAAATGCAATTAGCATTTACTTAGTGTTTTGGAAAGGCTTTCATATCCAGTGTCTTATCTGAACATCACAAAAGCAAACTGATGAGGAAGAAACCAAGGCCAGAGACTTATAAGCCTTCCCCAGGATGTTAGTCAAGAACGGGACACCAACCAATGTGACTCTAAATCCAACCTATGCTAATAATTCTTAACTATGCTAAGCCACTGACCCTCTCCCCTGAGAACACACATAACTATCACAAGTCTCCTTTAGCCCAACCCAGGTTAGGAACCATGAGGTCAGGTTTCTAAAGTCCTTCCAGTACTCACACTCCCAGGTATTATGACAGCTCCCTCCTGAGGTCCACCTAAATGCTCAATGTCTTACAAAAACGTTAGCATTTATTGTATCACCCTGGCCTCTGAACACGTGGTGAGTTCAAGGCCCACTATACACAAAGGTTCACCTCTTCACCATTTTATTTGTACCATGAAAATAGTGGCTCAGGGCCAGAGGTGACTCACAAGGACATCATTCTCTTGAAGATACACATACACAAACATACACACACACACACACACACTGCCCCTGCAACTCTGCAAACTTTTACTTACATTAACATTGTATTCTCTTCATGTCATTTAGAAACCAAAAACCGGGTGGTCTGGATGTTTCTCTCCTTCTAAAGTTCCTCAAGCTTTCATCAAGATGAATAATGGCAGTTTGATGGAATACTTCACTAGGAATGCAGCCCTCAAACAAACCCACATAAATGACACCCTTGCCCCTGCAGTGGCAAATTAAGAAAGCCTGACATCTTTCCTTAACGCAGCAACCCAAGCTGGCAAGATGCTGCCATTCCGTGCCCCGCCTCCTCCCCTTGTACAATAGGCTATTTACAGAGGCTGAAAGCGCCCCCTTTGTCATTCACTAGCTGGGCAGAGCTCAGGCTTCAGGGAGGAACAAGAGAGCAGCAGCCAGGCCATTTGCTGCTCTTTCAAAGCACCACTCCAAACCTGTTGGATTCGTGCTCCTTAACCCTGGCTTGGCAAATTCCCTAAAGTTAGATTTGCTTAAGCCATTCCCTTTTGAACCAAAAGAGCAGTCAGGCTCTCCCTAGAGAGAGGGAGGTACGGCAGCTCAAAAGAGATGCCAGTCTCCCAGCTGGAGAGGAAAGCAGAGGTTGCTGTCCAAACCCTATCCCACTGATCTCCCTGACTGTGGTCACTGCTCTGGGCCCATCTCCTCACTCTGAGCATCAGGAGAAAGATTTGGGGTAACTTTGGGATCCCATAACAAACATGCAAGTGGTTCCACAGGGAGTCAGTTATTCCCACCCACTGCCTTGTGGCTTTTTCTTCCCAATTAAGTATAATAAATCTTAAACCCACTTAATTTTCATTAAAGTGATCTTATAGATCACCAATTGAATTTCCTAAGGATGTAAAAAGAAGAAACAAAGCAGATGCCCTGATTTTATTAATCTGACTTATTGAAATATTCAAGTCCAGCTGAATACTTCTACACTTAAACCACTCCCTGCCCATCCCCTTATAAAGTTATCAGAGAAAGAGTGAGACACAAAGCTTTGAACTGTTAACCAGTAAAATGAGGACCATACCTCAACCATTCACATTGGTCACAAATATCATATATGCCCCCCAAAATAAAGAGATCTCAAACACAATATGTCGAATTTGAACAGATAAATTTTTAGGATGCAGGGTCAAATATCTTATAGCAGTTTCTGTATTCATTAAACTACATCTCCAGTTAAATCACATGAAGAACTAAATTACTTTAGAAATACTGTTTTAAATTCACATTTCATTAGGCCGGGCGCGGTGGCTCACACCTGTAATCCCAGCACTTTGGGAGGCCGAGGCGGGCAGATCACGAGGTCAGGAGATCAAGACCATCCTGGCTAACACGGTGAAACTCCATCTCTACTAAAAATACAAAAAAAAAATTAGCCAGGCGTGGTGGCAGGCGCCTGTAGTCCCAGCTACTTGGGAGGCTGAGGCAGGAGAATGGTGTGAACCTGGGAAGCGGAGCTTGCAGTAAGCTGAGATCGCGCCACTGCACTCCAGCCTGGGCGACAGAGCGAGACTCTGTCTCAAAAAAAATAAAAATAAAATAAACAAATAAACCACATTTCATTAATATGTTATTTGAGTTCTTTGAATATGCATCTTCAAACAGGGTTTGGGGCATCTCTACAGCCACTTTTTGAGGCATCGAATGGTTTTCTGTGGCATACATTCACATTTTCCTCTTCCACTGAAGTTGTTGAAATTGAAGCAGTTTTTGAAGTCATGTATGTGCTACTAGTGAAAAAATTCTCCCAAGTCACAAGAACACATTTGAATGATATTAGAACAGGAGAAATTTTGTCCTATGGGTCCACATTTATCTAACTAAACCTCATACTCTATTTATAGCTTTTTAAACTGATTTTTAAATGCACTTTTTACAGTAACAACCAACATTTGCCTTTGTAAGCTGAAACCCTAAGAAATAATTACCCAGCTAGCATTACATTTGCTGTAGAAAAAGTCTAATTCAGCTAGTTGACCTGTACAAGGACCCATGACTAGGACTGGTAGAGACGGTTTCAGGACAAGGTGCCCTCTCTCCCCGAGGCTGTTCCAAATACAGGGGCTGAGAGCACCTCATACTATGACAGCCTTGGTAAGACTTAACTAGGAAGGCTGAAGGAGAATTTTGGGACACTTTCATCTTATATTGGGACAGGAATCTTATATTGGGCTTGGAATTAAAAGACATAACATAAATGTATACACAAAATAGTGGATAACAGAGTAGCAGTAAGTGCAAAATGAATTCTGACAGGGAGCATTTGCTCTTAGGGAGGGTTGCATGGAGAAGGCACAGCTGAGCTGGTCCTTGACAAATGAGAATCATCTGGGAAAATGAGCTATCCTTCATGCCCCAGGGACAGAGACAAGGCTACTAGAAGTGCCTCCTGACCTCAGGGCTCGCACTTTCGCACATTAATCTGGAACAAACGATAGGGCTCAAGCGGATAGGATAGGATAGGATAGGAAAGGGGAAGGAAGATGTTTGGGGAAATGGGCTTAGTTATGAGTTTGTTAGGAGCCACTGTGCTTAAGCACTTGCCGTGTGTCAGGTGCTGTGCTACGGGACTGCGCACAGGGCTAAATGCGTCCTCGTCACAGTCCTTACTGCACGGGGTTGTTACTGCCTTCAGCTCAAAGATCAGGAAACTGTACAGGAGTCAAATGTCCTGCCCTAGTTCCACATGAGAACAGGATGAGTGCCTGGGTCTGAAGCCAAAGCCCACAGACCTCAAGAGCTGAGCACATCAGCCCAGTCGTGCGTGGGTGTTCAAGTCTAAACAGAGGGCATAGGTGACACTGACAATGACAAGCCACGATGCACAATGCTTTTTTTTTGTTTTGTTTTTTGAGACAGAGTCTCACTTTGTCGCCCAGGCTGGAGTGCAGTGGTGTGATCTCGGCTCACTGCAAGCTCCGCCTTCTGGGTTCACGCCATTCTCCCACCTCAGCCTCCGGAGTAGCTGGAACTTCAGGCACCCGCCACCACGCCTGGCTAATTTTTTTTTTGTATTTTTAGTAGAGACGGGGTTTCACCGTGTTGGCCAGGATGGTCTCGATCTCCCGACTTTGTGATCTGCCCGCCTTGGCCTCCCAAAGTGCTGGGATTACAGGTGTGAGCCACCGCGCCCAGCTGCACAATGCTTTAAGAGCCCAGGATTCAAACCCAGATTTCCAACAACAGATGAACGGATCAAAATGTAGTCTATACAATGGAACATTATCCAACCTTTAAAAAGAAGGAAATTTGGATACATGCCATGACATGGATGAAGCAAAGGACAAATACTACATGATCTCACTTCTAGGAGGTACCTAGAATCAGCAAATTCACAGAGACAGAAAGCAGCAGAGAGGTTACTGGGGGCTGGGCAGGGGGAGGAGGAATGAGCGTTATTGCTGAACGGGCACAGAGTTTCAATTCGGGATGACGAAACATTCTGGAACTAGATGGTGGTAATGGTTATACAACCCTATGAATGTACTTCAAACCACTGTGTAACTGTATACTTAAAAATGATTAGCATGACAAATTTTATGTTATATATATTTTACCACAATAAAAAAAGTTTAATTATTTTTAAAAATTGCTTAAGTGGATACAAATGGACAAAAGAGAAGTAATTTTGAGCCTGAGAATGAATGGCAAAACACTGAAGAGACACTGGGAGGAGGAGACAGGAGGGTGATTTGTGAGCAACCGGCCCAACCTTCCAGGGTCCTCAGGGCCCTCCTTCATGTGGGAGGAGGCGGCGGTTCCACAACTACCCAGAAATCCTACACAATCCCCTCTATGAGAAGCAATCAGTCCTTCCTCTGAACTCCAGGACTTCTTTATTTGTAACCCCTGTGTGGTACTTAGCACCTCCTGTCTTACACTTACAGCGAATGGTACTTAGTACCTATGTAGATGCTTCTTCCTCTCCCCGGCCAGGGTCTCCTCCCATCTGTCTTTATATGCCCTTGGTTCTTAACACAGTCCCGAGCCAAGGACAGGTGCTTAACAAACATCTACTGAGTCATGAATGACCCTCTGTGATTCTGACCGTGTCAGACCCTCTGTGATTCTGACTGTGTCTCTGCAGCAAGTCCCTTGAGGATATATTCATAGAACAGTGATTCTCCAAAAAGAAAGGGGGTATTAAGCATTTTCCAACTTCAGTAGTCTCCTTCTACCCGCCACCAGACTCCTACACCGCACACCAGAAAGGAGTAGAGAACATCTCCTGGCTGACTGGGGGAAAAAGAAAAGGGTGCGAGCCACTGATGTAAAGGGGACATAAAAATATTCTCTTGCTCTTATTTTGATCATGTTTTATATTTCTCAAATTGTTTCACTTATGTAGAATGTCAGCCCAAGACTGCCATCAACTCTAAGGGCTACTGTCTTTAGAAGACGCTGAGATACAGTGAGATTTGGACAGACGACTGATGATTCATTTAAAACAAATCAAGGCTGCCCCGGGGGAAGGGAAGAGATCAAATAAGTACTTTTCTTAAGTAAAACAGCAAATATCAGAAAGGCTTGAGCCCAGAGCCCCATACCAGGGCTGGACTCCAACTTCTGTGAGTTTTCTATGACAGAAAAGAGAATCTTCCAAACCAGGGAAACAGACAAGACTCAAGCACAAGATCCAGAGTCCCACGCGAGGGCTCTAGTGAGGAGAATGCTCCCAGAAACACAGAGCTAGTGGGCGGCCACCTGAGATGTACGGAATGCTGACAACAGGATATGCCCAACATTCTCCAGAGCAAACAAAACAAAACAAAACAAAACATATAGCTCTCCTCCCTTCTCTCTTCACACACAGCTGCAAAGATCTGTCATGTACATCCACTTGAGAAAATGATGATTATAGTTAGGACATGCCCCATGACGATATCCAGGTCATGTACAGCCTTTGCGTGGGACAGCAGGGCTAAATTTTGGCGGTACATATTTAAGAGGGCAAGTTTCCATTCAAAAAATTTCCTATGAGAAGAAAGATGATTCCACTTGTCTTCCAATACTGATTGAATAAGGCTAAGCAACTGTTGTAGATATGTCACAATGAGGCAGATAAGTTTACTGATAAGAGCTAGAGAAGGCAGCCAACTTGGGCAGATAGCCTCCGTCAACAGCTTTGTGGCAGCGGATGGAGACAAAAAGATCCGCTTTTTAGGCTGACGCAATCCTTCTGCAAAGAGCAAGACAGAAAAGGCTTGTGTAGACTAAACTTCTCACTCATGAACTGGATCAATACGGCATGTTATTTCAGCTGATGTTCAGCACAGGAAGAGTCGGAATTGTGTCTCTATGACCGCAAGTTGAAGAACATGACAGCATGTTCTAAGGGTATTAGGCAAGACAAGCACGGCCTGTTATTACGAAAGCTAAAGAAGGAAATAAAAGGCTTTTTGCCACTGAAATAATCCAGAAGACTCTTCACCTTACTGGACTCAGCTAACCACAAAGTAAGCCCTGAAGCAAGAGACCACACCAGGAGAAGAGAGCACAACTGAACAGCAGAGAGGATCAAATGTCCTTTCACAGTAGCCAGAGCTGGCCCCAAGCTATGCAGGCACTTTCCTCCTCCGAGGGCCATGGATGGAGAGGAAGCTCCACTTGTTTGAGAAACTGCACGCAGAGAAGGTACCTAGATCCTGGGGTCCTCTCAGGTGCTCTGCCCAAAGTCAGGATCTTCCCATCTTCCCGTGGTGACTATGGAAATAAACAGAATATGAACATGTAAGGCTGGGCACAGTGGCTCACGCCTGTAATCCCAGCACTTAGAGAGGCCGAGGCGGGTGGATCACGAGGTCAGGAGATCAAGACCATCCTGGCTCACACGGTGAAACCCCGTCTCTACTAAAAATACAAAAAAATTAG
Source organism: Homo sapiens (assembly GCF_000001405.40). NCBI lineage: Eukaryota > Metazoa > Chordata > Mammalia > Primates > Hominidae > Homo > Homo sapiens. The sequence continues at coordinate 184,814,146 of NC_000004.12, forward strand.
CCATGCATGGTGGTGGGCTCCTGTAGTCCCAGCTACTCGGGAGGCTGAGGCAGGAGAATGGCATGAACCCGGGAGGCGGAGCTTGCAGTGAGCCAAGATCGTGCCACTGCTCTCCAGCCTGGGCGACAGAGCGAGACTCCGCCTCAAAAAAAAAAAAAAAAAAAAAAAGGAGAGTGGGAACAGAGGAGAGCTACGCCTCTTTCCATCATGAACATCATGGTAGCTTCTCCAAGACTATGTAAGAGAAGGGAAAAGATGGCCACACAATCCTGGCGTCCAGGACTAAACAATCAAGTTTCCACCTAATACCCAAAACCCCCAGGGAACAGTGATATATGAAGAAAAGAGTCAATGTTAAAACCTTCAATTCTATGTGGCGAGTCTATGGGTGTTTTTACTACTATGTTGTTGTTCTTTGTATGTTGCTGTATTTTTCCCAATTTTTTACTATGGAAAAATTAATATAAAACTTGCCATCCTAACTATTAGCTGTATTTTTAAAAGTTTCTCCAGATAAAGAAGCTATAAGTGAGTCAGGTCAGTTAATGTCCTCCTGTATTTATGTATTTCCCACCTGCTCCACGAAGGATTTAGGTAGTGACCTGTCCTCAGAACAGAATGACAGATAGGATATAAACCCCTCCTGGAAAATATGTAGCTATGCTTTGCCCCGTCTGCCCACGCTGGACCCGGCTCAGCCACTGACCTGCTATGTGAGCCACTTCCACTTTCGTGCCTCTTTGAAAAAGGAGTCACACCACAAAAAAAGAAGCAACACTCTGAACATTCCAGGGGGATAACCAACTCTCCTTAGTTCCTGACAATCAGAAAGCCTGAGGATAAAATACTTACAAGGTTTTCTTTGCCTTCAGCAAGTTTAGGATATCAATGAAGACAAACACACCTGCAAGAGTTAACAGAGCTACAGAAGACAGATCTGATAACCACGGCAGGTAGGGCCCTGGTGCTCCAGGAATCTAGGGGAGGGAGAAAACAGTACGCATGCACCAGGCATCCGAGGGAGGGCTGTCCAGAGAGCTGAGGGTGGAACCAGGCCAAGTCTGAACAGGCAGAGACAGGAGTGGGTGGAGAAACACCAGCAACAGCCAGACAGTGCTGTGAGCAAAGAGGCAGGGAGGAGGCCCTGAAGGAGCGGCAGGTGGGCTGGGGACTCGCAGCCGCATTGTAAGGCAACCGTCAGGAGCCTCTGCCTCTCTCTCTCCCATGACAGCATTCTTGTCAATGTCTTGGCTGAGTAAGAAACAGCTGGCTAAAGGAGGCTCGCCCTCACCCAGTGGGTGTTTAGTTCACAGAGCCCTCCTGTCCCCTCCAGGACCCAGGCCTGGGGGGGGAAACTGGGAAGAGTAAGACCCAGTCCTTGTCTTCAAGGAGTCCACAGCACCCCACAGCTCGCAGAGGTCACAGCTATCACATATCAGTGACCTGGATAAGAAGGTTAAAAAGGGCAAAGGTTGGGTAGAGTTACTCACACCTCTTAAAATAGACCAAGGTTTCAGAGACTGATAACCACAGAAATGGCTTAGCAGGACACGGGTGAGAAGACAGGACACAAAGACCTCTCTGCCCAGGGAGAAGAAGATCAGCCTCTCACGAGTTTGGAGAAATCCACTTCTGAGTTGAGTTTTTACAGATTTCAACAGGTACCTGCTGTTACTTTAAAAAGCAGAGATGAGGCCAGGTTTACAGGTTCATGCCTGTAAACCCAGCACTTTGGGAGGCAGAGGTGGGTGGATCATCTGAGGCCAGGAGTTCAAGCCCAGCCTGGCCAACATGGCGAAACTCCATCTCTACTAAAAATACAAAAATTAGCCAGGCGTGATGGCACACACCTGTAGTCCCGGCTACTCGGAGGCTGAGGCAGGAGAGTCGATTGAACCTGTGGGGGGCGCAGCGGCAGTGAGCCAAGATGGCACCACTGCGCTCCAGCCTGGACAACAGAGACGCCATCCAAAAGAAAAAAAAAAAAGCAGACATGAATGGAATCTAGAAGATAATCACAGGCTATGAGGTTCCCCAGGACTGGACGCAGCCTGCAAAAAACATGGGACCCTGTTCTGGCCTCTGAATTGTGCCTGTCATGTGGAAGACCTCAGTGGTGTTGGAGGAAGCAACAAGTGAAATAGGGAAAAGGTTAACCAGGATTTAGCTCATCGTATTGGGAAGGAGAAGAGAGGTACTGGTGACAACCACGAGACATGAGCTAAAATTACACAAAGAGCTCAGGTAACTATAAAAAGAGGTGACTGGCTCTGGGGAAGCCAAAATCAAAACAAACCTAACAAGTTGCAGAAGATTATAGAATAATGACCAGTGTTTAAAAGACAGAAAGAAAAAGAGACTATGCAGTTCGGCCATTACCTGCTCGGAATGGGTGATACTAGTTTGGGGTCTCTATATTCCCTTTATGTTTCACTTAAAATTTATTATGAAAATTCAAATCTATTCAAAAGTAGACACAGAAGTATAATAAAACTATATTTTATGTACCCGTGACTCCAACTTCAGCTTCAGTAATGATCAACGTTTTGCTGTTTCATTATACCCACTTCTTAAAAAATTACTTTAAGTTACATCCCAACACCCTGTCTCTCAGGTGACATTTCTGAGGCCTCCACGGCTCTATGGTTCTACCGCGTGGGGGTATCATGTGCAGGACAGTAAAACTGACTGGCATGTAGGCTGCATCTTGCCAACTGCCCAAAGGTTTAAACAAAAGGAGGCAACCTGAATATTGACTTGAAGCATCCAACTCAGCATAATACTTAATTATCATGCAAGAAAAACGCCCATATATTCAATTTGCAAATATTGAGGATATGCAAGTCAGCTCCAGCCTCAGGGGATATGATAGTAAACAAAAGAGAAAAAAATAAAACCCTGATCCCAATGAGGCTTCCACACTGCTAAGTTTTGGGACCAGAGACAAAACATACTCTGGAGTTAACCTGACTCTCCTTAAGTCACAGGCCTATTTGACATGAATCACAACCTAGCCAGAGAGCAGTTTCTATTCCCCTTTAATTGACAAATTCTTTCCTTTTTAAAAAATGGCATTCAGAGGTCTCTCATGATACTGGTGCTAGAGAAGGAGTTAACTTTCTGGTTCTCTAGACTTCTGATGATGTACCCCAATAAATAAATGCACCCCTCACATTAAATGCTTTTATCTATAAACCATATACAAGTATTTTCTGACCATTAGAAAACACACAAATATGAATTTAAAAGATGGCCAAAAAATAACTATCCATAGAAGTTCTAATGTTTCTATTCTATTCTACAATCTAATGGATGGTCTAGGCAGCCACTATGGGGCATACACCCCACTCTGGAGACAGTCCTTCCATCTCCTGAGCAGCCCTGCAGCCTCTTTGGTGGCTTGCCTGCCTTGTGTCTCCATCTGTTCCCCACCATGGGCAACAATGCATGAAACTGCTAATGGAGGCACCCTGAAATGCGTGCCACACCTGGGAGGCAGAGGGACAGTGCCTGCAAAAGCCTGCAAAAAGGGACTGTCACATCAAAGAGGGAGGAAAAGACACTCAGCATCACCCAGTGATGAAGGGAAGCATGCCAGAGAGAGCAGGACGCTACTGGTGACCGTCGCCTGGCCTGCCTGAGAGGGTGAAGAGACTGAGCCGGCCTCTCTGCAGGACAGAGAGGCTTGAGGCCGAGACCCACGCCAGGCTCCAGGGCTGGCCTCCTCTGAAGGTCTGTCCTGGACACCCTGAAGCTTCAGCCCTGACCCCAAGGACAAGGATCTTCACCCTGCCTGAACTCTAGGGAGGTCTTGGCATCGGCAGAGTTTGCCTCTGACTCACATCAGGAGAGAAAAGCACAGACTGGCTGTCTTCAGAGTCTAACCTGGGAGTCTGGGCTGCTCAGCCACCCCCTCAAGAACTCAGTTCCGTCCACTGTGAGGTGCCTGGCTGGGCTGCTTGACAGATAAGGTCCCCCGCCAGCTCCCCATCCTGGGATGCCTCAGAAGCTTGCCTGAGGCGCAATGTAGGTAACTGTCCTACAGAAGGAACAATGAGCCATTTGACCATTTCACTAGTGGCACAGAAACAAGGGGCAATTTGAACACAAGAATACCAGGTAAAGGAAGACTACAGTAGAGTTATGTAACATTAGCTGGAGCTCAACACTAATCTCCTCCCCTCTCACACCCTGCAAAGACCACAGCCACCTGCTTCTCCAACACAAGTGAAACTACACGGAAAGAAACACCTCAGATGTACTCCGAAACACAAACTTCACTCAGTGAAAGCACAGGCTTAGGTCCACAGACTTTCGATGCCTTGATCTTGGCTATAAGATCTACGTTTTGCACAGTATCAGAATAGACAAACCTGGAACATTACAATGTATATTCTTGTTAGGGACCACCTTCTATGGGACATCTGACCATCGGAACCTGCCCTACCCTCAATCCATCATTAGATAATCTTACATGCTTACTAGCGGTAAGGCCCTGTATTAAACGCTGCTGAAAACACAGAGATGACAATGACTAGGTCTCCCATGTGCCCAGAGCTTAGAGTGTGGCTGGGGTGCCAATCTGTGGAAGCCAGATATGCACTCATGAAAAGATGCACGTGGGACAGAGGCTGGGATGCTCATCAAAATATTTAATAGCCAGTACGGCCAGACACCAACCAGCCAGAAAAGACACAGGCCAGTGCACCAAAACAGGGCTCCAAAGTTCCTCTACTGCCCCATGTATTAACCCTTTAGTTTCCATATGAAGGGCGGGGGCACTTGGGTAGCAGCTATTCTCTAGCCAGGATGGGAGTATTTCGATATTTTAACCACTAGCATGATCGCTGGTGCATCTACAGCTGAATGACAGTGAGTGTAGGTGAGGAAGGGGAGAGTCACTCCAGGAAAAGTGCCTCTGAGGAGCAGGGCTCTGTGGGACAAGGAATGGCATTCCAAATAGGCCAACATGGGCATCGTACCATTTAGATGTACTTTTTTTTTTTTTTTTTTTGGAGACAGAGCCTCACTCTATACCCCAGGCTGGAGTGCAATGGCACGATCTTGGCTCACTGCAACCTCTGCCTCCCAGGCTCAAGGGATTCTCCTGCCTCAGCCTCCTGAGTAGCTGGGATTACAGGCGCCTGCCACCACACCTGGCTAATTTTTGTATTTTTAGCAGAGACAGGGTTTCACCATGTTGTCCAGGCTGGTCTCGAACTCCTGACCTCAGATGATCCACCTGCCTTGGCCTCCCAAAGTGCTGAGATTACAGGCGTGAGCTACCACACCCAGCCTAGATGTACTCAACACAAACTTTATCCCAGCAAAAGCACAGACTTGAGTCTAGAGATTTTCAGTGTCTTGATCTTAGCTATAGGATCAAAGACACCATCGGACCAGGACACAGGAAGGTCAGTCAGGCAGATGACAGCACCCAGGTACAGTGTCTTGGGTACACAGACCCATTAACCCCATGCCGCCAGAGTTTGCTTTCTAGAAGCCTCAGGATATGGTGGTTTGGAGAGGAGTGGAGATAGCAGGTAGGAAGCAAGCTGCAGAAGCCCCTGACAGGCAAGGTAAGTAAACACCTGGAGCCTTATGGAGGGGAGCCTGGAAGGCTTCTGCTTAGGAGGGATTTGATCAGAGCTGTGATTTAGAAAAAGCAACCATCCCCCTCTGCACCCTGCCCCTCTTCCTAACAAAGGCCTTCACTGTTTAAATTGGAGGTGACAATTCTGGTTCACGATGGCAATACTGAGAAGGCAAGGAGGAAATGCATGTGTGTTGGGTAATACTGCACAGAGAGGGTCAGAATAAGCAGAACTGCTGACTGACTGGACTTCAGGGCAGAAACCAAGGGCAATACCGACGTCCAGCCATTCTTTGAACAGGCACAGGGCCCGGGAACAAACTCCACACGTGTGCATGGCCAGAGGGTCAGGCAGGTTGTGTTACCTTGGCCAAGTCACCCCCCTCCGATCCCTGCAGACTCCCAAGTAGCTGGGACTACAGGTGCCCACCACCATGCCTGGCTAATTTTTTGTATTTTTAGTAGAGACAGGGTTGCACCGTGTTAGCCAGGATGGTCTTGATCTCCTGACCTCATGATCCGCCCACCTCGGCCTCCCAAAGTGCTGGGATTACAGGCGTGAGCCACTGCACCCGGCCAGTCATGCGTCTCAATTGTTCTCCAGCCTTACAAGACCAATGTCCAGGGCAGGCAAAGCCTTTTATTTTTTAATTCTCTAGAAAGTCACAGCTACATAGCAAGTGATCTTATCACTCCCTGAGCCACGCTGAATCAAAATTTGTGGTCTCTTTCAGCACTCTAGTGGTATAAAGAGATAATTCAAGGCAGAGTGTAAATGAGATGGGGGTAAAATCAAGGAGCAGTGACACCGAAGGAGACCCAGCTCTGTCCTTCCTGTCTTACTGCCAGCTGTATAACCTGGAACTTTCTTTTTTTTTCTTTTGGAGACAGAGTCTCACTCTGTCACCCAGGCTGGAGTGCTGTGGCGCAATCTTGGCTCACTGCAGCCTCCGCCTCCTGGGTTCATGCGATTCTCCTGCCTCAACCTCCCGAGCAGCTGAGACTACAGGCACGTACCACCACGCCCAGTTAATTTTTGTATTTTTAGTAGAGACGGGGTTTCACCATATTGGTCAGGGTGATCCACCCGCCTCGGCCTCCCAAAATGCTGGGATTACAGGCGTGAGCCACCGCACCTGGCCTAACCTGGAACTTTCTAGGCCCTCCTGGAGTGAGAACTTCTAGCTCTGGAGGGGCAGTAGAGCCCAGCAATTAGGAGCACAGACCCTGAAGCCAGACTGCCTAGGTTCAAATTCTGGTATGGGGAACTTAATCTTTGCACCTGTTCCTTTATCTTGTGTACAGTAAGGATAGCAGCAGGACCTACCTTACAGGGTTGCTGAAGGTACTAATGAGTTAACCCATCAGAAGCTTAGCAGCACCTGGCTCTGTCTGCTGCTCTCATCACTGCTCTGTTCCTAAGCCTGGCCGTGTCCAGGCTGTGGCTACCACCTCGGTCAGCTACCACAGCCCTGCTTTGTGGCAGACACCTGGACCCTGAAGGAGAAACTAGCTCCGGAAGCACTTTCTCATGACTCTGCTTAATAAAGGAATAAATAGTATTCAGAGTGTTTCAGTCCTTCTTATATGGACATTTCTCCCACAACAAACCTAAGGGGAAAGTGCCCATTTCTATAGCAGCCAAAGCTGTGCTAATGGATAGAGCCTACATTTATCAGAAGTCCCCTCCAGAATGAGGAAATGGTCTACAGGCAGGCCCCGTTTCCTCCTCTGATGCCCTAACTTCTTTCCATTTCTCTTTCCAAACCATGAAATCCCTATTTCAACTGCTTTTGACTAGAATACATGAACCCAAAAGTCCATTAAACCTATTCATTAGTAAAAACACTTTTCAAATTATTGTTAATTTCAAGAGTTTTAAAGCAGAACATTTTTTATTTTTTAAAGACGTATTTAAACATATAACAAAGGTTGGTAAACTGTTCTGAAAAATATCCAACAAATGGGGAGAAGTAACTAAATTATGGCCCATACAGCAAATAATGCAGTCATCTTCAGAACTTATTTTTTGAAGAATATGTAACAACGTGTAAAAAAGCCCACAATATAACTTAGGTGATAAAGTTAAATTGTCAAAATTGTAATCTTTAATTAACAATGTATGCTTAAAATTTGTTTATTGTATAGGGAAAAAAGACTGGAAGGAAATATAACAAAATGTTAATAGTATTTAATCTCTGGAAGAGCTTCATTTTTCCTATTTCCCAAATTTTCTCCAGTAAGTATGTATGACTCTTAAAATATGAAAAACAAATACAGCTTTTCTGTGGCAAGTGGTTTTTAGATATTAGACAGCTTTCAGAATTTTATTTAAACTTGAAGACCAGCAAATAATTCATAAAGAGAATCAGCCCAGGCACCTATATGGAACCACCAGTTTTGAGATTTTATTTTATTGTTTTTACTTTTTTTTTTCTAGAGATGGGGTCTTGCTCTGTTGCCCAGGCTGGTCTTGAACTCCTGGCCTCAAGCAACAAGCTATTTGCCTCCAGATGATCACATCCTTCTAAGGCAGGCAGCACAGGGGAGCAGGGCCCTTACTCACCTCCACTTAAGTTTTTGTCCAAGGGTGACACCCTCCAAGCCAGCCACACTTCAAGGAGTCTCCAATATTTCACCCGCCCCTCTTGATTCCTCAAAGGTCATAAGTGAATCAATACTGTGTTGTTTCTAACACAGTCAAGAACATGAAAGTGGGCTGGGTGCAGTGGCTCACGCCTGTAATCCTAGCACTTTGGGGAGGCCAAGGAGGGCAAATCGCTTGAGCCCAGGAGTTCGAGACAACTGGGCAATATGGCAAAACCGCTTCACTACGAAAAAAATACAAAAATTAGCTGGGCATAGTGATGTGCGCCTGTAGTCTAAGCTACTGGAGAGGCTGAAGTGGGAGGATCAACTGAGCCCAGGGAGGTGGAGAGGCTGCAACGAGCCATGATCATGCCTGTACTCCAACCTGGGCGACAGAGTGAGACCTTATCTGGGAAAAAAGAAAAAAAAAAGAAAGTGAAAATGTCATGATGTAGAAAATGAACATAACTCAGATTATGTGATAGTTTTCTCTTCTTGCCATTATATACAACCCAAGGCTTGCCACAAACTGAAATTTCTTATGCATTGACATTCAGCATTTGATGTAAAATGACAATCTTAGAGTCGCTGCCACAAACCCTGGTAAAACTGCCCCTGCCTTCTCCAGTTCACTAAGTTCAGCTACTCCTTCAGGGCTTGTGCTCCTTTAAAACTTTTCAGAAGCCCCTTGAAGTACCAACATGTTGAAACTCAAACTCAACTGCCTGCAGCTTCAGATCAGCTCTGGCCACTGAGAATTCTTCTCCAGGCCCCAGTGTCAAAGGCACTTTTGACCATCATGTGTTTGTCTGACTACCAAGTTGGACTGCCAACCTTCACTAAAAACTCCGGCACCTTTATCTACCTCCTGTCAGATCACCGCCTGTCAGAGAGGGAGGCCTAAAAAGGCTTCAGGATATCAACAGCTTTGAGCTGCCTTAGAGGAACTTCTTTTCTATTTTGTAGTACAGGAGCCTCATGCACTGCATCATCCAAACAAGACTCTCCACAAAACATTACTAATGGATTCTAATTGAACAGAGTTTGGTTACAAGAGACAGTAAACACAAATGGGCACCTGTTTTAAATGGCAAACTTACACAATAAATTCAATTGATCTTAAAAACTAAACATTCCTCTAAGGTTACTGACTATAAATATCTAGAAATTACTACTCCTATAGTCTTGCTATTTCCAGACAAGTGAAACTGGAAGGGAGAGAGGAGAAATACCCAGTTATAATGACAAGACAACCTTATCTTTTCTCAAAAGCCTCCCCAAACACACAACCATTTTCCACAAAACAGTTACATCAAAAAAGATGTAGCAAGACCTAGACATTAAGCATGCTAGAAAGTAGGGACAGTTTTACCAGTGTTTGTGGCAGCAACTCTGAGATAGTCATTTTACATCAAATGCTAAATGTCAATGCATAAGAAATTTCAGTTTGTGGTAAGCCCTGGGTTATATATAATGGCAACAAGAGAAAACTATCACATAATCTGAATTACGTTCATTTTTCTGCATACACCATGCATGCTGGTACACTTTCAGTTAGCCTAAACTTCACCCAAAAGTAGAGGTGGCTATGAAAACTCTACCTGCATGGTATAAATAGATACCTAACCCTACATGCATGGGTCACTTGTATCTACCTCCTAAATACCAAAAACTTAGAAGCCCAGATTTCTTTTCAGTCAGGCTGCCTGCGATAACAATAAAAATACTGCCAAAATAGGAACAACAGAGACAGGAAGGAAATATGCCAAAATGCTTATAATTGTGGGGAAGGGTAATTTTTTGTTTTGTTTTGTTTTTTACAGAGTCCTGCTCTGTTGCCCAGTCTGGAGTGCAGTGGCGGGATCTCAGCTCATCACAACTTCTGCCTCCTGAGTTCAAGCGATTCTCCTGGCTCAGCCTCTCGAGTAGCTGGGACTAGAGATGCATGCCACCACGCCTGGCTAATTATTTGTATTTTTAGTAGAGATAGGGTTTCTCCATGTTGGTCAGGCTGGTCTCGAACTCCTGACCTCAAATGATCTGCCCGCCTCGGTCTCCCAAAGTGCTGGGATTACAGTGAGCCACCACGCCTGTCTGGGTAATTTTTTTTTAAGTATTCTGTTTACAGTAAATTCAGAAAACAGAAGTCTTTAATATGTCTGTTTTAAAGGGGAGAGGTATAAGGTGTGCGGCTAACAAGTTTATTTTTCTAGTCGCAGAATTTGGACTCGTGAAAGATTTTAGTCTAATGCAGTTTGTTCACAAATATAAGGAGGGGGGCCTCAGACTAGGGAGGTGTTTTCCGAGTTGAGTCAGAACAAGAAAGTAAGTCTCCCAAGACCTGGTCCTTTTCCACTATATCACACTGCACTGTCTGGCTCCAATCTGATGGCGAGCAATGGTTCCTTAAAAAGCTCCATCTTCTCAAGCCTACCCAGCACAGACCTACAACTCAAACTTTAAGTTTTAGCCAGCCTAACCTTCCACGTCCACTTGAAAAAAGAAAAAAAAGAAAGAAACAATCAACCGGAAGCCTTTGATTTTTTTGCTAGCAAGAAGCCAATAATTGTTTTCTTTGGGACAATCACAGGTTAAGTTGTGAAATGGGTGGCAGAAACTGCAAGATTTAACCAGTTTCTCTCAACGCTAATCAAAGGTCAAGAAAATAAAAGACAGGGCAGTGAGAGTCGCGGGACTTTAGACACTCCTGCACCAAGAAGCTTAAAAGTCTTAGCCAGGGCACTAGAGAACGCTTTTAGAATGGTCACTCTTAATTATGCTCCATAACCTTGAAATTGGACTGAGTGGGGAAGGGGTTTCCACACTCTCACAACGCACCGACTGGGGGAACGCCTGTCCCCAGACTCGAATCCACGTGTCCATTCAAGTCATCTACCGCCACTCTCCGTCTACGCTGCCAGGTGACAGACATCATCTTTGCTTCTCAATTTCAAAAAATGCCAGCACTCCTTAGATCAATGACTCCACGGCCAAGTGCAAGGGCCACGGGCACTCCTCTGGAGTCACCGAGAGAATGTCTGCCTCTGGCAGCGGCCTCTGAGCTGCCTGTGGGCCTCGTGCCGCCGCGCTGCGTGGGGCCGGCATCTCAGCGGGCGCGAGTGCAGTCTCGCCCCACGCGCGGTCCGAACGCCCGCGAGCCCGGCCTCTGGGCAGGCGGGGGCCGCGGACGAGGGCAACGTCAGCGGCCCAGCTGGGCCACCTCCTCCCAGCCGAAGCGCGGCCTCCGGCTGCTTCGCCGGGCCGGTCCCCGCCGCCGCACACACAAGGGTCGGTCCCGCGCGCATCCCCGGCCGCGCACCAGCCCCGCGCCCGCGCCGCCCGCGACTCAGACACAGGAAGCTGCGGCAGCACGGGCACCCCGGAGGCCTCCGGCTGCCGAGGGAAGCGGGGCCGCGGGCAGGAGGCCGGAAAGGCGGCGCGGCCCCACGAGCCTGGGGTGGCTCACGCGCCTCCGCGGCGGCCGCTGCTCCGGGCTCGGCCCTGAAGGGCAACGTCAGCCGGCGCCTCGGCCGGGGCCCGGGCACCGCCGCGGGAGCAGGCGCGGCTCCGCACGGCGGGCGCACTCACCTCCTCCGTGGACCGGCCGCTCCGCCGCCGGCTGTCACTGCAGCCCACTCCCTGCCCCGCGCCGGCTCTGGATGCTATTTAAGGCGCCGCTGGCGCCGCCGCCTCGGCCCGCTGGTTGCGCCCCCGCCACCGCCGCGGCTGAGCCAGGATGCTGCTGGTGCGCTCGCCGCGCCGGCCCCGCCCTCCCGCGGCCCCGCCCCGCCCGCAGGCCCCGCCCCCGGCAGGCCCCGCCCCGCCGAGCGCCCGGCCGCCCTCCTGTCTGGGCGCGCGTGGCTGGCGGGTGGCCGGCGGTCGAGAGGCTGCGGCGGGCGAACGCCGCTGGAGTCGCCCAGACTGCCTCGGATTTCATAATGAATCTGAGGAAGGACAAAGGGTACATTGGACCGCCTCAGCTCAGAGGCCCCGCGGACCCTGGGCCCCGCGATGCCCGAGGGGCGGGCGGCGCCCTCCGGATCCTGCACCCTCAGCCCGTGCCCCGCTGGCCTCCTGGCAGGCCGGGCAGAATTCTGCTGCGAGGGCCCTGGAGGCAAGGGCCTTCCTCTCCGTTTTTCCTTGACACTGACGGGCGCGGCCCCACAGGGTTTCCCCCACGCTCCCTGGCCGGAAGACCTTTTCTGTCTGGTGTCTGCAGAGCCTGACGTGGGCAGCGCCCGCAGCTCGCGCCGGTGCAGGGGAGCTGAGGGCCGACTGCGCGCTGCACCACGGCGGCCACCTGCTGTGCGGTTCTGAGGGCTTCCGCGGTTCTGAGGGCTTCCGCGTCCCTGCCATGCCCATCTTGGGGCTTCAGAAGCCAACACGATGGTTTTCGGGCTCACATCCCAAAGGCTGCTCTTCCTTTTAGCACCTGGGACCTACCAGGAACCTCAACCTCTAACAACATTGGTCCCCGTTACCGTGGAGTTTGCGCCCAGCGTTCGCTGGAGGGCCGTTTGAAGAATGATTGTTGTCGTAAAGGCCTTTGATAATAATAGATACTGTTTACCCAGTGCTTGATGCCAGGCATTGCTACAAACACTGCGTACACATTATTCTATTTAATCTTCATAACCCAGTGAGGTAGGTACTGTCATTACTGTCCTTTCACAGAAGAGGAAGCTGGGGCACAGAGGTTAAATGCTAGTGAGAGCAGTACCACACTTGGCACTCAGGCTGCCCCCAGAGTGTGGGCACAACCAACGCAGGGCTATGCCTGGGCTGCAGGCAGGGGAAACTGACCGTGGTTCGCTCCAGGCCTCAGCCACACTGCAGTTCACTCCCACAAATAACTGAAGGACTTTCCCTGGGTGTCTCCCACAGTGTGCTGGGCGCAGTGGTGCAGTGGGGTGAGGACAACGCACACACCAGCAACCTCTCTAGCAGCTCAGTCCTTTTAGATCTCCATCTTCCAGATCTAGAAAAAATGGACTCCACGTTCGTTTTCACTGGTTCCCGCTTGGCTAATCCCTGGTTTTTCTGTCCAGATCTCGCCTCCCCATCCGTGATTTTGTCATCTTTGCCTCTCCTTTTTCCTCTTCTCCAACCGGTCCCTCAGCCCCAGAACCTCTGCAGGCACCTCCCAAGTTCTGTGGTCTATTGTTTTCAAGGGCTGCTGGAACGAAGTACCACACACTAAGTGGCTTCAACAACCGAAATGTATGGTCTGTCCTGGTTCTGGAGACTAGAAGTACAAAATCACGGCGTGGGAGGGCTGGCTGCTTCCGAGGCCCATGAAAGAGCATGTGTGCCCGGCCACTCTGACTTGCAGATGCCCATCTTCTCCCTATGTCTCCTCACACCATCTTCCCTGTGGTGTGTGTGTGCAAATCCCTTCTTTCTATAAGGACACCAGTCATACTGGACTAGGGCCCACCCGAATTGCCTCATTTTAACTTGATGACCTCTGTAATCATGAGGTAATGTCCAAGTAAGGTCCCATTCTAAGATACCTGAATGCCCAGGCACGGTGGTTCATGCCTGTAATCCCAGCACTTTGGGAGGCCGAGGCAGGCAGATCAACTGAGGTCAGGAGTTCAAGACCAGCCTGGCCAACATGGTGAAACCCTGTCTCTACTAAAAATAAAAAAATTAGCGGGGCATGGTGGTGCGTACCTGTAGTCCCAGCTACTCGGGAGGCTGAGGCAGAAGAATTGTTTGAACCCAGGGAGGTGGAGGTTGCAATGAGCCAAGATCACGCCACTGCATTCCAGCCTGGGAGACAGAGCAAGACTCTGTCTCAAAACAACAACAACAACAACAACAAACCCCTGAACATATGAACTTGGGGAATGTGGGGGTGACAATTCAACCCGTAACATGTGGATGGTCGTCACTGGCTGTCTCACCTTACGTCTTCTCCTCAAGACACTTTTCTTTTAAACTGGGTGCCTCTCCCTGGGCTCTAGCCCTTAATGAGGTGATTTCCAACTCAAGGCTGGGAAAGGCACACAACCCAGTATCAGACCTGAGTTCACACTCCTTCTGGCAGGAACTTCTAGGTGACATTGGGAAGCAACTTCATTCCTTAGAACCTAGATTTCTCCTCAGGCTATAAGGGGGCTTGGCTAAATAATCTCTTAGGTCTCTTTCAGCACACACACTTAAAAAAAAACAAAAAAGTTTTTATCTAATCACTCCAAAAAGTTTTACAATGTATGGGGTTGTCTTGTGGACTTGAGATAGAGACTTTGATGGGAGGCAGTATTGCATAGTGGTTAAGAACACAGGCTTTGGGGTGGGTGAATCCACATCAAGCCTCATTGCATCCTCCTTAAATCAGGAATAATACCTACCTCAGACAGGTGTCATAGGATTGACAGCCACGCCCTTGGCGTTCTCATTAAATGAAGATTCCAGACTCTATAGTTGGGAGTTTGTGACTTAGGTAAGAAACCAGTCTCTTTTTTTGAGACGGAGTCTCACTCTGTTGCCCAGGCTGGGGTGCAGTGGTGCGATCTCGGCTCACTGCAATCTCTACCTCCTGGGTTCATGCCATTTTCCTGCCTCAGCCTCCCAAGTAGCTGGGACCACAGGCACCCACCACCACACCCGGCTAGTTTTTTGTATTTTTAGTAGAGATGGGGTTTCATTGTGTTAGCCAGGATGGTCTCGATCTCCTGACTTCGTGATCCACCCGCCTTGGCCTCCCAAAGTGCTGGGATTACAGGCGTGAGCCACCGCGCCCGGCCTTTTTTTTTTTTTTTTTTTTAAATGAAGGACATGATTGTTTTTAAAAATTGGGCCAGGTGCGGTGGCTCACACCTGTAATCCCAGCACTTTGGGAGGCAAATGCAGGAGGATTGCTTGAGTCCGGGAATTCAAGACCAGCCTGAGCAACATAGTGAGACCCTCCGTCTCTAAGAAAAAGTTTTTAAAAATTGTGTCACAGTGATCACAATGACCACTATTCACATCATAATGGCTTTTCTTTTGGCTATTAACACTGCAGTGTTTTTGTATACTGAAATGTGTCTGTGGGACCAACAGCATTAAAGAATAAAGATCCTAGATGAAAATAAACACTAATAATCCTGGTGTCCTCTCCAATAGAATTAATCTAAACTCCTTATGAATCAGTAGCATTATAATGTTATGTAGTTATGAGGAATAGAATTCTTTTAGAAGCAGGCAGCATGAACTTATACTTCCTTGTACTTACTTCTTTAAGAAACCAGTCTTAACCCTCCTTTCTACTGTCTTTTTTTTCAAGCATCTCTCTAGCCAAGGGAATAAGAGCCAATTGGATATTGTAGTGGTGCAAATTTCCTAGCGGAAATTTGAGTCTTTTTTCGGTCACTCCTGCCCTTGTTACATTTTGGCCTGATTAAAATGTTGTGGCTAATTCTGGCTAAATCCACATTGACATCTGCCTAACACCGATTGATCAATCTCCTGGAGAAGCTAAAGAGAACTGGGCCGGGTGCAGTGGCACATGCCTGTAATCCCAGCATGTTGGGAGGCCAAGGTCGGCGGATCACTTCAGCCCAGGAGTTTGAGACCAGTGTGAGCAACATGGCGAGATCCTGTCTCTACAAAAAATACAAAACTTAGCCCAGCATGGTGGTGTGCACCTGTAGCCTATAGTCCCAGCTACATGGGAGGCTGAGGTGGGAGGATCTCTTGAACCCAGGAGGTCGAGACTGCAGTGAACCGTGATTGCACCATTGCACTTTGGCATGGGCAACAGAGCAAGACCACATCAAAAAAAAAAAAGAAAGAAAGAAAAGAAAAAAAGAATCGAAGTCTTTCTGGGTCAAGCTGATTAGCAGGTTTACAGTGGCCTTGTCTCAAAAGTTCCCACTTGTGATTAGGAACTACAAAGCTGTGATTATTATTAATCTTCTGCACCTATTGCTTTTGAGCATGGCTATCTGAAGTATAGCCACATCAATTAATAATGGCCGATGAGCTTTTAATTACAGACCTCGGTAATTGGCTGGTTAAAGGAAGATTGGCATCAGTAACTGAGTTCTTTTTGTTCAATCCATTTTGGGACTGCAACTATATTAGGCATACATCCATGCCCCCATGAAACTGTAAGGGACTGGAAGGAGGCAGTGTGTCCCGTGAATCCTCATGAACCATCCCAGTCTTTCTTACTCCCCTGCACGTCCTCTTCATTTACACAGAGTAGGTATTCAATTGTTGAGTTGGACACATTTTTCTAACTACTCGATGTCAACCAAGGGTAGATCCACGTTTGGAGCCTTAAACTTACACAGTTTAGGGAACCTCTATAAGAAAATTACAAATACAAAGTTGGATACAAAAGTGAATGTTTCCTTTAGAATTAGAACAGAAATCACAGTAAACTACAAATTTTAAAAGTTTGGGCTTTCTAGGGCCTCCGGCAGTAGGGAAGGGAAAAAATGTTGCCCACATAATTGCAATCATAAATTTCACAAAATCCAGAAAAAAATCACCTAAAAATTTTATTAATTCTTTTTTCCTACCACTCTAATAAGTTTTTTTCCTGTGTTTTGGGCTGTGTACTAATGAATGTTTTCTTCATGCGACATTTTAAATAAACTTTATAAAACAGTTTTTGATGTATAGAAAAATTGCCAAGTTCCATAAACCCCCCACCCAATTTCCACTGATTAACATCTTAGATTAACATTTGTGATGATGACTGAGCCAATATTGACACATTATTATAACCAAAGCCCATCCATTGTTCAGATTTCATCCGTTTTTACCCAGCGTCCTTTTTCTGTCCCAGGATATCAACCAGGATATGGCATTGCATTGGATCCCAACCAGGATATGACGTTACATTGGATCCCAACCAGGATATGGCATTGCACTGGATCCCAACCAGGATATGGCATTGCACTGGATCCCAACCAGGATATGGCATTGCGTTGGATCCCAACCAGGTTATGGCATTACATTGGATCCCAACCAGGTTATGGCATTGCATTGGATCCCAACCAGGATATGACATTGCATTTACTCATCACGCCTCCTTAGGTTCCTCTTGGCTGTGACGGTTTCTCAGACTATCCTTGTTTTTTAGGACCTTGACAGTTTTGAGGCATACTGGTGAGTGTTTTGTAAAACATACTTCTATTGGGAGTTGTCTGATGTTTTTCTTACGATTAGACTGGGGTTATAGGTTTTTAGGAGGAAGGCCACATGTGACATTTTTATAATATAATTTTCTACAGGAAGAAAATTCGGACTTTTCTCTACCATGATTGATGGGCTTTTCTTACATTGTTAGTTTTGATTCAAAATCAAAACTATGTGGATGGGTACCAAATTCATTGCTTTTCATTTTAAATGAATGCTGATTGGAAAAATTTTCAGTGGTAAACCTACCGGCTATGTCCATTTCACTCCGTGTTTCTCTTCCCCTGCCCATCTCCTAAGATGCCTTAGGAGAGGGGAAATATGATCTCTGGCCTTGAACCTCCTGCCAGGATGCTAGATAAGTTGACAGAGAGGGTGGAGAAATATACCTGAAGGCATTCCTGTGCGGAGAAAGCTAGAGCTATACATGCAAGTCCCTGTGAATTCCGTAACTACATCTCCCCAGACCCAAAGAAATGTATGTTCAGCTCCAGCTCTTGTTAGCTGGGTTCCAAAGATGACCTTGGTCACTTCAGCACCATAATGGGATGAGGTGGTGACAGAAGAGACTTTGCATAGAGTGCACCAACTGTGCTATGTGCTGTATCAACTGATTGCAGCTACGTGGTCTTACTTTTGCAAATTTTGTGGAAACATTTAACCATGTGACTAGGTTGCCAGAGCCCCTCCCGAGGTCTCACAAGGGGCTTCTATAAATGAGAAGCCCTAAAAATCAAGCTATGTGAGCCTCGCAATGAATCTACTCCCGTTGGCAATGCTTTTTGCACCGTTATGATGCCACTGCTTGGACTTGCTAGTTCAACTCTCCTGGGCTTCAGCGGTAGTGAAGAAGAAGCATTTCCACCAGGCCGACACTGTTCTAACACTACTGATAATTATCCTGTGGTCTTCAGTGGCCCTAATGAAGTCATAGTCCCTTTCTCCACACCCCTTTTAGTTTTAACATGCACTTGATCCACTGGCTTCATCCACTCCATGTGGGAGAACAATCCACAGCTGCTTAGGCCGCAGCTGCCCAGGGTTTCCCCTCTCTTTTCTGGGTTGGAGGACTCCAGCTCTCCCAGACTCACTGCTCAGGCCTTCTCCTGGCATTGCAGTTCTGCCCCAACACAGAGCTGACAAACCAGGGCGTCTAGACCCCACCCTGCGTCCCCACAGCACTCTATTTTTTTGTTCTTGGAAGTGATATGAAGATCTTATGTAGTCAATGTCAAAAAGAAATGATAATTACTTCATTTTTCCCACTCAACTGGCCACTTATTCCCAACTAGTAAAATTCAACCTCTGCAAGGGTTTCTAAGGCACCCTTCATAACCTGACCCTGCTTTCCCCGCCAACAAGTTCATATCATTTTCCTCTCCAGCTATCTGTAGTCAAGAGTAAAAAGTCTGGAGTCACACAGGTTGGAACCAATTCCACTACTCACTAGTTCAGACCCAAGGCAAGTAACTGTCAAATCCCTGTCTTTCTTATCTGCTGAGTGAATATAATACTGTATTGCATCAAATCTAAATCATCAATTGTAAGATGCACTATTAATTTATGTAGCCCTGATAAAGAAAAGAATTTCTGCTGATTTTAATTGCAAAACATTGTCCTTTGGAAGATGCACCCTCTATCAATTCGCTTTTGCTGTATGACAAATCACACCAAAACTTAATGGCTTAACACCACAATCATTCATTAGCTCATCATTCTGTGGGTCGGCACTTGGGCTAGGTTCAGCTGGGTGGTTCCCCTGCTGGTCTCTCTTAGGCTCAGTCCTGCAGCCACCAATAGCTGGTGGATCAGCTGGGGCCAGATGCTCTGGGATAGCCTCATTTACATGTCTGATGGTTGGCTGACAATTTGCTGAGGCTCCTCAGTTCTTCACATGGCCACCCTAGCAAACTAGCTCAAGCGTGTTCAAATAGTAGTGTCACGGCTACAAGCACAGCAAAGGGGACAAGCCTCAGGGCATAAATGCTTTTCAAACCCCTTGCATCATGTTTGCGTGCTTGAATCCAGGCAGTCTGGTTCCAGACCCTCGACTCTTAACCTGCAGAGAGTTCCGTCTTACTGGAGAGGGGAATGAGAGCAGGGATGGGTCCCGTTGGCTAAAGCAAGCCACATGACCAAGTCAAGACTCAGTATGGGAAAGAGCTACTGAAGCACATGGGTACGAGGAGGAGAATTTTGCTGGTTATTTTGCAATCTACCCACATCCTGACTGTGTACATAAAAAAGTCTGAAGAAATTTGTACTAAGAGTGCACAAGTACTAAGAGTAGTAGTGCTTGCCTCAAAGAGTTGAGTAGTAGGGCTCTGTGAGATAATGTCAGTAATATCACTTAGTACAGTGCGTGGCCCCTGGTCAATGTTCTGTACGTACTATTACTATCACATTTGTGTCCGTGCTTCTTTCTACCAGAAAGCTGGTAAATTCATGTTTATCCTCCCAATCCTAACTCAGACATCACTTTCCCTAGGACACACACACAATTTGTTGCTCCCAGAGCTGTGCCACCCTGTACTTTACACACATTGCCTTTGTTGCAGCAGGTTGTCATTCTTGTGCTTCTGTGGGCCTGGCTTTGGGCTTTTTGGTAGCAGATATTCTGTGTCTAGACACCTTCCATCCCCAATACAGTGCCTGGCACTTGATATGTGTTTATTTAATTGAAGTGACATGTTACTTCCAATAGAACTTCTTCTCATTCCCCTGGGTATCATCTTCCTTTCCTCTGGGGATGCTCCCACAGCACCCTACCATCTTTCTAGTGTAGGACTTGTGACACTGAGCTGTGATGACTTGTTTGCGTAACATGCACACATAAAGAATTTTCCTTATTTCTTTATATTACACAGAGCTCCCCAGTACCATGACTAGCGGTAGCAGCAAATACTCTATAAATACCTGTTACATTTATTTATTTATTTATTTATTTATTTATTTATTTTTGAGACCGAGTCTCACTCTGTCACCCAGGCTGGAGTGAAGTGGTGCAATCTCAGCTCACTGCAACCTCCACCTCCCGGTTCAAGTGATTCTCGTGCCTCAGCCTCCCGAGTAGTTAGGATTACAGGCACCTGCCACCAGGACCAGCTAATTTTTGTATTTTTAATGGAGACAGTGTTTCACCACGTTGACTGGGCTGGTCTCAAACTCCTGACCTCAGGTGGTCTGCTCACCTTGGCCTCCCAAAGTGCTGGGATTATAGGCATGAGCCACTGCGCCTGGCCAACACCTGTTAAATTTAGAAAACAGAGTTTTCAATCTCTGTCTTACACCCAAGAAGGCCTGTGGCCCAGAGATCCGGAGTAAAATTAGATTCAGTATTTAATCCATCAATAGCTCGTTCTTACTGCATCCCTAGGGTATGAACTCTGCTGACTTTTCTCTCCTCTTTAGATCACAACCCAGTGACATCACCACTACACAGAGAATCATTGCAGGCCCTATCCATGTCTCCGTGGTCTCTCTGATCCCCCACCCCCACCCCAACACACACACCACGCGCGCTCACAAACGTCAGTATTTTATGTGAGTAGAGTGTGTCTATAAATACCATGGACAGTGGATGGGACTTGGATCAGGTCTTTTGTCACCCTATGATACCCTATGGGGGCAGGACCCCAGGACCCCATAGAGTTGGTATATTGGCTCGGAGGGATGTTGAAACTGTGAGTGGAACAACATACCACCATCCTCCACTTCCATTTGCACCCTCTACTTCTCTCCTGCAGCAGGCTGACGCCGGCCCAGAGCCTGCATACAGCCACAAGCTCACTTCTCAGCCTTTTGGAGGCCATGCACCACCTTGGGAATGCAATGGAAGATTCAGACCCTCCTCATAAACGTTTCCCACATGCTTTCTATGGGTTCCCTGGGGTCCCCAGTTAAGAGCCCTGGTGGAATAGAAAGGGCACTGGATTTGTACTTGCAGAGATCTAAGTTCAAGGTCTGATTCTACCTCTCACTAATTCTGTGGCTGATCTCTCTGAGCCTCAATTTCTACATCTGAAAATGAGGTATAGCCAGCACTGCAGGTTGTAAGGGGCCTGCTACGTGATAGGTCCTCAGTTTTGCCTTCCCCGTCTAAGCCTCCTAGGTACCTGGTTACCATTTGCAAGAGCCTGGAGCTAACAGGTGGAAGTTTCATTCCAAGTTCAGGTCTTCATGCAATCACGTGAAACCATTTACTGAGCATTTATTATGTGCTAGCCACAGTGGTAGGTGCTGGAGTATGCAAGTGTGTGTTTATACCTGGCTGTGAAAGGTATACAGAGGTGAACATAATATGAGACCTCAGGGAGCTGGTAGTATGATGACCTAGTGCCCATCTATCCACAGAATGCAATTTGCCTAAAACGTTTAGCACAAAATGTTTTACCTGATTAACCCACTACAAAGACATCTTATTATTGATACCTCCAGCGTTTCGGCTATGGGATCAAAGTCTGGCCTATGTTTGACACCCGTATATCTCTGTGAAAATACATTGTCTTCCTCGAGTCTATTAAATTCAATGCCAAGAGCCTCCATTAGGGATATTCTTGTGTAGTCAAAATTGAGTGAGATGTCTTTGGCATGAATATATTGAATGTACAGCTTTTGAAATTAGTTCACTATGGTAAATATCAATGTTTTCACTGACTGAATAAAATTGATTATAATATTGCACTCTACACAGCTAAAGATTATTAACTTTTGGGGAAATGATTTTTTATCATGGCTAAAAATCCATTTTTAAGATGCTTGTCAGGCTGTTCTTTTCAGCATAGTTCTCAATTGAAAATGTAGACAGCTCATGGCATTGTGGGCATTTGTGCTCACTGCTGAACACATTTGAATACCTCTGCTCTCACAGTCTTTTCTTCAAGTCAAACAGTCTACCAGAATGCACTAAGCTCCCATTTTGCCAAGAAGCTGGCTGTTTGAGAATAATCTGGAGAGATTCCTAAAGACTTTGATAAGTGTAATTTTTTGAAAGCTCTGTCTCTCTGGTGTCATTCCTACTGAGGCTGCTCATGTCATTCAGGTTCCATAATTTGGATGTTAAATGAAAAAAAAATGAAGCACAGTGGTCTAGTTTACAATTTAGGTTAATTGGCCTACTTCAATGTATCTCATTTTCAAGTATTTTCACCTTTACTATGAACTCCTACTTACTGAGCACCTACTATTTTGTACAGTTCTGGGCCAGGAACTGCTGTGAGTATGAGACACCTGCCTTCTCGATTGTAAGCAACAGAAATCCACCATGAGCAATATGAGTAGATATAGAATTCACTGAAAGGAAATTGGAGACTTTCAGAGACTGAAAGACCTGAGCTGGTGTGTGGTCCAAGAAGCAGGAAGAAGAACCACAGCCATCTCTTAACAAGAACAGGCTGCTCAGAAGCCTGCCGGCCAACACAGCCACAGTAACTGCTACCAGGCTGGGTCCACTGCAGGCCACAGCTGCTGCACAAGGAGGTTCCAGCCCTCCTTTTATCTTTGCCGCACGCACCCGGGAGTCAGAATTCTAGGCAAGAGCTCCTGGTTGCCAGTCTTTGGTCCTGCGCCTGTGCCCTGGCTGCTGGGTGTGGAGTGAGGAAAAGGATGCCTTTGCTTTGTTGTCTGTAGTTGCAGAGAGGGTGACATGACCCCTCCAAGTAGGAAGAGGTTATTAAATACTGGATAGTAAAATATGACAAAGCTCCACCACATTCTTTGTTCAATGATAAGACAAGTACTAGCATTAGAATTAGTTTAGACAAAGGGAATTAAATTTTTTTTTTTGAGTCTCGCTCTGTTACCCAGGCTGGAGTGCAGTGGTGCGATCTCAGCTCACTGCAACCTCTGCCTCCCCAGTTCAAGCGATTCTCCTGCCTCAGCCTCCCGAGTAGCTGGGATGACAGACGCATGCCACAATACCCATCTAATTTTTGTATTTTTAGTAGAGACAGGGTTTCACCATGTTGGCCAGGCTGGTTGGTCTCAAACGCCCGACCTCAAGTGGTCTGCCCACCTCGGCCTCCCAAAGTGTTGGGATTACAGGCGTGAGCCACTACGCCCAGTGGGAATTAATTATTTACTGGAGAAATAATGGTAGGCCTTCAAAATAAAATTTTGAAGGAGGAATGGGTAAGAATTACCATGCAGATAATGATAAGCCCAGGCATAAATGTGGATGTATACAGAGGCCCAGATATATGAGACAGCATAGAGGGTGAGGTTGGAGGAGTAAAGAAAGGAGACAGGGCAGAATTGGCTGCCCTTCTCAGCCAGCTTAGACCATTGGACAGTGGTACGGAGACACACTGAGCAGTTTTAGACAGAGGCAGGTCACATTTACCTTTTAGAAAGCTCACCTTGGTCCCTGTACGGAGAGTGGATGGCAAGAACTGGTGTGGGTTGCGGTAAGCCAGGCTCGGGGAGACCAGGTTTTCTCATTCTGGCTTTTTCTCCAATTAGCTATGTGATCTGGTCTCCAACTTGATCTTAACCTGTCTCATTATTTTCATCTTCTAAAGTGCTTTGATTGGAAAAGACAATTCTAATGTGGTCCATTCTACCCTCAAAGTTTAGACTTTGTTACTGTAAAGGCAAATTGGAGTATGATTATTAAAAAAACTTAAGTTGCAGGATAAATTATTTGAACTACTTGTTTACTTATTCAACAAATATTTTTATTTTTATTTTATTTTATTTTTAGAAACAGGGTCTCACTCTGTCACAGGCTGGAGTACAGTGTCGTGATCATAACTCACTACCGCATTTAACTCCTGGGTTCGAGCAATCCTCCCACTTCGACCTCCCAAGCAGTTGGGATGACAGGCGCATGCCACCACATCCTGCCAAGTTAATTTTTTTTGGTAGGGGTGGGTAGAGACAAGGGTCTTGCTTTCTTGTTCAGGCTGGCCTCCAACTCCTGGCCTCAAGTGATCCTCCCGCTTAGGTGTCTCAAAGCACTAGGATTACAGGCATGAGCCACTGCGCTGGCCTCAACAAATATTTACTGACTATTATTTATGTCTCAAAACACTAGGATTACAGGCATGAGCCACTGCGCTGGCCTCAACAAATATTTACTGACTATTATTTATGTCTCAAACACTGTTCTAGGCTTCAGAGGATTAGCAGTAAATAAGAAAAGTCCTTACCACTATGTGAGGTCTTTTGAATGAGAACTAGATTCTAGCAAGAGGAGTGGGGGGCAGTCAACAATAAAGAAACGACTGTCTAATGATATAAGGTGGTGGTATGTGCTATAAAGAACAAAGCAGGTTGGGGGGATTTGGAAGTGACTGGAGAGAGGCAACTCTTCATAGGCTGGCAGGGCGGCCTCTCAAAGAAGTGAAAGAGATTTTAAACAGAGATTCAAATGAAGGGAGGAATCAAATGAAGATAGGCAGGAAGAATTTTCCAAGCAGAAAGATCAAAGAAATGGCAAGTGGGAAGGTCTCCAGGCATGTGAGGGGAAGAGCAGGCAGGTCAGTGAGGGCGGAGCACAGAAGAGGGAAAAGCAAATACAAAGGCTCCGAGTCATGTTGAAGAGAAGACAAGAATATCTACATGACGTCATGGAGGGGCCAGAAAAGGGTGACGAGAGATGACTTCAGAGAAGTGGCCAGGGACCAACCTTCATTCATGGATTGTTGATTGTTTCATTCTTTCAGTGCAAGAGGCACTGTGCTAGGATCTGGGAATGCAACCATGAACTGGCCATGCCTTCAAGGAGCTGAAACCCCTTCCAAGGGGCTCAGAAGACATCAAACGTGTCTTTTTTTTTTTTTTTTTTTTTTTTTTTTAAGACAGAATCTCGCTCTGTTACCCAGGCTAGGGTGCAATGGCGTGGTCTCAGCTCACTGCAACCTCCGCCTCTCGGGTTTAAGCAATTCTCCTGCCTCAGCCCCCCAAGTAGCTGGGATTACAGGCACGTACCAGCACACCTGGCTAATTTTTGTATTTTTAATAGAGATGGGGTTTCACTATGTTGGCCAGCCTGGTCTTGAACTCCTGACCTTGTGATCTGCCCGCCTCGGCCTCCCAAAGTGCTGAGATTACAGGTGTGAGACACCACGCCTGGCCAAAAGACGTCAAACGTATCTTCTCTCGTCAATCTTTCTTTCCATGTCTCCATAGCTTGCCAACTCTCCTGCAGTCACACTTTTCTGGCCCATTGAGCTTTTGCTAAGGATGTTGGCTTTGCCTGGGTTTGCCCTTGTTATCACCTCATACAGCTAAATCTTCCTTAGCCTGTAAGATTCAGCTCAAATGCCAGTTCCTTGAGGAAGTTTCTAATACCCCAGACTGCGAGAAGTCTCTACTGCTCTATGTCACTCACCCATTTATCTGTCCATCTGTCTATTCAGCCATCCTTCCATCCATCCATCACCTTCATTGATCTTTTCCCCTCCAGTCAGTAACAGGCCTGTCCTGGGTACCACTGATGCCACAGTGGACAAAATACAATCTTGCCTTTGAGTAAGTCAGAAAGCAATGGCAAAGTCAGACAAGAAAATGAACTTGAAATATAGGGAAATATTACAGTGAATTATTGTTTAACGGGCACTGCTGTTTGTTCAATGTCATATGGAGCACAATAAATAATAACGAAAAGTGAAATATCAAATCCTGACTTTAAGCATGGCTCCTGTTTTACAAATGGAGTTTGTAAATAATTTTTCAATGTATAGGATAGATATTAAATATTGGCTTATCAAAGATTTAATATACAGTCTAAATGGTAGAAATTCAACTGGACAATTTGCTATGATGACAACAGTAAAATAATTGTCTCATCTTCTCCTTTATGGCTTTCACTGACATAATGTAGTCAATTCCTCCAACAGTAAATTTCTTTTTCTTTTTCTTTTTTTTTTGAGACAGAGTTCTACTCTGTCACCCAGGCTAGAGTGCAGTGGCACGATCTCAGCTCACTGCAACCTCTGCCTCCCAGGTTCAAGTGATTTTCGTGCCTCAGCCTCCCGAGCAGCTGGGATCATAGGCACGTGCCACCACGCCGGCTAACTTTTGTGTTTTTAGTGGAGACGGGATTTGGCCATGTTGGCCAGGCTGGTCTCGAACTCCTGACCTCAAGTGATCCACCCACCTCGGCCTCACAAAGTGCTAGGATTACAGGCGTGAGCCATCATGCCCAGCCCAAATAGTAAATTTCTATGTAGATAAAGTAATTAATCAAAAATTGGTATGAAACACTCTACCAACTAAAAATCTGTAGGAGAACCCTCCTCAAGGCATTTATATTATATAATTGTGGGGATAAGACTCAGAAATGAAAAAGTAATTTCATTTGTGAAATGCATTTTTAAAAAGGCAGTAGAGGATAAGAACCAAATGAATGGTATATAGGAAGTCAGTGATATGAACTCACAGAAGTATTGAGGAGGGAGGCTTTGAATTGGTCCTTTCGTGATGAGCAAAATTCAGAGGATAAAGTAAGTGGAGGAAAAACTTCACATTGGGGAAATAATGAAAGCAAAGGCCTGATTGAGAGCTGGTGAAGGGCTGAAAATCATACAGAAGAGTGTGGAGTTCGTTGGAATTTATGAAGTTGGTGCTAAGTTGTCTTGTTTACCATTATCCCCAGCACCTAGCATATAGCTTGGCATAGCTATGTGTTGGATGAATGGATTTTTAAAAAATGAATGAATAAGCCATAGGGAGCTACTGCAGATTCTTATTTACAATGACTTAAAGAAAATGGTGCTTATGGGAGATTAACCTGGCAGCAGTGATCATGATGAGCTGGACTGAATAGAGAAGACAGTGAAGAAAGGACCACCTCCTGGGAGGTCACATGAAGTATGGATATATGGATCTGCTCCAGATGGTGCCTTCAGGTTTAAGAAACAGTTGAAGGAACACATAAGAGTCACCAATGGAGATGAGTGGTCAGGCAGAAGGAGGAGTCAAAGATGACTGGAAGAATGGCGGTGTGTTTATGGGGTCTATTGAGTTGTAAGAGAGGAGGGTGTTTCAGGAGGATTGCCATAGGAGAAGGTGACATTTAGGGGCAGGAAGAGGGAGGGCATGAAGGTGTGGAGTCCTTAGTCTAATTGCAGAGAGGAGCATCAGAGTCGTCTGCTCTTGTGGGCAAAGGCCTCACGTGAAACATTCAGGCTCCTAGTCCTCCGTCTTCTTGTAAGCTAAGTTAATTTCCTCTGCAATTCTGTAGCAATACAAACTCATTAAATAACCAAATCAGGAAAGTGTGTCTGTGAGGTAGTTCCATCATCTTTGATTTCTCCTTCGTTTTTCTGTGATCCTGCAGAAGGCTATTTTTTGTTTTGTATGTTCTAAGTAGGGATGAGGGTTCTGCTTTGCTTGCTTCTGAACTGGAGAATGCTGTTGGGGAGGTCCCCAAAGGCAGCAGGAAAAGCCCTGGGGTGGAAAGTGATGCTTGCTGTCGTTATTGTACCCGCTATTGTACCCACCCTGTGGGGAAGGCTATGCAGCCAATGAATGGTCTAGTCAAAGCCTGGGCATGCCTGTCTCTGGACCCCACATCTGTGGAGGGCTTTATAAAGAGGGTAAATTTCTGTCTGGACCAGCCAAGTGAAGACTTGCCCGAAGGCAGGTGTATATTTAGAGGACTGCCTCCAGCTGTTTCCCTCCCACAGTGGTGTCTCTGTGGAAGTGCATCTGTTACATGCGGATCAAAGTCATCTTGCCATGCAGTTCATAGCATCCATGCTTTTGTCTTTATCAGAAAGGTAATAACGGCTTACAGAATTCTGATAGTGGTGGCAGCATCACCTGGACAGTCAGAAATAATGCACGTGAGAGATGAAGGGGGCTTATCCCTAGGTGATAACAGTGACAGTGGAAAAAGTGGATGTAGTAGCAATGGATGTTGCAATGGGACTGTTTCTTTTCTTTTCTTTTCTCTTTTCTTTTCTTTTCTTTCTTCTTCTTCTTCTTCTTTTTTAAGACAGAGTCTCACTCTGTCACCCAGGCTGGAGTGCAGTAGCATGATCTCGGCTCACTGCAACCTCCGCCTCCTGGGTTCAAGTGATTCTCGTGCCTCAGCCTCCCGAGTAGCTGGGATTTCAGGCACATGCCACCATGCCCAGCTCATTTTTTTGTATTTTAGTAGAGACAGGGTTTCACCATGTTGACCAGGCTGGTCTCGAACTCCTGATCTCAAGCGATCCACCTGCCTCGGCCTCCCAAAGTGCTGGGATTACAGGCATGAGCAATAGGACTGTTTCTTGAATGGATGGGATTGGGTGGTGGTGATCATGGGGGAAGAAGAGTAGGAAACTAGAGGACTCAAGAATGACTTCTAGGTATTTGCCCTGAAAAAAAACAGATGGATCATGGCGCCATCTATTAAGATGAAAAAGACTTAGGTAGGAGCCAGTTTGCGGGGAAAATAAAAAATTCTGCTTTGGAGATGTGAAGTTTGAGATGTCTATTACTCATCTAAGTGGAGTTTGCAAGTAGGCAGTCAGATATACATCTCAGGGGAGTTCAGGGCTGAAGATTCAAATTTGGGAGATGGATTTTTGTAAATCTCCCACCTCCTTCTCAGGCATTAGTTTAAGATAAGGAGAGGGTAGAACTGCTCCTTGACTTACCAGAAATGAGGAGCAGATGCTATTTGTTCACTTGTACTTTTGTCCATCCCTCAAATATTTATGGAGTACTTTCAGTGCTAGGTACTGTGCTGACTTTTATGGACTGGATGAGCAGATACAGGTACAGACACCGCTCTCATTGAGTTTGACATCCAGGGCTGTGCAGTAGAAAGTGAGCCTACTACGTAAGCTGAATTTTCTAATGGCCATGTTGAAAAGGTCAAAAGAAAGAGATGAAGTTAATTTTAATAATCTATTTTATTTAACCCAGTATATCAAAAATTAGTATCATTTCAACATGTAATCAATATAAAATTACTGAGATATTTTATGTTCTTTTTCTCATACTGTCTTCAAAATCTGTTGTGTCTCTTACACACAGCACATCTCAATTCAGACTTAGCCGCATTTCAAGTGCTCGATAGCCTGGATCTAGAAGATGCTGTAGAACTTGGCTCCCTGATGTCTAAACCCCTCCCTTCTCTCCTGCCCATTGGTGATCTCCAGACCTTCGGGGACTGTTGGGAGCTCCAGTGTGCTGTAAAATAGTGAGGTGTAAACCTTGGGCACACAGCCCCAGAGCAGAACCCCAGTCCACCTTGCCCAAAGTGCCAGCAATGGCAGCCTGATGATAGAGGTGCCATCATCACACAGATCAGTATCCAGCTGTTCCTAGCCACACCTGGATTAATTAGTGACCACTGGAAGATAATTGCTGTGTTTTAAAACTGAGAGCATTGCCACCATGTACCATGGTAAATATATTTGTTAACAAGATAAAAAAAATGTTTTTTAGTAAAAGCAACTTCAATCCTGGTGTCTCCCCCGACAACTCCCCTTGTCCTGTTTTCCTGGCACTGGGTGCTGACTACTAGGCAGCACTTCTTCTCTGAATCCCACCGCCTGGGCACAGGAGAGATCAGAATGTGTTTGGTGAATGAACGAGCTCAAGAATGGGAGGCTTACTCTGTGACTTGCGGGAGGAGAATGTGTGGGATTTTTGACATTGGTTCCTTCTTCAGATGACAGATACAGACAATGACGAATGCTCTCTCTTCTTATCAGGAGAGCTCAACGTGGGCGTTTCTTTCTGTAACAAGTATGCATCATGGCTGGCTGACTCCTCCCCATAACAAGCAGTTTAAAGGTGAACGGAAATGGATCTTGGCGATAGCAGCTTTTGGAAGCCTAGGCGCGGCACAGAAGGTCAGACAGGAATGGCTTGTCTTCCACTACAACATGGGGCTTCATCGGAAGCACCGCTGCTGAGGAACAACCACCTCCTCCTGACCATCGCAAGCTGCCCAGGAAGACATGCTCATAGCAGTGTCCGTTTCCCTGCCTAACTTTCCACCAGAAGATTCCTTCATGTCTACGGGCGGACCCAGGCCGATCTTGGAATGCATGTTTAAGTTTGTCTGACCTTTCTATCTTTTGCCTTCCTCTTCACTAGAGAACCTGAGCACTAGGTTCTCCTGTATTATTTATTTTATCTTATTCTTTTCTTTTTTTTTTTTTTTTTTTGAGGCAGGGCCTTGCTCTGTCACTGAGGCTGAAATGCAATGGTGTGGTCATAGCTCACTCCTCGGCTCAAGTGATCCTCCAGCCTCAGCCTCTAGAGTAGCTGGTATTACAAATGTGCAGCACCACAGCCAGCTAATTTCTTTTCTTTCTTTCTTTCTTTCTTTTTTTTTTTTGTAGAGATGGGAGTCTTGCTGTATTGCCTACGTTGGTCTCCAACTCCTGGGCTCAAGTGATCCTCTTGCCTCAGCCTCCCAAAGTGGTGGGATCACAGGTGTGAGCCACCACATCTGGGTAGATTCTTCTTTAGGTTCCTGAGCCTGGAGAGATGGCCTGCAGGGGCATCTGCTGCAAAGGAATGAGATAAGCTGTGATAATCTGGGTCCTCCAAGAAGCAGAAGCCATAGATTTTATCAGGGAGCTGGAAAAAAGTGGGATGACCATTAGACTGCAGTGCAAGTCTGACTCCAAATGAAGGAGAGGAAAGGTTGTATGGAGGCCTCCTTGGCTCTAGGGAAAGTTCAGCAAGGCAGAAGAGAAGTGCTGAGACAACATTCTAGGCAGAGGAGCCCCATGTCTCTCAGGAAGGGGGCTGCCTAGTGCCCCTGCCATGCCCCATCACGGGTGGGGAGCAGCCCATGGAAAGGGGGGGTCTCAGCACAGGCCAGGATGGATTCAGAGCATGGAGTGGCAGCTGGTGCCCTGGGCCAGATGCGCTCCCAGCTGGAGGCACTTTCTCACAACTGCTGTGTAGGCCTGGGTCCACGTTGTTTCATGAGGAAAAGCCATGCGGGTGCTGCCTGGCACATATGTAGAGCAAGTGCCATATGACACGGTGGAAGGTGCCCTGGAATTGGCATCAATGTCCCAGGTCAAGTCCCTGATCCGTCACTTATTATTAGTTCATGATCTTAGGTGAGTCACTAAACCTCTCAGAGCCTTGGTTTCTTGATCTTAAAACAATACCTGTCTTACAGTATGGTTGTAGAGTGAAACTAGCTCTTGTGAGAAAGAGTGCTTTGTATAATGTTGACACAAATGCACACGTGGTAACAAAAGCAACAAAGCACAACTATTAAAGACCAATGACAGGAGCTCTGGAATTTTGCTATAAGCAGTCTGTGGCAATGATAGAGATTTGTCTGTCTCTGTGGTTATACTTGCACGAAACTGCACACCATGCCAGTATACAAATTCCACAGTGTCTCAGTCATTTAGCAGATGTCAGTTGACTTGACTGTTCTGGGCAGGTATTTATACAAATAAAAAAATAAAAAGCATTTCAGAAAACCCTATTTTTTTTTTAAACAAAAGATGGCTTTTCCACAGCTGCTAAATAATTCAAAGTCAGCAGTAATTCATAGTGAGTCAGCGGTAGCTTCTTACTGCTTCCCACTGCTTTTTTTCCTTTTCTGCTTGTAAGATGAAGACACTGGCGATGAAAGGGCTGAGATGTTTTAGTTCCCGGAAGTCCCTTGGTCTTTTTTTTTTTTTTTCTTTTGAGATGGGGTCTCTCTCTGTCTCCCAGACTGGAGTGCAGTGGTGCAATCTCGGCTCACCACAACCTCCACCCCCGGTGTTCAAGCAATTCTCCTGCCTCAGCCTCCCAAGTAGCTGGGATTACGGGCACGTGTCACCACGCCCGGCTAATTTTGTATTTTTAGTAGAGACGGGGTTTCTCCATGTTGGTCAGGCTGGTCTCGAACTCCTGACCTCAAGTGATCCACCCGCCTCGGCCTCCCAAAGTGCTGGGATTACAGGCGTGAGCCACCGTGCCTGGCCGCTTGGGTTTTGTGCTAGCGAAATATTGAGATCTGTAGGCTGTGGAGCAACCTGTTAGCGATGATGGGTGAGTTCACAGGCAGAGGCAGTAGCTCCAAGGCCTCAACCAGAGACCCAGATCCCAGGGCAGTGTCACTCATTTTGTCAACGATTCTAGGGGATGGGGAGACAGGAGCTGGAAAAATAAACCAGAAAGACTTCATGGGTTTATTTCTAAATAGATGAAGGTTACAGAGCAAGGTAAATTTTATGCAGGAAAAACGGGTGGCAGTAGATGATCTAGTGTTAGAATCTCAGCATGGCCCTGGGGCTGGGAGCAAATGAAATTAGACGTGGGATTAGTGGGAACCAGGTAGCCAAGGGTGGAGGCCTAACCAGAATTGAGTGATTCACACCATTAACAATGACCAGCTGTGAAGAAGCAGATCACCCCACCTGAGGACAGCCCCGAAGGAAGAGGTGCTTTTACCACCACCCAAGGATGAAAGCAGTGATTTCTCCTTCAAATCCAGCCCCAAAGCTGTGGCTCTCCTCACCAGTTTTCCTTTCCTTCTGGCCATGCAACCTCTTCTGCTCCATGGCCAGTTCAGAGGACACATGACTCCAGCAGGAGGGGACAAACCAGTCACCATTCAGGAGCCTGAATAACCAGGGCTTCTGACACCGTGGGCCTCAGACTACCCACATCAGCACCACGTGGGCAGCTTGTTAAGGAGGCGACTGCATGAGCCCACCCAGATCTGCCTGTTCAGAATGTCTGGAAGGGGACTCCAGAACCTGTGTGCCCCTCCCGCATCTTCCTCAAGGCATTGTTTTGCACACAAACATGTAAGAATCACCGGGCGTGGTGGCTCGCACCTGTAATCCCAGCACTTTGGGAGTCCGAGGAGAGAGGATCACGAGGTCAGGAGTTTGAGACCAGCCTGGCCAACATGATGAAACCCTGTCTCTACTAAAAATATAAAAATCAGCTGGGCATGGTGGCCCATGCCCATAATCCTAGCTACTCGGGAGGCTGAGGCAGAAAAATGGCTTGAACCTGGGAGGCAGAGGTTGCAGTGAGCTGAGATCCCGCTACTGCATTCCAGCCTGGGCAACAAGAGCAAAACTCCGTCTCAAAAAAAAAAAAAAAATTGTGAGACCCAATTAAATGATCTCTAAGCTGCCAGATCAAAAACACTGTGACTTCAGAATCCCAGTTTAAGAAAAATGATCTTATTTCTCAGTAATTTATAATTTTAAAGGTTTAATCTTCTTTCTCCCCTAAGTATTATCTCTCCGTCTTTAAGTCCCAACAAATTATTTATAAAATAATGTATGGGCTGGGCGCGGTAGCTCACACCTGTAATCCCAGCACTTTGGGAGGCCGAGATGGGTGGATCACCTGAGGTCAGGAGTTCGAGACCAGCCTGGCCAACATGAAGAAACTCCGTCTCTACTAAAAATACAAAAATTAGCTGGGTGTGGTGGCATGTGCCTGTAGTCCCAGCTACTCGGGAGGCTGAGGCAGGAGAATCACTTGAACCCAGGAGGCGGAGGTTGCAGTGAGCAGAGATTGCGTCATTGCACTCCAGCCTGGGGGACAAGAGTGAGACTTTGACTCAAAAATAGTAATAGTAATAATGATGATGATGTGTGAAGTTTACTATGTGCAAAAACCTATGTTTTGCATGGAGGAAAAATATATGAGGCACCCTGCCCTTAAGGTGCTTCTAGGCTAGAAGAGGAGCTGAAAAGGTGTGGAACCAACTTTGCCACAAGGCAGAGAGTGCTCCCAGGGCTGATAATCCAGGAAGGGGTCAGTTGATAAATATCCTAAATCTCAATCCTGGCAATAAGTACTGTATAAAAGATAGAATCAAAGGTCTCCAGGATTTCAGAAGAGGGAGATAGGAAAGCCGGCGGGGGCAGTGAGAGAAGCTTTAGAGAGGAAGCAGCATTTGAGAGAGGACTTTAAGGATAAGTCGTATTTCAGTAGGCAGAAAACATTCTGGAAGAGATGGCATGAGAAAGCCATAGTGGTGGGGAATTGCAAAGTGTACTGCAGAACAGGGGGAAGCTCATTTTGGCGTGAGTGGAGAGGGATTTCACTGGAAAGCTGGGATGGTGTATCAGTTATCAGTTGCTGCATAATACACCAGTCCAAAATCTAAAGGCTTAAAACAACAATAGTCATTTCTTTTGCTCATGGATCTACAGCTTGTCTGTGTTCCACCCTGTCAGCTTAATGGGACCTGGAGAGACCACTTTCAAAGTGGCTCCCTCACATGGCTGGGAAGTTGGAGGGAGCTGTCTGTTCCTTTTGTGGGCTTCTCTATGGCTTGAATTTCCTCACAGCAGTTTGATTTCAAGAGAGCCAAGTGAAAGCTGTATTGCCACTTATGACGTAGCTCTTGGAGTCATAGTATCACTTCTGCTGCGGTCACAAGACGACATCCAAATTCAAAGAGAGGGAGCAAAGTGTCCTCTCAGTGGAGGAGTGTCAGAGTCACCATAAGAAGAGAATGTGGGAAGGGAGGTATTATTGTAGCCAATTTTGGAAAATACATGTAAAACTCTTAACGCATGAAATACACAAAAACTCTAATCAGGCATTAAATAATAATATAAATTTAAAAAAAACACAAATTTCATTATATATCACAATAACCTTTCAAATAGGCAAAGCAAATATTATTTGTATTTTGCAAATAAAGGAACACAACTGAGAATTGGAGTAGAAAGGTGGATTTGCAATGAATTTAATGAAGTTTTCACTTTTAGAGCCCCTCACTAGCACTGACACCTTCTTCCGAGGCCCCAGAGGGGACCCAGAATTGTGTTCACATGGTCATATGTTTCGTAAATGTTCAGAGGTAAAGTATCTTTACTACAACTAGTTAAGTCTGCTGTACCTTCACTTCAGCCTCCCTTCCATCACATCCCCTTGCGTCAGGTGTTACTGGGCATTTTGGAGACCCAGCTAAGGGGAAATTGAGTTATAGCTATATTTAGTTTTGGTGGAGTAGGTTATAATGATGTGGTTTTCAGTAACTTCAACACATGGTTAAGTTATTACTGGGCACCCCAGTGTAGAAATGACTTCCAGGAATACTCCTATGGCTTACTGACTAACTCAAACAGCATTGTGACACTAAAGTCCAGGACCAGAGGTCATACTGTGGTATGACTGTATCTCCTAGTACCCAGAATTCGCATGAAAATATATGGGTAGTGGAGAAAAACAAGGTTTGAAAAGTACATCGCCAGAAGCTAGTCTGTGGAGAATTCTTCCAATCAGATATAAAATTACAAGGACAATACCTTTGTGTATAGTTCTGGCTTTTAAAATCTTTTTAATGTTTCACATATTCAAAGAACAAACTTAAAATGAATAAGGTCCGGCAAGGTTACAGGATTAAGAGCAATGTACAAATATTAATTGTATTGTATACAGTAGCAATGAGCAAACCAAAAATGAAATTAAGAAAGTAATTTCACTTAAGATAAAAATTCTAAAATACTTAGAAGTAAATTTAACAAAGATGTACAAAACTTATACTGTGAAAACTACAAAGCTTTGTTGAAATAAATCAAAGAAGAAACCAAATAAATGTAAAAACAGTCTATGTTCATGGATTGGAAGATTTAATATTCTCAAGATGTCAGTGTTAACATAACAAGATGTGTGTTATACTTTAGTTTTTAAAAAATGGCCAAAAACGTGGTGGGATAGTTGAATATGATTCATCCTTCCCAGACCCACATGACCTGAACACTGTGATGCGTTATAATGGCAGGGAGAGGAATTTTGGATTCAACCTGATCTGAATTGGAACCCTGGCTTTATTATTTACTAATGTATGTCTTTCCTCATTTTTTCTTGATGTTGCTGGTTCTGATTTTCTTCATTTGCTCAATAAGGATGATAAATAGCTACTCCTCAGGGTTGCTGTGGGGATCAGATATGATACGAGTAAAGGGCTGGCACTACTGGTTTCCTAAACCCAACTCCCTTCCATCTTGCCCATGTCCCATGCAGGTATTGGAAAACCCAAGCATTGACTCTCCAGACCAGCCTCGCACCTAAGAACGCCGTGGGATGCAGTTTCAGACAGTGAGAAATCTGCTGGGGATGCCTGGGAAAGGGACATACCTGGCAGGTGCCGCTCCATGGCCTTCTTGCTGCCTTGAATTGGGACATGAGCCTGAGTCGCAGCAGCCGTCTTGTGACTGAGAGGTGGCAAGCAGGAGGAAGAGGCTAAGAGAATAGAGACACTGTTGAGCTGCTGAAGCACAGCAAGCGGCCACTTCTCTATGCTTCTTGCTATTTGACTGTTAAGCTAGTGCAAGTTACTTTTCTGGTCAGAATGAATTCATAACTGAAACATGCTTTAAAGTATGACTATTATTATTAAATGCAGCATAAGCTTTCCATAGCTGCTACACGATCACACCCACTGCTGTCTCAGACTGACCAGTGGCCGACTAAACATGACAGCAAGTACTGTTGCCAGCCTCTGCCTTCTTATACTTGTGGAGTTTGTTTAAATCTAAATTCAGGACTCACCCTGTTAAATTTTATCTCCTTAGCTTGTCCCCTTCTTTTCAGAGATTTGCAATTCAAATTAGTATTATAACCTCAATTGATATATGGCTGTGGACCAGTCAGGAATCATTGAATCATCCCCCACTTTGGAAAGCATAAGAGGCTGTAATTGCATTTTATATCAACCCTCTCCTATGCCCTCCCCGTCACGTGCATCAACATCTCTTTTCTCTCAGAAAGACCTCATCTTATTTGAGGTGATATTTGAGTACATAGTTCCTTTTAGGGTACTGGGGACCTTTTTGGTGGTAGGGTGGAGAGTGTGCACCACAGAGACTAGTCACCAAGAGTCCCTGCAGTTAAGTCTGCGTATCCTGTGCTGGTGAAGGGTGGATGGGCTTTATGCAAATCTCTGCTTGGCTGCAGAATCTCCCAGTGAGATGAGCAAGGGTGCTTTGCAGTCAGTGTTGAAACCCCAGAAGAGCAGGAAATGATGCTGTTCCTGCCCAAAGGCAGAATGAAATGCAAGGAAAGGAGAAAAACATTATGACATAAGTATTAAGAAAGATGCTGTTTACGGGAACTCTGAAAGACTGGAATTCAGAGCCGCTACCAATTAAGAAAGTTAATGATGACTTGCAGCAGGTTTGCAGAAAGTGAAAGGAAGGTGAGGCTATTTAATTGCCACCATAACAGAAGAACTTGTAGAAAATAGGAATGGGATCACAATCATTATTAACTCATAAAAAATTTATAGGGTGCCATTTCTAATACGACACTGTGCAGGGATACTGCAGTCTAGCGTTACCTCCAGTTTAGACAGGCTGAAATACATACAGTTTCTCATCTGTATGAGATAAGGTGATATAAAATGAAGCTGATCGGGCTAGTTTATTGGATAAAACCAACAACGAAGGGAAATAAGTAACTATTTATACAACATGGTAACTATCTACATTGTTCATTAGCAGACGATGTTTGTAACTGGAGATGAAATGCATTAAGCATGTTTGGGAAAGGAATAAATGGGATGTAACCATGGAAGTCCTATGCTTAACCAGGGTGGGGAGGGGGGCAGGGATATAGAGAACTTCAACTAGACAGGCCTGGTGGAGAAAGTGTGTGTCTAAGAATTACTTGCAAAGTGAGCTGTGTCAGGGAGCATCCTGGTGCATGCTCCAAGATATGTTGGATAACAGTTGAGTACAACTCATGATGGAATTACAAAACTCCAAGATACAGTTGGATAGTTGGGTAACAGTTGAGCATCACCATGATGGAAGAGATGAAGAGACTTTTTGAATGTGTTTGAGAGGAGTGAAATGAATCCTACAATGATAATAATAATAATTGCTATTATTTTTTCAGACACGTGTGAAACCAGAAAAAAATAAATTAGGTGAAAGAATCTTCATTCCTGGTGACACCTTAGAAGAAGAAACAGACAATCTTGGATGGATTTGTTAAAGATCAGAGGATCCATAATGTCATGCAAAATGGTGGGATTGGGGGCAAACAGATCAAGTTGATGAGTGGGGTTAGCAACAGTGAGACCTGAAAGAGAAAACAAGTTAACAGAAGCCAGACTAAGTGCAGGACTAACCTGCACCCTAAGAGGGTGCAGGCTCAGGAACCAGTCCATGAGGAGTTGCACCATAGTAAGGGGTAGAGATGAACTGAAGCTCGCTCATGATTACCAGCGGTATTGGCCTCTCCAAGAACTAAAAATAACCTCCTTCTTTGTCTTGCTGTTACTTCCAAGCCACAGCCGAGTTCTCTCTCTATACTTACACCTCAGATGAATGAGCAGTGCCTGTGGCTGTGGCCAGTGTCTTTTATTCCCACCTGGTTCCTCCCAGTCTGTGTTCCATGTTGTCACTGCCCCAACTGCACAAGCCTTTTCCTAGTCCTCAATCTTTTCTCCCCACAGCAGCCCTGGGCACAGTAGACCTCCCTAGCCTTTTGAGGAACCTCTTCTGTTACCTGACTGCTGTGGTCTACGTGACCATCTTACCTCTTCCTCTGCATTTTCCTTGTGTCTGTCACTGACTCTCTCCCGTGTCCCGCTCCCCAACTGTGGGTGCCCCAGATGTGTCAATCCTCATTCTCCGATCTTCTCTCTTTATACTAGATTCTAATTCACCTTTATTCATCTATACTCCCAGAGTCAAGTTTTGATTATGTATATATAACCAAATGGCATATAACTCTATCTATCTATCTATCTATCTATCTATCTATCTATGCCATCTCATTTCATGTCTTCACGAAATATCTGTTAGCTGTTTTTCTCCAGATTATCATCCTTCCTTAAGTGCTGTTGTGGTAGCAGTGGTGGTGGTAGTAGCAGTAGTAACAGCAACAACCTCTATCATATAGTAAATGCTAACTATATCTCAGGTGCTTTAGTAAAATCTCATTTAAGCCTTTCAATGTTATACATTGATATTGCTGTTGAACACATTTTATAGAGGAGGAAACAATCTCAGCAGGTTTAACGGTGGTTCCCAGTCACACAGCTAACACAGAACACGGCCTTGAACTCAGATTTTGTCTGACTAAAGTTTGTCATCCTATTTCTGTGCTAAAGCTTCTACAGCAGTCCCTGTTGCTTACCAGGTGAGGCCCAGCATCCTCACGGACCATCCCGGATCTCCGTAACGTAGCTCCACTGATCTGCTCCAGTGACTGCCTTCTGCTCCCAGAGTGGCACCTCCTTAACCACCCTCACCTTCCTACGCAGTGAATGAAGTGCAGACATGAATCCTGAGTCTGCCATTTAGTACTTCTCTAAAACTGACTTCTTGTATTTGTAAAATACCCGCCTCACAATCTCAGGATTGCTGTGAGCATCGTATATAATGAGTGCAAAGGGCCCGGCATAGTGCAAGGGACATGATAGGTGCATAACGAATAGGACCCACTGAGGCTGTTACTCATATTTCTGCTCTTGTGCCTTGTTCGTGTTATTCTCTACATATGAAAT
Source organism: Homo sapiens (assembly GCF_000001405.40). Taxonomy (NCBI): domain Eukaryota; kingdom Metazoa; phylum Chordata; class Mammalia; order Primates; family Hominidae; genus Homo; species Homo sapiens. The sequence continues at coordinate 184,853,874 of NC_000004.12, forward strand.
GTTTGTACTTCCTATTGCTCTGGCCTGACAGTCCTTAAGGGCTAAATTCCATCTTTACTAAATGTTTCCTTGGCTCTAACACACATTGATCTCTCCCCTCCCCAATTCTGAATGCACTTTCTTTTTTCTTTTTTTTTTTTTTGAGACAGAGTCTCGCTCTGTCGCCCAGCCTGGAGTGCAGTGGCGCGATCTCGGCTCACTGCAAGCTCCGCCTCCCGGGTTCATGCCATTCTCCTGCCTCAGCCTCCCGAGTAGCTGGGACTACAGGCGCCCACCACCACGCCCAGCTAATTTTTTGCATTTTTAGTAGAGACGGGGTTTCACCGTGTTAGCCAGGATGGTCTCGATCTCCTGACCTCGTGATCTGCCCGCCTCGGCCTCCCAAAGTGCTGGGATTACAGGCGTGAGCCACCGTGCCCGGCCCTCTGAATGCACTTTCTATATACACCAGGTGGCTGGTGTTATCTACTGTCTTATTCTTGAATGGCTTTGGGTAAGCGAGCCTCATAAGTTACTGGTGAGCTTGCTTGTATTGCTTCTGTGCTCCTCTCAAAGCTACTGGCACACTGTACCAAAGTGATTTGTTCATTGATTGATGGAGAAATGTAAACATTGGGACAAATCAGAGAGAAAAAAGGGCAAATTGGACATTATCTTGTTCGATTTCAGTTGGCAGTCAATGGTTTGTGTTCAAATTATCCTACAGAGGCTTGAACCAGGAGGGGAGGTTCAGAAAACAGATGGTGGGAAAGAGAACAGATCTCTGTATTATGGAGCTTTGACTTTAAAATTATTTCTCTTAAAGAAGAGATAGACCCAAAAGGAAATGATCTGAGATAAATTTCCAGGGACCAGTAAGACAGAAGTACCACTAAATATGAAGAGGCAGTGGACTGGGAATAATGAGAGAAGACCCAGGCAATCATGCCTGTAAGTTACGATAAAGAAAACAGGAAGCACATTTCGACAGAAAAACCATACTTTACATTAAAGAAGTGAGATTGTGTCTGTTGCAAGAGTGAGAGGGAAAGCCCGCAACGACCTCAGGGACCCAGTGAATTAGCTCACGGGAAGCCCAGGGCCTCTTTTGCTAGCTGCTAATGAAGGGAATTAGATAACCATGTTATTTTGAAAGAAAACAGATTATGTTTATTGAATGATCTAAAAGAAGCGAAAAGGGCTAGGTAAAGATGCCATGTTTTGGATTCTGATGTTGGGTCACACCAGGGCGCCCATTCTTCTGTATTCACAAAATGCCCAAATAGGGAGAGGTCTTGCCAGGCGCGTGAACTCGCCACTGTGGCTGAGCAACAAAGGTACATTGAAAGGAAGCGTGTGTGTTTGTGGCTTTGAGCCCCTTTTCCTATTCTGCTGAAGATTAGGAAATTATAGGTTATACTGCTTGAAATGAAGACAGAGTAAATGGTAGGAGGGTTGTAAATCACCTGCGAAGCACCGTCTTCGACCATGCCATATAGCAAGGCTACCCAAAACACTCCAGTCTCTAATTTGTTCAACTTAAAGAATAAGAGGGATATGTCAGTCAGGACCTGCTAACTGCTGTATCAGACAACCCCAGATCCCTAACGACTTACCTCACAGTCATCAGGGGCTAGACAAGTGACCTTCCACACGATAATTCAGAGATACTGCTCCTTTCCTGTAGTTCTCCAGTCCTCAGCACAGGGTCTCAAGATCATCTAGCATCGACCAGTCAGCAAATGTCGGAAGAGGAAAGATAGCTTCCTTAGTCCCTAAGAGACAGCATCTCGTTTTCACTACATTCCACTGGTGAGAACTACTCATATGGCCACACCTAGACACAGCGGTGACTGGAAAGTTAATTTGATTGTGTTTCCAGGAAAAGGAGATAGGCTTGGTGAGTCAGTCTCTCTAGAGGAAAATATGGAACTGGGTTGGATTAAAAAAAATCCAGGCTGGGCGCGGTGGCTCATGCCTGTAATCCCAGCACTTTGGGAGGCCAAGGCGGGTGGATCACCAGAGGTCAGGAGTTCGAGACCAGCGTGGCCAACATGGTAAAACTCCGTCTCGATTAAAAATTAAAAAAAAAAAATTAGCCGGGTGTGGTGGTGGGCGCCTGTAATCCCAGCTACTCAGGAGACTGAGGCAGGAGAATAGCTTGAACCCGGGAGGCAGAGGTTGTAGTGAGCTGAGACTGCACCACTGCACTCCAGCCTGGGTGACAGAGTGAGACTCCGTCTCAAAAAAAAAAAAAAAAAAAAAAAATTCAGGTAATGATTTATATGTTTCTATCAAGCAATATGCCTATAAACATGGAATGATTGAATTTTCAGTTTCAAATACATGTTTTGGGTTGTGAAGACTCAAAAAGCTTGTGGGTCTCTTTGTTTTTGTCAAAGTATATGAATAAACGAGGATTGCAGAAGTTTACTTGTGGAATGAATGCATTAGTAAATTAATGAAGCTTTCTCCTGTACTGAAAGAAGAGTATAAGGTCATGACTCATGGTCATGAGGTAGGAAATAATTCTGCTCACCAAGAAACAAGGACATTTTAAATATCTAAAAAAGCAGAAATGAGAAAGGAAGCATGAAAAATAATCATTTAGCCAACAGTTACAGCACCTACTGACAGACAGAAAGTACAGGGCATTGACATAGTTTAAATCCAGTGACTTCCGTTTTTCCTAATAGAATCAGAGTGATAATGCATTTTAAAGGTTATTTTTATTATTTCATGTCTCCAAACCATTTTCAGAGGGAAATTATCATGGCTGTCACAACAGTAGCTTAATACACAAGGTTGATGGTATTTTACAAAAGTGTCACAAGTGGATTTTAAAGTTAAAAAAAAAAAGGGGGGCTGAGTGCAGTGGCTCATGTCTGTAATCCCAGCACTTTGGGAGGCTGAGTCGGGCGGATCACCCGAGGTCACGAGTTCGAGACCAGCCTGGACAACATGGTGAAACCCCGTCTCTACTAAAAATACAAAAATTATCCAGGTGTGGTGGTGCGCGCCTGTAATCCCAGCTACTCTGGAGGCTGAGGCAGGGGAATCACTTGAACCCTGGAGGCAGAGGTTGCAGTGAACTGAGATTGCACCACTATACTCCAGCCTGGGTGACAGGGGGAGACTCCATCTCAAAAATAAAAAATAATAAATAAGGTTAAAAAAAAGATCAGTATGATATAGCTTATATGAATAGAAAAGATGATTCTCGAACAATAGCATGAGGCATATGAGTTGAAAATAAAGCCTAGAGGTCTTCACCTACAGCAGAGAAAATTTTCACTCTCCCCCACCCCACAGAAGACAGACAGACCTACCCCAAAATTAAAATGACATTAGCCCCATAAGCATGTTTCCCTCCTCAGGTAACAAAGAAGATACCTCAGTTCTAAATCCACACAGTTTTAAAGATGTCATATATTTAATGCTCTTTTTTTTTTCTTTTTTTTTTGAGATGGAGTCTTGCTCTGTCACCCAGGCTGGAGTGCAGTGGCACGATCTTGTCTCACTGCAACCTCTGCCTCCCGGGTTCAAGCAATTCTCTGCCTCAGCCTCCCGAGTAGCTGGGATTACAGGTGCCCGCCACCACATCCAGCTAATTTTTGAATTTTTAGTAGAGACGGGGTTTCACCATCTTGGCCAGTCTGGTCTTGAACTCCTGACCTCGTGATTCACCTGCCTTGGCCTCCCAAAGTGCTGGGATTACAAGCGTGAGCCACCATGCCCGGCCTAATGCTCATTCTAACTAGAAGGAAGTAAAGCCTCAGAACAGTAAAATGATTTGCCACATGTCACAGTTGCAATAAACAGTTCAAGTCCACTCCATAAAGAGATACTAGCAATCCTACGGTTTGTCGAAAGCCAGGCTTCTCGGATAACAAAATATTCTAGGTTCTTTGACAAAATGGGTGATGGGAAGTAAGGAGGAGGGCCTAGTTTCTGAAGCTGCAGGTCATGTAAGGAGCTTGCCCTCAGGCTGGCAAGGCCTAGGAATGGGGGGTGCAGGCGGCCTTCAAGTGCCTGGGGGCCAAGAGGAAGTGCTGCTGTCCCCTGAAATCTTTTTATGGGAGGAACTGACACTGTGGGTCTGTTCAAGTCCCCAAAATGGGGACAGGCTGGGGGCTGAGGACACAGACTCAAGGCCCCTCATTGGCAGTCATGGCCAGGCCAAGGAGCCCAGCTCAGGGCTGCTGGCTTATTCTCAAGCCCCCCAGGGATGTGAAGAGGGGTGCAGAGACTCACGTTTTGCACCCACGGAGTCCAGGACTGGGGTGTTAGAAGTGGGGTAGATTTAGTGGACACAGCAGATCAAGTGCATGTGAAGAGCGCCGCAGCAGCTCTGCATCTCCCAAAGGTCCCAGCTGGTCCTCTGAAGACCCGGGATCACAACTCCACATCGTCACCTCGGGGTCCCAAAGGTCCCAGCTGGTCCTCTGAAGACCCGGGATCACAACTCCACATCGTCACCTCGGGGTCCCAAAGGTCCCAGCTGGTCCTCTGAAGACCCGGGATCACAACTCCACATCGTCACCTCGGGGTCCCAAAGGTCCCAGCTGGTCCTCTGAAGACCCGGGATCACAACTCCACATCGTCACCTCGGGGTCCCAAAGGTCCCAGCTGATCCTCTGAAGACCCGGGATCACAACTCCACATCGTCACCTCGGGGTCCCAAAGGTCCCAGCTGGTCCTCTGAAGACCCGGGATCACAACTCCACATCGTCACCTCGGGGTCCCAAAGGTCCCAGCTGGTCCTCTGAAGACCCGGGATCACAACTCCACATCGTCACCTCGGGGTCCCAAAGGTCCCAGCTGGTCCTCTGAAGACCCGGGATCACAACTCCACATCGTCACCTCGGGGTCCCAAAGGTCCCAGCTGGTCCTCTGAAGACCTGGGATCACAACTCCACATCGTCACCTCGGGGTCCCAAAGGTCCCAGCTGGTCCTCTGAAGACCTGGGATCACAACTCCACATCGTCACCTTGGGGTCCCAAAGGTCCCAGCTGGTCCTCTGAAGACCTGGGATCACAACTCCACATTGTCACCTTGGGGTTGTAGACCCAGGCAAGTTGTTTGTACTCATGACGGTGCAGCTCCTTTTTTTGAAAGGGGGGAATAAGACAGCTGATCAGTAGGCCAGACCTCAGTGAGCTCACTGTGTGCAAAGTTCACACCTGGAGCAGATGGCAGAGTTGCTGGAGGCTCAAAGGCTCTGAGGCACGTGGAAGTGGCTTCAGGGCAGGGCAAGAGAGGCTGTTACACTTTCCAGTCACCTCCTCTCTGGCACCAGCAACCCATTCTTCCAGATTTTTCCTCACAGTTCCATTATACATTTTCTCCCCATATGATAAAGTGTTGGGTTAGACTGAGGCCATTAAGAAAGGGCTACCTACCTAGATAATATCATAACCTCTATCTATTTAAGTAAAATGTTACTGAAATGTTACTAACAGTCAACATTATTGAATCTTTCATCAGTTGCCAGGTTCTATGATAGATGCTCTTTTTTTACCTTCATTACCCCTCCTTCGGTAACCCCACAACCTGGTGTCTATGACTAGCACCAGTTTACAAATGGGGACACTGAGACGCACAGAGGTTACAACCATCAAATGGTGGAATTGGGACTTGAACTCAGGAAGCCTGAGCTTTATAACCTCCAAACTACATAGCCTTCCTTAGAGAAAACTACTAGATCATGAACAAGTCAGAACAGAGAGTAGAGAAGAAATTTTCCATGGAAGAGCTGATAATTGGAGATTTTGGGGAGAGGGAGATGAAAAGAATTGAAATGGAGAAGAAAAATCCGTTTTTGTGGGGGAAAATATAGAAAGTAAGATTTGTCTTGGAATGAGATTAAAATGAAACCATCAGAGCTGGTTTTATTTATTCATCATATACTCATAAATTAAACATCCATTCATTAGCTAAAATTAAACATCCTATCAGCCTTGAGGGGACTCACAGTCCAAAAACCAGATGTTCCTACACTTCCAAAATCTAGCTCAATGATGAGAGAGGTTTCTGACAGAGAGGGAGTGGAAGTTACTGCCTAAAATAGATCCCTAGGCCAAGGGATATAGAAGAATAACAGTAGCCAAAGATGCCAGGGACCATCGTGTGGATCTCTTTCATCTCATACTCCTGGGGCGCAGGCTGCCAGAGATGAGAGAGAGCTGTGGGGTCTGAGGGATTCCTCCTATCTCCGCACAGAGGAGGTGGGGCGTGGGGCGGTGTCCCTTTGCAGCCATGATCAAGGAAGCAGAGTTTCATTCATCTGGGTTAGACTGCCTCTCCTAATATCAGCCAAGATCAGACAAGAATGAACAAAAACTCAGGGTCAATTAGTTGGGTATGGAGAGGAAATGTAGAAATGAGGCCACTGGGGACTTTTTGCATTGCAAAGCCCTGAAATTCTCGGTTTTGCTATGTTGCAAGAGGAGCCCCAAATTAGCAACGATTTCTTGGAGGAAAGGTGCCCAGCCCTTTCATTTATTAACCTCTGCCTGATATTTTCAGACAGCTTTTCGAATCTCTAGGAGGGTTATGGCCTGGTATAAGCAGAGGAGGGGTCAAGACAATTATCCAAGAGCTATTGCAGGACTATTGTTAAAAGAATAAAAATCCTAGCACCAAAAAAAGAGAAGCTCTGGATCTTTTGAACACCGATGTAAACACCCACTGGGTGGAGTGAGGGGGACTGACAGATCACTAGAGTCCGGATGCCTCTGGAAGCCAGAAAGCCCAAAGCATAGTCGGGAGACAGCAGGATGGCGGACTGAGCAGGCGCCACTCTCTTGCTCCGTAAGTTCCGATCCTCCTGCATCCCTCCCTCATCATCATCGGACCTGGTCCTCTCTGTATTGATGAGGTGTGTGCTCACGGCATAAGCCCAGGAGGAAGAGGAAAATTAACAATCATCTCAGGCCAACATTGATTTCATAATTGCCTCCCTTCTTCCATTTATATTTTCCCCATACATAAAAATACAATGCCCATTGGAAAGATTTGGAAAATATATAAAGGGGCAAAAAAGAAAGAATCTTCTTATAACCCCAGTGTGCGTTACACCCTCCACTAGAGCAAGGGGCTGTTTGTCTTGTTGACCAAGCTCTGTCCCCAGAACCAGAAGAGTAACTGGCACAAGTAGGGGCTCAATAGAATTATCTTTTTTCAATGAATCAATGAATCAATGAATACTCTGAGATTACATCTTAATATCTCATTACACATTGTCCTATATCTCAAAGCATGTGTTTTTAAAAAAATCACTCACACGGTTTTTTTCTACGCATTTTCTATTGTGGTAAAATATACTAACATAAAAGTTACCATTTTAGCCACTTTCAAGTGTAAATTCAGTGGCAGTGTTTCTTCACAATGTGGTTCAACCATTACCACATCCAGTTCCAGAACTTTTTCTGGAAAAAGAAACCGAAACTCTGTACCCACCAGAGAATAATTCTCCATTGGTCCTTCCCCTCAGCCCCTGATAACCTCTATTCTACTTGCTGTCTCTAATAATTCGCCTATTCTAGGTAACTCCTATAAGTGGAATCATAGAGGATTTGTCGTTTTGTGTCTGGCCTATTTCAGTTAGATAATGTTCCCAAGGTTTACTCATGTTGTCACATATAGTGCCATTTAATTCCTTTTAAAGGCTAAAAAATGGCTGGACGTGGTGGCTCATGCCTGTAATCCCAGCACTTTGGGAGTTGACCAGGTGACTCTAAAGTTTATGGGAAAATTAAAAGGACCACAAACATTCTACGCATGTTTGTGCGTGGATCATCTGAGGTGGGTGGATCATCTGAGGTCAGGAGATCGAGACCAGTCTGGCCAACGTGGCGAAACCCCATCTATGCTAATAATACAAAAATTAGCCAGGCATGGTGGCGCATGCCTGTAGTCCCAGCTACTTGGGAGGCTGAGTCAGGGAGAATCTCTTGAACCCAGGAAGCAGAGGTTGCAGTGAGCCAAGATTGCACCACTGCACTCCAACCTGGGCGACAAGAGCGACACTCTATCTCAAAAAAATAAAATAAAAAATAAAGGCTAAAGAATATGCCATTGCATGTATGTCAATGCTACGTGTTGTTTCTCATCCATCTGCTGCTGGTAAGCGTTTGGGCTGTTTCCAGTGTATCCAGTTTGCATCTCCTTCTTTCACTTTATAATTACTAGCATTTCTTCATTTTATTAAATTGCCTTCAGGAAACATTTCCTCTGATTGACTGCCAGTCTCACTATAGGTGGACATGGTAATCTAATCATTTTGGTGTGTGTGTGTGTGTGTGTGTGTGAACATTTAGGTGATTTCATACTTTTGCCACGGCAAATAAGGCTGCAGCACCCTCAGACATAAAACTTTAGCCAAGTGTGTGATCAATATTATTTTCAAAGGATAGATTCCTAGAAGGTGAAACACCGTGATGGAGGATATGAAATTCTAAACATCTCCATGTTTTCTTTCCAATTGGCTTGTCAAATGGCTTTCCAGATAGGTTGTACCTGTGTGCACTCTTCCAGGTGTGCATAAAAAAATCAGTTTATTACACTCTCGCCAGCATGGAGTGTTATCATTTATGATGTCTTTGCTAATTTGATTGATGGAAAGTGGTGTTCTGTTGATTTAATGTGCTTTAGATTGGTTACTTGACCTTCCTCTGGGATAACTCCTTCTGTTTGTGGTCCTTTTAATTTTCCCATAAACTTTACAGTCACCTGGTCAACTGCCACAAAAAATAAACCTGAAACTTCTTTTGTTTTTGTTTCTGTTTCTTTTGAGACGGAGTCTTGCACTGTCGCCCAGGCTGGAGTGCAGTGGCGTGATCTTGGCTCACTGCAACCTCCACCTCCCGGGTTCAAGTGATTCTCTTGCTTCAGCCTCCAGAGTAGCTGGGATTACAGGCGTCCACCAACACGCTCAGCTAATTTTTGTATTTTTAGTAAAGACAGGGTTTCACCATGTTGGCCAGGCTGGTCTCGAACTCCTGACCTCAAGTGATCTGCCGGCCTTGGCCTCCCAAAGTGCTGGGATTACAAGTGTGAGCCGCTGTGCCCAACCTGGAACTTCTTTTGACTCTATAGATTAATTCATGGAGACTGACATATTCTATATTACAATATAGAAGCTACTAACCCATAAACATGATATAACTTTTCACTTATTATGTTTTAAAATTTCTCTTAATAATATTTTTACAGTTTTACTGAAGATGTCTTACATGTCTTTATTTAGGTTTATTTTTACATTGTTGATGATAAGTTTAATGCTATTATAAAAGGTATAATTGATTTTTTATATTTTTGCTTGTTGTTGGGATAAAAATATAGACTTGGTTTTTGCATCTGTATATCCAGCAACCTTGGTAAACTTAAATTTAGTAGTTCATCTGTAGATTCTTTGGGATTTTTTTTCTTCTTCTTCTTCTTTTTTTTTTTCAGACAGGGTCTCCTTCTGTCACCCAGGCTGGAGTACAGTAGCATGATCATGGCTCACTACAACCTCAAGTGATCCTCCTGCCTCAGCCTCTCGAGTAGCTGAACTACAGGCATGCCACCAAGCCTGTTTTTTTGTTTTTTTTTTTCCTAATTTTCTGTAAAGATAGGGGTCTCCCTGTGTTGCCCAGGCTGGTCTTGAACTCCTAAGCTCAAGAGATCCTCCTGCCTCAGCCTCCCAAAGTGCTGGGATTATAGACATGAGCCACCATGCCCAGTGGATTTTCTGTGTACATCACTAAGTTGCCTGTAAATAGGCACAGGTTTGGTCCTTGGGTTCACATTCTTCTGCTTGATTTCTCTGTGTACATCACTAAGTTGCCTGTAAATAGGAACAGGTTTGGTCCTTGTGTTCACATTCTTATGCTTGCTTTCTCTTGCTCATCAGATTGGCCAGGACACTCTTCTCTATTCTCAATTTCAGAGGGAAAGTTTTTAACATTTAATCAAAATGTTTATGTAAGTTTTTTGTTGGTGCATTTTATCAGATTCAAGCAGTTCTATCTATATTTGCTAAAAGATATGATTATGAATGTATATTGAATTTCATCAAATTCCTTTTCAGCATTTATCTAGAAGGCAGTGTTATGTTTTCTCCTTTTCTCTGTCAATGAGATGAATTTTACGTTTTCAAATATTTAACCATTCTTACTCTTGAAATAGGCCACTTTGGTCACAATGTATTCACCTTTTCAGACATTACTGTTGTAGTTTTGCAAGAATGACAACAACAAAAAAAACCCATGGGCCAGGCGTGACAGCTAGTTCCTTGAAAAGATGAGCAAAGTCATAAGTCCCTGGTGGGATGGATCGAGGAAAAGAGAGAAGGTTTATATATATATATATATTTGATTTGTTTTCTATTCCATTTAGTTCTCCTTTTTCATACTTTCTCTCTTTTACTATCTTTGAGTTTAACTTGATATTTTTCTAACTTTTTGAGACAGATGCTGGGATATTACATAATATATACAATACATACATAATTAAAACATATATGTGTAGGTTTTTTTCCACAGCTCCTGTCTCATAACTCCCATAGCTCTTGTTGTAGTCGTGTAATAATGTTGTGGAACTTCAGGCCTCAGAAGCAGGACTCAGAAAACAAAATCTCTCTCTTTCTCTGACCATCTCCTGCCCTCCTTTCACTTGCTAGAAATTGAACCCCCAGGAAGGAAGATGATTAGGTATAAATGAAAAGAATCAGAGTAAAGAAAAAGGCAACCTACAAAAGAAAATATTAGAAATCATGTGTACATGAACTTAACATGTTTGTGTTTTATATAAAGAGCATAAAATGAACAGAAGTGAAACATGGGTATAGTCTCACAATATTTCGTTTATCCTTGATTACACACACACACACACCCCTCTATAACAATGTCCTTACTTTTATACATTTACCTGGGAAGTGTAAGGACATTTGTTATATAAACCCAAACTGTTAAGGTATTAGTGAGAAACTTAGAGGAGAAAAAGGAAATTATATGCACTGCAGTTACTGAGGCAATAAAACAAGAAAATAAGATGCAATTGGTCAATTATTAGGGGACCAAAAGATTGTCCTTCAAAAACTGATCATTCCATAGAAAGATGTGAGAACAGTGAAAACCTAAAATATGCAAATTTGGGTAACTGTATGGTTGCTGTGAGAGGGGGAAAAAGCCAAAATAAGAGTAAGGGAATACCATCAAAACAAAAGTACAGCAGTGTTTTTTTTAACAAAGAAAGAAATCTTAGAAGAAACATTATCATCAACAAAAATAATGGAAGATGAAGTAGTCATAAAACAGAAATTAATGAAAGTAAGGTCCTTAAGCAGAAAACTCCCTTAAATATAAATTCTTGTTGAAAAATCAGTTTTGTATATAAGGTAATCTGTTATTTCCTGACTCAATAATTACATTTGAATATCACATATTTCAACAGTTTTGAGTGCTTTGAGATTTATAATCAGTTCCTTAGGATCACCACTTTATACCATCTTTTTTATTGAATGGATGGAAATATAAAATGTGTATGGGAACAGGATGAGTTTATAGAGACCTAATTCATCCTGAACGATGTTTTTGGAATAAATTCCTGATATAATTTTTATTTTCCTTGTATTGGATTCTTTTTCATTTAAAAAATCCACTTACAAAAGCATTCCAATGAAGTGGTTAATCAATGATTTGAAATAAAAATAAAAATTTAGAGATCAGGTATGTAGCTCACGCCTGTAATCCCAGCATTTTGAGAGGCCAAGGAGGCCAGATCACTTGAGGTCAGGAGTTTGAGACCAGCTTGGCCAACATGGTGAAACCCCATCTCTACTAAAAATACAAACATTAGCCAGGTGCGGTGATGGGCACCTGTAGTCCCAGCTGCTTGGGAGGCTGAGGTGGGAGAATTGCTTGAACCTGGGAGATGGAGGTTGTAGTAAGCCAAGATCATGCCACTGTACCCCAGACTGGGTGGTAGTACAAGACTCTGTCTCAAAAATAAATAAATAAATAAAACTTTCAGAGGTGAAGCAATTTGGTACTATGCTATAAAATTATCAAAAGATGCATTTATAAATAGGAGAGAGGAAAGGAAATAGAATTAGTGAGGATGGGGTGTTAGAAGCAGTTGAATAAATATTTTAGCTTGAGTCATTCTTTAGTGAATGATGGTGAAAGCAATAGTAGCCAACCAAGGCTAAGATGCAGGAGCATTGTAATTAGTCTACTTGAGAGTCAAAGAACATAAATAACAGCACTGCAGGTGCTTATGCTAGGTGCATTCTAGAAGTCAACACAGAGCATCAAATGCTAGATAGACACAAGAATGTTGAGCTCTTTGCATCTTGCTCTTGTAATTCAAGAATAGTTTGATATTTGGGGTACATTAAAAAAATGTAGTGTTGTAAAAAAAAAACACTCTGGTGTATGAAAATGGAAAATTTGCTCTAAAAAAACTATATACACACAAGTCATTAAAACGAGACCGAAATATGAGTGAAAACGCATAGACTTCACTCTCAAAATGGGATAGATTTTTCAAAATCTGACTTTGTGACTCAGGACATCTCCTCTATGGGTTTCCTTCCACTTATTATTGTGAAATGATTTGGTGCAACATCCACTGTATTGATCCGGAAATCCTGCTCAAGAACAATTGGTTGATTCTTGCGTTTTGCCTTCCATCAAGTTGAGTCCCATAGCGCCTGTAAAGCTCCTGTCTCTCAGCTTCACGCTTCCCTTCTGTGTTCTGCTTGCGATGACTGCACACATCCTTTGCCTGCTGGCTCCCTTTTGCACTCTGCCAATGAGGACCACTAGAGGAAAACCAGCAGGCAGGAAGAAGGGAGAGGGATCTGCCCCTTCTTGGAGCTTCTTGTTAGCTTCCTGTCTGTTTCCTGCCTGGCCAGCATTGCTTCCCACCCCACTGCCCAGCCCTCACCCCATGCCCCCACGGCCGCACTTTACTGTGGATGCAGTAGTTTGCGGTTCTCCCCACCTTAAAAGAACCTGCCTCACTGGGCCCCTCCAGAGACACCAGCACTAGCCATTGGCATCTCATTCTCAGAAGTCTGGGTTTCTGCCCTGTGGAGCCCCATTTTGAAGGCTCCAAGTTTTAAACATTCCAACCTCTTCTCTTCATGACTTCAACCCTAGGGGAGGTTGTGGCTTCCTGCAGTTGCTGATTCAGTCCATAAATTATGATATCTTAGAGTTCTGTTTTCGCTTGTTAGTTACTCTTTTAGAATAACGGTCCTCTAAAGAGGCCTACATCCTAATCCCCCAAACCTGGGAATAGGTTATGTTATATGGCAAGAGGGACTCTGCAGGTGTGATCAAGTTAAGCACTGAGAGATGGGAAGATTACCCAGAATTATCTGCTTGGGCTCAGTGTAATCACAAGGGTCCTTATGAGAGGAGGGCAACAGGGCCAGAATCAGAGAAGGAGACGCGGCAAGGGAAGCCAGCTGGAGCGATGGGGTCCGTGTCACGGGAAGTGCAGGTGGCCTCTAGAAGCTGGGAGAGGGAAGGAAATAGACTGTCCCCTAGGGCCTCCAGAAGGAACACAGTTCTGCCAGCACCTCGATTTAGCCCAGTGAGACGATTTCAGATACCTAACCTCTGGAACTGTAAGGTAATAGATTTGTGTTGTCTTAAGTCACTAAATTAGTGGTAATTGTTACAGCAGCAATAGGGAACTACCATTCACCCAGTTAATAATACTTTAGATCAAATTTTCCCTATTAACTGCTCTGGTTTTTTCTCCTGACTTGACCCTAATTGAGTCAAATAGAGTCTGCATGTCTGATTCTATGTTATTTTTTTTAGAGACAAAGTCTTGCACTGTCAGTGAGTGCAGTGGCACCATCATCACTCACTGCAGCCTCGAATTTCTAGGCTCAAGTGATCCTCCCACATCAGCCTCCCCAAGTAGCTGGGACTACAGGTGTGGGCCATGATGCAGGGCTAATTTTATTTTATTTTTTTTGTACAGATGGGGTCTCACTATATTGCCCAGGCTGATCTGGAACTCCTGGCCTCAAGCAATCCTCCCACCTTGGCCTCCCAAAATGTTGGAATTTCAGGCATGAGCCACTGCACCTGGCCTAATTCTGTATTATTAAAAGATCAAGTACTGCTCATTTATTTAATCTGAATTCTCAGGTCTCAATTATATTTTTCAAGGTTAACATTAGTTTGCAAGGACATACTTAGCATTGAATTTTTGTTTGTTTGTTTGTTTGAGACGGAGTTTTGCTCTTTCACCCAGGCTGGAGTGAAACGGTGCAATCTCAGCTCACTGCAACCTCTGCCTCCCAGGTTCAAGTGATTCTCCTGCCTCAGCCTCCTGAGTAGCTGGGATTATGGGCACCCAGCACGACGCCTGGCTAATTTTTGTATTTTTAGTAGAGAAGAGGTTTCACCACGTTGGCCAGGCTGGTCTCAAACTCCTGACCTCAGGTGATCCACCTGCCTTGGCCTCCCAAAGTGCTAGGATTACAGGCATGAGCCACTGCACCCGATCAGCATTGAATTTTTTTAAAAGTAGTTTTCCTACTTGTAAAAATGGTCCTTTTACCTTGTAGAATGTAAAATTAAAATATATGCACTAAATTAGAAATTAAAGCAAAGGGCACTTACATATCAGGTTGTAAAGTTGTCATGGTGATCAGGAAGAGCTGATGTCAGATCCGTGGCACTGATGATGGGCCTTGTGTGGGAAGCCAGGCAGGATGGCCTGGACCAGCTGGAGCTGGGAGTCTGGCTAATGACAAAATGAGTGAATGTTATTTATCTGGGCATGAAGGCAGAAAGCCCAGGAAGGCTGGGATTTGGAGTCTAGTGCAAGGTCCAGGAATTTAGTGAATGTATGAAGTTGTAACTGTGTGTGGTGATTCAGGTGGTCGAGCTGAATCCAACATTTAGGAAATCCCCAATGGAATAGAAGCAAGGCTGCCATCATGGTTTTTAGTAGGCAGAGTTCATTGTCCAAGGACATCTTCCAAGGCAGTAATGAACAAATGTGTCCACAAAAGGGTTGCTAGAGTAGGAATTTTGACCTCTGTTCTCAAGGCAGATGCACGAATAGATGTACAGCAGGTCCCCCTTATCCATGGGAGATACCATCCAAGTCCCCCCGTGGATGCCTGAAACCATGGATAGTACCAAGTCCTAGATATATTGTTTTTTTCTTATATATACACACCTATAATAAAGTTTAATTTATAAATTAGGCACAGTAGGAGATTATAATAACAATAATAAAAATAGAGAAATTATAATAATATGCTGTAATTAAAGTTATGTGAATGTGGTTTCTCTCTCTCTCTCCTCTCTCTCTCTCAGAATGCTGTAACATTTTTAGACCGCAGTTGACCATAGGTAACTGAAACCATGGAAAACAAAACTGTGAATAAGGGGGACAACTGTATTATTTACTCTGATTTCTGTATTCAGGATGAAGCTTTTTTTTTTTTTTTTTTAACAGAGGCAAATGAGCACTGGTAGCAGACAGATTCCACTAATAACAAAAGTGAAGGGCTGTGCTTTTTAGGAGGTTCTGATTGCGTTACATTGTGCAAAGCTCAGTACACAGACTTAGCAATAGTTCTTTTATTGCCATTGGAAGAAGATGGCTCAGAATCATCCTAGTGAAGCCTCCAGCTCATGGTAAAGAGGACTACGTAGCAAGTGCCCTGAATTGATGTACTCTTAGAGGTAAATTCCACAGTCGTGTGCGCAGCTTTCTTTTCAATATGGGTGAACACTTCATACGCTGAAATCACATTTTCTGCCTTCCCTCGAGTATTGTGGTTCGTTGGTATATTGGGGCCATGTCAAGGACCTAAATGCCTGGGCCTGTGTCTTTGGCTAAGTACAGTGGATGGTGTCAAGAACTGTAAAGACGCTAGGAATTTATCCTACTTGCAAGTTACCTTGCCACAGTTTCGTGGGTGCTGGTGGAACCTATGACATATGTCATATGTGAAGATGTCAGAGACTCGGGATTTCATTACTCACAGCAAAAGCAGTAGGCTGAGTAACGTTTTTTACGCCAGTTCCTGGAGCCCCGGTACCCATAGGGCAGCACAAAGAGAGGCAGGTGACAAGTGGATGTGCAGTGAATAGCATTACTGGAGGAGAATTCTGAATTTAGGAAACTTGAATTATAACAGGCGGTAGGCCAGCTTGATCTTCGCCCTCAGGGAACCCTAACATTTGATGGCCAGGTTACGTCTATGTGACACTAAAGCAGCCGATCAGCCAAATTAGTTTAATCAATGTAGTAAAAAAATTAATTGAATGAGTCATCAAAGGCTATGTAGAATGGGGCTTGCCCACCTAGAACATAACTAAAACACATGCTAGCCCACCTAGCAACTCCAGGAGTCTGGTATGAATGAATTAAATACACACACTTTGAATGGCGTCTCCCCAGTGCCTGGTTCCTCCTTCCCAGGAATCCTGCTTTCCTACACACCCCCACCTCTCCCTTTTCTCCTCCTGTGACAGTTAATTTTAGGTGTCCACTTGACTGGGCTAAGGGATGCCCAGTTAGCTGGCGAAACATTTATTTCTCTGAGAGTGTCTGTGACAGTGTTTCTGGAAGAAATCGGCATTTGAATCAGTGGACTGAGTAAAGAACATCCCCCTCACCAATGTGGGTGAGCATCACCATTCCACTGCAGGCCCGAATCGAATGCAAAAGTGGAGGAAAGGCAAATTTGCTCCCTGCTGAAGCTGGAACATCCATCTTCTCTTATCCTTGGACATCAGCACTGCTTGTCCTTAAGCCTGTGGACTTGGACTGGGACTTCTATCACTGAAATAGAACCACACCACTGGCTTTCCTGGGCTTTGAGCTTGCAGACTACAGATCATAATCTGTAATCTTGGCCGACTACAGATCATAATCTTGGCCCCCATAATCACAGGAGCGAATCCCTTATACTAAATCTCTTTTATCTATCTATGTCTATCTATCTATCTATCTATCTATCTATCTATCTATCTATCATCTATCTACCTATCAATTATCTATCTATCTATCTATCTATCTATCTATCTATCTATCTATCTTTATCTATCATCTCCAATCATTTCTGGATGAAATGTTTCATTTAGAAGAAAACTGACTAATACACCTCTCCACTCCGCTAAGAATTTATTCTTCATGTCTGTAATTCACAGCATTTAGATGAAGTTTGCTGCTTAACATGAAACTAACCTTGAGGATTTCTCCCACATGTTAGTAATTGCACTTTTCGTACCTAGTGATTGGGGAAAAAAAGCAAAAACAATCAAAAGTTGCAATGAATTCGGTAACATTTTCAAATGAACTTGTATTTTATTAATCATAATGATTTTTTATCTATATTGGAAAAAAGACTAGTTATTATCTATTTAGCCATATAACTATAACCTACCAAGAGTTTTGCTTCCATTTAGTGTCTATCACACCAATCAGGGAACTGTTAAAGACCAAACACCTTTTGGAACACAAGAGAAGAAAACAACCATTCTGGGACAGCAGGAGCCAGTGTTAGTATTTTGATAGCAGGGTCCTTGGCCTACATTAAAGAATAGTTTCAACCCAGAGCTGCAGGGAAAGGTTCATGCTGAGTTGAGAAGAAGGGCTGCTTAGAGACCAATGCTATCCCACTATGTTTCTATTGTTTGTTCTATTCTTCTATTTCTCCCATTAGATTGTAGGCTGAGAAAGGGTAGGGGTCATACCTGTTGTATTTCCAAGCCCTTGCACAGTTACTAATACATGGTGAGTGTCAACAGTTATTATTTTGGATAAACAAATGAATGAATCATAAATCTAGTCTTATACTACTGAGGCTTAGTATAGTCCTAATGATCTCTTACCAATGCCATTGGTCAAATTGGTGACTTCTTGCGATGGCTGCATCCTGTTCTCAGCCCCTACTCACAGAAAGAAATAAATGAAGGTATGTCTTACTCCCTCTGAAAAGCTTCTAACTCTGGGTATAGGCAGGATAATGCCTTGGTCCCAAGGTTGATGTTACTGACAGAAATTATATTGTTATGTAGAATAATAATAAACCCTACTTGAAAATAACTCTATGGCTATTGCCTGTAAGATAAAGTCTAAACTCCTTGGTCTAATAAGAGGCCTGATAAACCAGTCATCGCCTTACCCTCTGGTCTTCTTGGCCATTCTCTCCTTCCCTGGCCTTCTCCTGGCCTCCAGCTAAGACAAGCGGCTCGCTGTTTTCAAACAGGCCACCCTCTTTACCCCTCTCCACCGTGGCATTCGTCACTGTCCTTCAGAATTGCGTCCGTGCAGCCAGAGGCCACCTCCCCTTTTCAGTTCCCACATCACCCCATCTATGTCGCGGAACAGCTTTTGCAGACTCTGAATTGACTGCAATCGTGTTGAAGCCGAGAGATTGTATTTGTTTATGTTTATATCTCCAAGCTGCCGTACAATAGGTGCTTGATAAATGTTTATTTCAGGAACAAACTTATACATTTATAAACTTTCCACTGTCAGAGGAGAATTAAGATAAAACTTCTAATTGTAGAGATGTGCCATCGTGACCTCCCTTGGATGTTTGCTTTACATTTTGCTCCCTTTGTGCGTAATGCCTGGAAACATGCCCTCATATTCAAAGGCCTTTAAACAGTAAGGAACACCCTTCCTTTTCACTTGCCTCAATACTTAATTGGCATTTTATCATCTTCTTTCTAACTTTCCAGCTGCACTGATTTCACTTTTCCATCAAGACTGTTTTGTGAAAATAAGGAAATATCCCCTCCATGGACTCCTCCAAAGATGACAATGACTATCCAAGGGTCAGATTTGCAACTGCACAGGCCAGCTACCTTTTCCCTAAGGGAGATTTGATCTCCACGATGACCTCTGAGTTTGATGTCACTAAAGGAGCCATCAGTTTCCCTTGTACTGTTTTACTGAAACTGTTAACAGGAACACTCACATTCTCAGAATCCTAGTATCTAAAATAAAATACACACAAAAGAAAATAAAATGTACTATGGAATGTTTTTATGCCAATAAATGTAGCTCTAACTTGTGATTTTTTATGACTTCAGAGGTTTCTATTTTATAACTTTAAAACAACCCAATCCAAACTACATTCTTGGACATTTAATTTTCTCATGCTATACACATCTTTTGTAGATGGTTTTGAACTCTAGGCTGATCAAGAAAGTTAACACAACAACAAAACGGAATCCGGTGCCTCCTCTTTTTTCCAGGGTGCCTGATAACAGTGATTGATTGTGTTCAACTGGCCTCCACCAAGTGGTCTTAAAGCCAAGAGCCTGGGTGGTCACACAGCAAGGCACTGTCCAGGCTGAGAAACCTGAGCTTTGTGTCCAACTCTGCCTCTTGCTCTGAAACCATGGTCTTTCACAAGACATCAGTGGTGTCTCAAGCCTGAGGAAATAGATCTCCTTTAAGCAGAGTTCACCTTGTGATGAAAGATCTTGGCTAATGGAAATTTGTTGGAGTAAAAAGAATCTGTAGAAATCAGAATGTGAGGTTGCCAATTTCATGAAAAGCAGTTCCAAAAGCAAGAAGCCATTTGATATATGGGCCAAAGAGCAGTCAAGAGCTTAATCTTCCAACATCCCCTCTGACAATTTGGTATAAAATGTAACTCCGAAATGATTAAAAGAGTTCTTTGGTAGTGCCTGCAGTTTTGGTGTGCTCTATTCTTGCTATCTCCTTATTATCTCTTTTATCGATGTGAAATATGTGAGCATCTTTTCAAAGTACTTTCAGTACTTTCAAACTTTTCAGTTTTACCACAGTCTGTATTCTGCCCCATGGCTCAGCTAGGTCAGAAAGCTTTTCAGGTTTTTAGAGAATTACAGATGGGAGTTTATCACGGCTGTAAAATCAAAAATAATATTTGGTATCACAGTTAATAATGTGCTTGGGTTTTCTCTATAAAAACATAAATTATATTGCATATGGCCATGTGTTCCTTTAAAAAGGGAAGAAAATATCTACTTCCAATTCAGACAGGATTTTGAGGGGGACTGTAGGACTGTGTCATTCTGAGGGTGCTTTTTGGAATTTAAGTGCTTATATAGGGAATGAGGGCGAAATGCTGGTGAAATTCAGAAGCTAAACCTATTAAATTGTGGGGAAAGTCTGGCAAGTATTCAAGCCATAACAACCAAGCAGGGACAGTCCCTTCAGGGGACAGGACAGGACCTGCATTTTAGAGGCAGGAAGGACCTTAGAATATGCCTGGCACAGCCCCTCATAGCAGAATAACATAGCCCACAGGACATGCACCCGACACCCAGCTGGGCCATCCTTCCTCCACCAGCCCGGGGGGCCTCATTCCCCTCTCAGCTGCTCCTCTCTGGGAGCAGGAAGAATTCTAGATACAGACTACAATATATTTCCAGATGGAAAATATGGTGTCTGGGATTTCCAGGCAGTTGGGGGACATTGGTGGAGATATAGATGAAACAAAATTAGTCATGAGTTGATAATTATTAAAGATGATAATGGAGCCAGGCGCGGTGGCTCACGCCTATAATCCCAGCACTTTGGGAGGCCGAGGAGGGCGGATCATGAGGTCAGGAGTTCAAGACCAGCCTGGCCAATATGGTGAAGCCCCGTCTTTATTAAAAATACAAAAAAAAAAAAAAATTAGCTGGGTTTGGTGTTGCAGGTTCATAGTCCCAGCTACTCGAGAGGCTAAGGTGAAGAATTGCTTGAACCCAGGAGGCGGAGGTTGCGGTGAGCCAAGATCGCACCACTGCACTCCAGCCCGGGTGACAGAGAAAAAAAAAAAAAAGGTTGATATTGGATACATGGAGGTTATTATATTATTCTTTCTACTTTCACATATGTTTGAACATTTTTGTAATAAAACATTAAAAAAAATTTTTTTAAGAGCAGGGTCTTGCTCTGTCACCCAGGCTGGAATGCAGTGGAATGTGATCATAGCTCACTGCAGCCTCAAATTCTTGGGCACAAGCAATCCTCCCAAGTAGCTGGGACTACAGGCATGCACCACCACACCCAGCTAATTTTTACATTTTTCTGTAGAGATGGGGTCTGGTTATGTTGACCAGGCTGGTCTTGAACCCCTGGCCTCAAGTTATCCTCCTGCCTTGGCCTCTCAAAGCACCAGTAGTACAGGTGTGAGCCACTATACCCAGCCCATAAAACATTCTTTACAAACTGTGAGACAGAAAAAAAAGGAAGAAAGAAAGAAAGAGAAAGGACAGAAGGAAGGAAGGAAGAGAAAGAGAAAACGATGCTCTCTAAAAATCAGTGAGAAGAGCTAGGAATGCCCTACAGATCATTGGTCTGGTGTCCTGTACATGACTTTCGGTACTGTGATTAACAGAGGCAATGATCAGAACAATAACATGTGAAGACACTGGCAGAGAGAAACTGGGTAGATAGGAAGTGCAGTCCAGGAACCTACCCTTGTAACAAGCACTTCAGATGACTTAGATACAGGTGGCATATGGACCACAGTTCGAGAAATGCTTCAATAATGAGTTAAATGATGTAGCTTCATTTTTAGCACAGCAGTATGTGGGCAATTCACCCAACTTACCTCGTCAGCCTGAAGAGTTTGAAAAGTATAACAGGTAAGTACTTACCAAATGCTACCTGCCGAATTACTGCAGATCTATTGACAAGACAGTCTTCCATAGCTCCTAATGATCCTTTTTATGCATCAGACTAAAGAAACACCACCAGTTAGCAACCAGGTTGTTAGGTGGTTGAATAGAAAAACTGTTAATCATTCAAAAAAAAAAAAAGATAGGAAAATACTGAACGTTCTTAGTGTTGATGAAAATGTCTGATATAAAGAACATTGTTCAAAAAATCATCAAATTATATCACTATTGGAGTAAACAATGTACTACCATGTCTTTGCCAGGTCTAGGGAGCCAAGTCTAGTTCAGGGAAAGGAACAAGCCAACGGTGTTCCCCTCTGGGATATAGTTTCGTATTTTGGAAGAAGTCATGCAGTCTGTGAGACATTTAAGAGCAAAGTTATGGGAGGCCGAGGCAGGCGGATCACCTGAGGTCAGGAGTTAAAGACCAGCCTGGCCAACATGGTGAAACCCCGTCTCTACTAAAACAAAAAACAAAAATTAGACGGGTGTGGTGGTGGGCGAGTAACCTGTAGTCCCAGTTACTCGGGAGGCTGAGGCAGGAGAATCGCTTGAACTCGGGAGGCGGAGGTTGCAGTGAGCGAAGATAGTGCCACTGTACTCCAGCCTGGTTGACAGAGTGAGACTTCGTCTCAAAAGAAAAAAAAAAGAGCAAAGTTATAGGAAAACATGATGTCTCATATCTTGTTTTAGGACTGCAGAACCTCACAATTTCAGTGAAGAGAGATTTGGCAATATCTTTCAAAATTACAGACATACTTGTATTTGACCCAGCAATCCTACTTCTGAGTATTTTTCTATAGATACAACTCCACACATGTAAAGGAACAGCACTGATGCAGTAATTGTAATAACAAACAATTGGAAATAACCAAATTGTCTATCAATAGGAGACTGGTCAAAAAGCCATAGTCATCTACACAATGGGTGCCATGCAGCTGCAAGAGAAAAAGAAAAGAAAAAAGAAAGAAAAGATGAGGATCATCTCTACAAAAAGGGTTCCCGTTGTTAGGAAGAAAAGCCAGGTGCTGAAAAGAATACATAAGATGGAAAAATAAAAATCTATATTCCTCTTTGCTTAATTCTGCATCAAGAAAAGCTTGAAGGAACTAGTGAAAGTGGTTAACTATAGATAGGATAAACATATTATTTTTGCCTAAATGGAATAGTTTTGAGAGTGAGAGCGTCAGTATTAATTTTTTTTTTTTTTTAGACAGAGTCTTGCTCTGTCGCCCAGGCTGGAGTGCAATGGCGTGGTCTCGGCTCACTGCAACCTCTGCCTCCTGGGTTCAAGTGATTCTCCTGTCTCAGCCTCCCAAGTAGCTGGGATTACAGGTGCCCACCACCATGCCTGGCTAATTTTTTGTATTTTTAGTAGAGACGACATTTCACCATGTTGGCCAGGCTGGTCTTGAACTCCCGACCTCAGGTAACCCACCTGCCTCAGCCTCCCAAAGTGCTGGGATGACAAGTGTGAGCCACCGTGCCCAGCCAAATTATTAATATTTAATACCAAGACAATAGATGTAGCTTGGAACTGTTCTAGATAAACCAGTCCCCATGGTCACTCTATGTAGAGGGGGTAAGGCATAGGGCTTGGGGACTAGAGTAGCTGGGGAATTCCCAAAGTGCATCTTGTTGTATTGCTTTGACTTTGGAATAATGCACATGTATTACCTATTGGGAACAATAGGAAATTTAGAAAATGTTGGGAGGACCATGGTCAATGTAAAATTTGTTGCTGGACTTTAATGGTCCCTCACGGTGGATGAGCATTTAATGGTATCTGAATTCCCTATTGACAGTGCTTGAAGACAAAACTGGAGCATGCATCACTACGCATCTACCTTCTCACAGGTGAATTTTCTAATTAAGAGCTGAGGATATTCAACCTTTACTTATTCATCCATCCATTCAGCCATTCATTTGACTTTCAGCAAATATTAATGGGGCACTACGCTAAGCACGGGGACTCTCTGGTGCTCAGGATACATCAGTGCCTCCCCATGGAGCTCTTGGTCTCATGGAGGGTACAGACAAGTACACAGATGTCAGAACAGAGTGGAAAAGTGAAGTCACCAGGGAAGTAGTAGCCGTTCTCTGGGCACTGAGTTTCCCTCAGGGGATCACTGGCCAGTTGAATGAGTGAGCAAATGAATGAATGAATGCAATGAAATAAAATGACTGCTTACATTCCTTCCAAATCTGCAATTCACTTGTGTAACATACAGGGTTTCCAATATTTTGGAGAAACAAGAATAGGATTAAACTCAAATTGTTCTGCTTGGTTGCAGAGAGGGCTTGGTTCACCATTTTGCATATGTGAAGCACATTTTCTCTAGGAGAAGGTGTAGGTGTGAGGCAGGCATGGCATCATGAAGAGAGATGGGGCCTAATAGAAAAAAAATCAGCTTATTTCTTTTGAAAAAGTCTTCACAGTTTATAAGGCAGGGGGATTTTTTTTTTTTTTTTCAGACTGAGTCTCTCTCTGTCGCCCGGGCTGGAGTGCAGTGGCGAGATCTCAGCTCACTGCAACCTCCGCCAGCCGGGTTCAAGCGATTCTTCTGCCTCAGCCTCCCGAGTAGCTAGGACTACAGGTGCATGCCGCTACACCCAGTTAATTTTTGCATTTTTAGTAGAGACAGAGCTTCAGCATGTTGGCCAGGCTGGACTCAAACTCCTGATCCTAAGTGATCCATCTGCCTCGGCCTCCCAAAGTGCTGGGATCACAGGCAGTGGTGAGCCACCGCCCCTGGCCAGCAGGGGAAAAAATTAATCCAATAGCAGAAGTCCTATTAAGAACAGAAGTACCATTTAGGAAAATACTTTGATGATATAAAATTTCAGTTATACAGGAAGAATAATTCAGGAGGTCTATTGTACAACATGATGAATACAGTAAGAAGAAAGAGGGGGTAAGGAGGTAATGATATAAAATAGTCCAGAGCTCTGCGTTCCAGTCCCACTCTTCCACTGGCTTACTGTGAGACTTTAGGGATGGAAATGAGCCTCTCTAAACTTTTTTTTTTTTAATTTTTGAGTTGGGGTCTTGCTCTGTCACCCAGGTTGGAGTTGAGTGGTGCAATCATGAATTACTGCAGCCTTGACCTCCCAGGCTCAAGCGATCCTCCCACCTCAGTCTTCCAAGAACCTGGGATTACAGGCATGCACCACCACTCCTGGCTAATTTTTAAATTTTTTTGTAGAGACAGGGTCTTGCTATGTTGCCCAGGTTGGTCTTGAACTCCTGGGCTCAAGTGATCCTCCTGCCTCAGCCTCCCAAAGTGCTGGGATTACAGGCGTGAGCCACCGTGCCCGGCCTATACTTTAGAAAATATAAACTAATGGTGTTTGGCAAGTTGTTGTCTGTGGCTCCTCTTAGATGCCTAATTCTTTGTTCTACTTGTGGATTTTTTTTTCCCAGTATCTCCCTCTCCTTTGGAAGCAGACATTTAATTTCCCATCTCAGGGCCGTGGCGCGTGCCATTCCCTCCACGTGGCCTGGCCTTGCTCTCCATCTTCCCGCAGCCAGCTCCTCCTCACCTTGCAGGTCTCAGCCTCGCCTTTCACAGAAGTCTCTATCAAAGCTGGTCGCTCTATCAGAGTTCAGTGCCCTTGTTATTTTCTGTTTCATTCAGAGTTCTTATTGTATTTTCCAGCTTTTCATCTGAAATTATAAACTTAGTAAGCAAGTTTAATGAAGCAAATGTCCAGTGTCTAGCACCTGGAAAATAGTAAGTTCCCATAATGATTTGTTGAATGAATCAATGAAAAATCCTTCCATTTGCTCATATTCTAATTTCCTGAATGGATTGGAAGGTTGCATAGATAACCTCAAAGGTCCCTGCTTCCAGCTTAAACCATAGCTGTATCTTGCCCAGATTAAGCTGGCACCATCTCCTCGAATCCAATCACCCCTACTTTGCCAGGAGGGGAGCACTCACATTTGGGCTGCTGCAACGCTTAGGTGATTGCAGATTGTGGGGACAGATATTGGAGGCAGTTAATTGTTTCCAAATGTGAGTATTTCAGAGATGTAGCTCCCACAGGACACTAGAGTTTCTCTCTGGATATAATTTTTGCCAAACCAATAATTATAGCAGTTTATGCAACTGACATATAATTCCACCAGGACTGAAGTGGCAGAGTTGACAAGAAGCTCGCCAATTGTGTATGATTTGGGGCCCGTCTGCATAGATCTATTCTCTAAGAGATCAAAAATGTCTTTCTTTGGGCCTCTTCCTTTTTGTGATTTTTTTTTCCACTTCGGCTTTTGAATTGGACGTAACAGGCTGCAGCTAGCTTAATTTTGTCGTTGCCACTCAGGGCCTGTCACCCTCCTGAAGCACTGACTTCATCTTCCACTCACTTTATCAATGACATCCACCCAGGCTAGAAATAAATGAGGAAACACCAGTCAAGGGGAATACGAAAAATTTGTAAATTGCAGAATTGGGCTCTGCAAATTAATCATAATTTGGAAAATGTTTTCATGGTCACTGTTCATCAGGTATTGTCTCCTCTTGCCTTCTGCAGATGTCCAGGCCTCTTAGCATGCCATAGAACCATGAAAAAACACCCACTCCAAAAACTCACTTTGCAAGTGATGGCAGAGAGATCCCAATGGTGGAGTGATTTGCCAACACAACAGGGCACGGCCATGGCCAAGGTGGGAGCCAGAAAACCTTGCCCGCCCTGCTAGCCATCCTTAGCTGCTCCACCCTTCCCCAGCGGGCCCATGTCCTGCCATATGTACCCCAGTTCACCTCCACATCCCATCCGTCGGCATCAGTGCAACGTGAGGTCTGGGTTTCTCTTTTCTACCCAAGTCAGGCTGACTACCTGGTGAAGAGGAAGTTTCCCATCTGTGTTACTTTCCTAGGGCCACTGTAACCGAGAACCATGAACTGGAAGCTTGAACAACAGAAGTTTTTGTCTCTCATTCCTGGAGGCTGGAAGTCCAGGATAGTTCAGGTGTGGGCAGGATGCGTTGATTCTTCCCCAGGTCTATGAGGGAGAGCCTGCTCCATGCTGCTTGCAGCTTCTAGTGGCCCCAGGAATTCCATGGCTGCAGTCACAGAGCTCCAGCCTCCGCCTGCATCTTCCCCAGTCACCTCATCCCTGTGTGTGTCTTCACCTCAGCTTCCCTCTGTGCATGTCTGCCTGTGTCCATGTTGCCTCTTTTCATAAGGACACCAGTCACATTGGATTAGGGCTCACCCTAATGACCTCATTTTAACTTGATGGCCTCTGTAAAGAGCCCATTTCCAAATAAGGTCACATTCTGAGGTACTGGGGGCTAGGACTTCATATCTTTTGGGGTGAACATAATGTAACCCATAATATCATCTGAAACCCTTTCTCTGTCAACCGATCCGCAAAACCCCCACCTGACAGGGAGAAGATCGATAATGAAATGCAGCCAAGGGGAGGCTTCTTAAAGCAAGGTGGAGTTT
Organism: Homo sapiens; assembly: GCF_000001405.40. NCBI lineage: Eukaryota > Metazoa > Chordata > Mammalia > Primates > Hominidae > Homo > Homo sapiens. The sequence goes on from NC_000004.12 coordinate 184,880,957, forward strand.
AAAGAACTGAGCAGATAGGGGCTGGGCATGGTGGCTCACGCCTGTAATCCCAGCACTTTCGGAAGCCGAGGCGGGTGGATTGCCTGAGGTCTGGAGTTCGAGACCAGCCTGACTAACATTGAGAAACCCCATCTCTACTAAAAATACAAAAATTAGCCAGGTGTGGAGGTGCATGCCTGTAATTCCAGCTACTCGAAAGGCTGAGGCAGGAGAATTGCTTGAACCTGGGAGGCAGAAGTTGCAGTGAGCCGAGATCCTGCCATTGCACTCCAGCCTGGGCAACAAGAGCAAAAAACTCCGTCTCAAAAACAAACAAACAAACAAACAAACAAACAAGCAAAACCCTGAGCAGACAGTAACTTATATTTAAAAGTAGTATGATTGTTATTATTGTTGTTCTTGTTATTTACTTTCAACATTCTCCTTAATCAAGTTCTCTCTCGTTCACTAATTAATTCACTGCAGATTGATTGCATGTTTACTATATGTTAGGCACTATTCTAGGAGCCAGATACATCAGCAAGCAAAGCAGACAAAAGATCTGATCCTCATGGAGCTACATCCTAGTTGTGGAAGATTGACGTACATTAAATATGTACTTAAGTCAGATTGTAATAAATACTATGAAGAAAAAGCAAGGAAGGAAGGGGAAGAGTGCCAAGGGAGGAGAGTAACTCAGTTTTAGGCCAGGGGGTGAGAGAAGAGCTGACCGAAGACATGGCATTGGAGTAAAGACCTGGAGGACAGATGAGGAAGCCGTTGGGGGTACCTGGGGAGTGCATTCCCAGCAGAGGAACAGCAATCATGAAGGCCCTAAGGTTGGCGCATGCCCAGAGCAGCTGAGGACCAGCAAGGAGGCCAGTATTGCTGGAGCAGAGGGAGCAAGTGGGGCAAGGGCAGCAGGAGGGAAGACTGGGGAGGCGCAGCATGGAGGTAGGTGCACAGACCATGGGCCTTGCAGGACATTGGAAGGATGTTGGCCTTTCACTCTGAGAGAAATGGCAGTGAGGATGGGCTTTGAGTGAGGGAGCATACCATGGTTTGGATATGGTTTGCTTGGCCCCACCAAGTCTCATGTTAAAATGTGATCCCCAGTGTTGGAGGTGCGGCCTGGTGGGAGGTGTTTGGCTCCTGGTGGGTGGGTCGCTCGTGAATATCTTGGTGCTGTTCTCAAAGTAGTAAGTGAATTCTCACTCTGTTAGTTCATGCAAGAGCTGGTCGTTAAAAAGAGCGTGGCACCTCTTCTATTTCTGCTGTCTCACCATGTGACATGCTGGCCCCTCTTCTCCTCCCGCCATGAGTGGAAGCTTCCTGAGACCCTCCCCAGAAGCAGATGTCAGTGACTTGCTTCCTGTGCAGCCTGCAGAACCGTTAGCCAAATAAACGTCTTTTCTTTATAAATTACCCAATCTCAGGTATTTCTTTGTAGCAACACAAAATGGACTAAGACAGAGTGATATGATCTGACTTGCATTTTTAAAATAACGCCTTTGGCAGCTGCGCTGAGAGCAGAGTCCAGGGCACAAGGGTGGAGGCCGGGCAGTCAGCCCAAGAGCCGCAGTGATGAGCTGGGCAGGAGGAGCGGAGACTGGACCTTGGTGGAGAGTGGGCGTGGGGAAAAGCGGTTGCATTCTAGAATCTAGGCACACTGGGAAGGTAGAGCTCATCTTTTTTCGTCATAGATTAAACTCAGTTTATGAAAGAAAGGGAGGGGACAAGACTGACTCCAAGATTTTTGGCCTGGCGAGTGGGAGGATGCAGTGGCCATCAGTGCATCCCAAGATGTAAAAACCTGGGATTTGGAGCTCAGTTTAGAACCAGTGAAGTTCAGGATGCTTATTAGACACCCATATGGAGATACCAGAGTGCCTGTGAGTAGATTGTGCCTATAGGACAAAACAGCTGCTTGTTAGGCCCTCATGGCCCTGCATTCATCAGTCCCACCCAGTTACCCAGGGTGATTCCCCCACTTCTTCCCACTATGAACCGTGGCAGTTTTCCTCCCTCTCCCCACTTATTTGTGCCCCTATGACTTATCTGGTATTTTCCCTCTTTCTAAGAATGTCATCTCAACTCGTTTCTTTCTATCTGAATTCAAACTACCCCTGATTTTCTATTTTTCATTCGACAAACACTTACTCTGATCCAGACACTGCAGAGGCAGAAGTCCAGTGGGGGACTGTGGGCCCCTCGGCGCCTTTCTCAGCTGTCTTTAGCCACACTGCTCTCCTCTGACCTTGGCCCTGACTGAATTCTGGCTGTTGGAGTCTCCTTCAGGACTTGGCTGCACACAGCTCTGAGTGTTACTTAACAATTTGGGGCAACTCCGCAATTGTCTAATGAAGATGTAAGCTGTCTGCATTGAGCACTTGGTCCATGTTCAGTGGCTCCTTGTGGGGCTGAAGACGCAGCTCTGGTTTGCTTGTTTGATCTACAGAACCTTGCTTTCCAGGTGCACCTCCAGACCCAGCCCAAGCTTCTCTCACCTCCCCAGGGGTCTCATCTCTCCTGCACTGGTAAAGGAACAGGAGGGAGGAGGGGAGGGAAAGGAGGGAAGAAAGGGTGTAAGTTGTCAGTACTGGACTCTTGGCCTTGATCTAATGGGCTGTGGGCCTTTGGTTCTTCTGCTCTGGCTCATGGCCCTGTCCTCCAGATGCAGCTGATGTATAGCATTGCTCTGAGGAAGGTTGTGTGGTATCGTATAAGCAGCATGAGCTTTGCACTCGAGCCGATTTGGGCTTGAATGCTGACTCCACTACCTGGCAATATAAAGTAACTCATTTCACTCTATCAGTCTCATCTTACTGATCTCTAGAATGGCATATTCTTCAAGGATTTTGTAAGAATTAATACATATGTATATAAAACAGATAGCACAGTGCCAGGCATAGCAACCATGCCAGGGAAAAAATGCCACCTTCCCGGAAAAGGTCCACTGGGACCTTCTCTGGTTCCTGTGCTGGACCATGGTCATTTGAGCATGGCCAGTCCCTTGGCTCCAGGCTTTGGCCAATTCCAGAGGATCATGTCCAGCTTGAGATACCTGCCCCACAGTGGGGGGTAACTGATACGTCCCAGGGCCAATTAGGGATGAGAGAGTTTATATGGGGGAGTCACAAAGGAGCTATGGGAATTCCATGTGGAACCTCATTCTAGACTCTTGGCCTTGGTCTAACGGGCTGATCAACAGTGAGAACCTCTTTTCTTGGATCTTGAGCTTCAAAAAAGCTGTGTGTGTGTGTGTGTGTGTGTGTGTGTGTGTGTGTTTCAATCAAGAAATAAGAGCTTGGGGAAATGTTAGTGAAAAAGATAAAGATGCCTTTTCTGTACTGACCCTTGAGCAATGCAAGACATGCCAGAAAGTTCACTGCTGATCAGGTCCTTGCAGTGGAGGAATGGAGGTGTGGGGGTTGGGGCTGCAGTGCAGGCCGGATATGGGGAGGGTGGGGAGGCGGGGATGGGGAGGGGTGCTCTGTGAGAAAATCTGACCGTTTTCCCAGCCTTTTCATTGTCTCTGTTTCCACTCACTCCAATTTAAGAGTCCAGCTCTCTTCTGGCCTTGTCCAGTTAGTTTTCTCAGTGCCCTTGCCCCCGTCTCCTGGCCTTAGCCCCTCTCATTGGCTCTCTCAAGGCTGCTCACCTCCCGCTTGGGTCCGTCTCGCCCCCTGGCCTGATCAGTCAAGCAGAAATGACTCCATCTGGAATTGGGCCTGGATTCTCAGCACTGCTCAGAGTTTCCTGTAACTGCTACCAAAGGCCTTAACCTTGCAGGTTTGGAATCCAGCATCTTAACCTTAATCTTGTACCTATTCATGGTACATACTAATAATTATTCCTTGGGTAATTAGCACCTAATAAAACTTTCTTGAACAAATATAGTTGTGAGACAGAGTAGCAAATGTAAGAAGGTGCATTTTCTCAATTTGCTGGCCAGCATAATTTCACAAAGCCCCTGACACTGTGGCAAGTGTAGCTCTCCGGAGGGATGCTTTGAAGACATGGCAGGGTAGAGCACACGGCTCCCACATCTCTTGCCTGGGTCGCTGTATTCCAGAAAAGGTAAGTGACCCTGGTCTTTGCCCTTTCCTAGACGTAAGACAACATCTGGTGTGGTTAATGATTATGCCTCTGTGACCTATAATCAGATGTACTCTTACATCCTAACCTTGATGTATTTCTGCTTTACTGTAACTTCTGAACAAGTTTGATGTGATTTTGCATAAACTATGAACTAAAACACTGCTTTGGAGGAGTCTGACCTCTCTGAAAGACTCCTCCCAGGCTGTAGTTCTCAGTCCGTAGTCCTGAGTCAGACTTCTGAATAAAACTAACTTTAATTCTTTAAAAGCTCGATTTTCTTTTCTTCAGTCAACATAATACCAGAGCCCCAACACTTCCTTTGAACTAAGCAGAAGCATGATTTGATCAGAAAGAACTTTTGAAAGGTACTTACTCCAACTTTCTTGCAACACACAATCTTCTCAATAAATATTTATTGAATAAATGAACATCTCAGTACATTTGTGAATAAATAGGACACAGAAGTTTTTCCTACCAAATACATAAAGTTTCAGAGCGTGCACTGACACTTTGCATAATGGGGTACCTCATACATTTGGAAGCAGCCAACCCTGCTGCTGCACCTTTTTATTCTTTCAGGCTCTTTCTTAGGTTGGGCCAGCATGTTCTTGCTGATGAATGGCTTTTGAGGACACCTGCTCCTTCTTCTCTAGTAAAGCACTTCAGATATAGAGAGACAGTTGCCGTAGCCCCGTCTCCTCTTTTCCAAACCAGGATCTTGCTCTTGACTCATGATGTGTTGCAGCCCTTCATTTCCTGGCGGATGATATCCCTATCCATATATGGTCCTCAGAGGCAAACACAACTCCAGTGAGTTCTGCCCAGCACAAAGCCCATGGTGTCATTCGTGATCTTAAGTAGCTACCATGTTCATGGACAGGCAGCCTATGATTCTGATAGTTTTTTTAGTAACCAACATTATACAGTTGGCACACAAAAGTAATCAGTCAACTCCAACATCTTTTTAAAAAATCAACTTTTCTCCCTTGATTAAAAAGCAATACATTGTGACTATTGAAGGCTTCGTGGAAAATACAGTGAAAGTAAGGTCACTTATTATCAATCTGTTTGCTAATCCTGAGTTAATCACAGTTAACAGTTTCTTATATTTTCCTACCATCTTTTTCTGCGTATGTATTTTCATATACTTAGTATCCTAAAGTGTATGCCACTTCGCATCTTGGTTTTGTTTTGCCTTTACTACCTTCTAAAATGATTTTCACATAGATTGGCCCCACACTCAGTCAGAATCTCTGGGAAAGGATCCTAGTCATGTGATTTTTCTTTTTTCTTTAATTTTTTTTTAAATTCCCGGGGAAATTAAACTAAATTAGAAGGCATGAATATTTTTAAAATATGTTTCCCTGTTGATTCTAGTGCACATCCAGGGGCGAAAATCATTAACAGAATCTTACGGGCATTTATTTGGTTTTGTTTATCATCTATTTAGTTAGCATTTGCTATTTGGTTGTAAGTATTTTTCCCGCATTTGCAGATCTGATCAGCATGCTTTCTGTGCATTACTCATTAAGTTGTCAGTTTGACCATGGCCAAAAACAGAGACCTAATGATCTCGCTCTGGCTAGCACACTGATATTAATCAACTCTGAGGAAATACTCATTCAGCAAGCTATGTTCTTAATTAGTTTTTCACCTCCCTCCTACAACAAGATCATGTGCAACTCTATAATATAGTATTTTCTACAGAAAAAAAGGAGTTAGTTGAATATGACTTGACCATGATCATTTCAGTGCCTGGACAGTCAGCAGAATGCTAGCCTCTCTCTCTTGCTCTAAGAGAGTAAATGTGGGATTAGACACAGGTGAGCTATTGCTAGAAGAACCAGCCACCAAGCTCCTGAGGGACAGTGGGGTTGGTCACCAGCCTCAGTCCACACCTGCCTAATCAAGCTGGGTATTCATTCCTCGACTCAGCCAAGAATATCTGAATAGCCAAGAAAGAGGAAAGGGGTGGTGGATGTAAATTATAGGAGAATAATTCTCTGCAATTCTTTCAATGCACTTGCAAAGATACAATTTCATTTACTTCTTATTCCTCTCTGGGATGTGTATTCCCCATGTTATAGATGAGGACATTGCCCAGAGCAGTGGGATAGCAGAGTCAACCAGGTTTTCTGACTGCAAGACTAGTATTCCTCCCCTCTCTATCTTGCCTCCCATACAAGTCTCAATCTCCCTCTTCCCTCCACGAGTCTAGTGGCAACTGCCTTACTGACTGAATTGCACATTGTACTCCCTACCTGACTTTTCAATAGGATGACTTATGTAACACCTTTTAAAAGCCCATTTTTTCCTGGTATTTATGAAGAACTGGGAGCTTGGCCATGGGCTAAGACTTTCCTCTGCTTGAGTTATCCAATATGGGATTGCCAAATCTGGGTAAATACGACTGCTTTCCCCAAACTGGCAGGAGCGAGTCAGAACCTCACATCTCTACCCTTCCTTTTTTATAGGGTACAAGGGTGAAAAGTCTTAGCCTTGCAGAACTTCTAATAGATAAATATTTAATAGAAAAGAGCACTGGGCTAAAAGTCAGTGCAAAGTTCTGCCTGGTCAGCAGCCTTCATCTTTGTCCCTGCACCAATCCCCTTAACTATCCCAAATCTGCAGGCTCAACCCCCTTCTCACCTCTGGGACCACCCCTATCTATGGGCCTAGCGGGGTTGGCCCAACACTCAGACACCTTTTTCTGGACGCTGTGGTGTTTCTTTGCCCCCTCTCCCTTCATAAGCCCCATCTTTGATGTAATCATGAGGTTCCAGCCCTATTTCTTAAACCTGAATATCCATTTATGCCTCTTGCCAACAACTTCAGTCCCCATGGGACTGAGCTTCTGACTTTTTTAGTGCTGGATACCCTCCCAGGGGTAAGAGGCCTGTTCCCAAAAATGGGGCCCAGTGCCTGCGGCCTGGATACTAAACACCTCAATCTCCGACGTCGCCTGCTCCCAGCTTCCTTTCCTGGGTTTCACCAGCAGTCGATTACATTGCCTCCTTCTGCAGCCACAACATTCAAAGATTTCATTCTGTTTCTCAGGCTGCACTGCTCTTGGCAAAGGCCTCTCCATGTGTTCCCCAGGTGCCTTATCTGAGTTCTGACCTACATAGTCTGACCCTCCCGAGGGATAACCAGGGAACCAGGGCATGCTAGCCATGTCCCAAGATGGGAGGGTACAGAGAACTGGTTCTAGGCCTGGCTCTTCTACCAATTGTCTGAGTGGCCTAGGACAAGTCACAGGGCCTCCTGAAGCCTCCTTACCCAACCTCAGAACAGGTCTCTATACCAAAGGGGGTAAGTGGGGGTGGTGGATGGACCTAGAAACATACTAGAACATCTGCAGTTTGAAGATTCTTTTAAAGTCATTTATGCAACGGGTAAGAGGGAAAGCCCTCTTTCTCTAAACATACACTTGCACACTCTTGACTTGTGTCAAATTCTGGTGTGTCTAACAGTGAACAAAGAAGCTTGGTTGCCACAGGCTGTCAGCCAAGACCCTCCCAGGGGAACTTCAGGCCCAGGAGAAGGGAAAGCAGCTCTGTGGAATGGGTGCTCACTACTCTCCCTGAGCCATGGCTCGCCTGAGACTCACCTTCAACATGGCACTCCCAGCAACCAGAATCAAAAGACCACAACACAAAACTTATTGCTGTCTTTCCCCAGAGCAAAGCCCACTGCGTAGAACCATTGACAGAGATATTAACTCAGGCAAAATTAGATGCACCCCAGAGGCAGCCAGGAAGGGGCAGGGCTGGTACCAAAGGACAAGGGGTACTGGTGGAGGCTTGAGAAGAGGAGAAGGGGGTGTTCCTGCTTCCCACCTGCCCCCTTCCTGGGGTTGTACATGTGTGTGTAGGAGTGAGCCTCCTTCTCCCCTGTGTTGCTTTCAGAGCCACTCCTTGTTTTCTGGAGGACAAGGACACATTCCCTGCCAAATCTCCTTCGTTTGGTAAAGCTATACCCTAGGTACCTTTGGGTCAAGGAAAAGAGATTCCTCATAAATTCATCTAAATTGCCTGTTCTGGGCATTTCCAAAGTAAATTTCTTTCTTCCTTTTTTTTTTTTTTTTTTTTTTTGAGACAGAGTCTCACTCTGTCGCCCAGGCTGGAGTGCAGTGGCATGATCTTGACTCACCACAAACTCCACCTCCCAGGCTCAATTGATTCTCCCCACTCAGCCTCCCAAGTGGCTGGGATTACAGGTGGGCGCCACCACACCCAGCTAATTTTTGTATTTTTAGTAGAGACGGGGTTTCGCCATGTTGGCCAGGCTGGTCTCGAACTCCTGACCTCGAATGATCCACCTGCCTCAGCCTCCCAAAGTGCTGGGATTACAAGAGTAAGCCACTGTGCCTGGCCTCCAAAGTAAATTTCTTAAAACTGATTCCACTCCTCACACTCAGATAATTGTATAGATTTTAGTTTATAGACCAAAAGGGGGCATAATTTTATATTTGTAAAAACTAACAAAATAGGTTGGCTTATAAATATGTATTTCAGTTTATTTGACTAGCTAGAATATTTGTTATTTATTCTTCAAATGCAAAATGCCAAATTCATTTTTTAAAACAACAATAATAATGAAGTCCCGTGTGTGCCAGCCAGGGAGTGTGGGGGCTGGGTGGGGAGGGTGTGTTCACATGGTGGGGGGAGGCTTCTCTCCTGCAGCAGGCTCACCGGAGGTCCCAGGGCAGCCCTGCCCAAGCGTGACATACGTTAGAAAGAAACCATTCCCATCATTCACAACTGTCTTGTGAGGTGGCTTAGACAAGTGTTGTTCTTATTTTACAAATGAGGAAATTAAGGCTGGAGAGGTTAAAGGGCCTTTCCACGATCTCATGACTCATTATGGCTGGAAATAGAACGTGGCCGGTCCCCTGGCTTTTTCTGCTGCTTTCTCCGGGACTGGCAGCTATGACAGTTCTGCTTTGATATGGAGTGTGCCCCTCCACTTTTCTCCATCCCAAGGGACACATTTCCACGCAGTGAACATCAGTGCACACCAGGGACCCTTCTTCCTCACCAGCCAGCCCCAGATGAGTCCCCCTGATGAACTGATGCTCTGAGGAACGAGTGAGGGACCACAGTCAAAGATCATGCAGCAGGGAGGCAGGGTGAGAGGTGTTCATCCTCCGTGTTGCCAGACATGCCTGTACCCGGAAGACGGAATCAGATGCAGGGTTTCAAAGGGAGACAGATGCAAGAAGTCCATTCAGATGCCTGTAGCTTCCATTCCATGCCTGCAGCTTCCCATTCGGATGCCTGCAGCTTCCCATCCCATGCCTGCAGCTTCCCATTCGGATGCCTGTAGCTTCCCATCCCATTCCTGCAGCTTCCCATCTCATGCCTGCAGCTTCCCATCCCATGCCTGTAGCTTCCCATCCCATGCCTGCAGCTTCCCATTCTCCAGTTTCTTACCCACCACTTGTTGCCGAGTGACCCAGACAAATCAATGACTCTCTCTACACTTCTGGGTCCTGGCCTGTCAAACTTAGAAACCAAGAAAACTCACCTTGCAGTGTCATCACAAGGGTGAACTGAGACAGAAGCACTTTGTAAACAGTAAACTGCTGTCACAATGTCACCATTATTGTCGTTAGCTAGCTGGAGTGTGGGATATAAAAACAACAGATGGTTTCTGCTTCCTTCCGAGGAGATTACAATCTAGGAAGCACGTGCACTATATTCACATGAAAATATTTAAAGGTAGCCACGTTCCGGAAGAAAGGCATCATCCAAGATGTGCCTAATCTAAGTCTAATTTTCCTATAGATAATCATAAGACAGGAAGGGAGTATGTTCTCAGAGTGCCTACATCTAGATTCATGGTATCCTTGCTTTAAAGATGCTTCAAAACACTTCCTAGCAGAATCTCTTTTATGTTGCAGAGTCTTTCTCCCAAATTAATGGCCCAATGGATCACGGCCAGTGACAGGCCTTCTTCGTCTATCACATCTAATGTCACTTCATACCACAGTTGGCCCTCGGAATCCAGGGGTTCAACATTCTCAGATTCAACTAACCATGGATGGAAAGTATTCAGGAAGCAAACAAAAAAAGATGGTTGTGTCTGTACTGAACATGTACAGGCTTTTTCTTGCCATTATTCCCTACGCCAAACAGTATAACAACTATATACATAGGATTTATATTGCATTAGATATTATAAGTAATTTAGAGTTGATTTAAAGTATATGGGAAGGGGCTGGGCATGGTAGCTCATGCCTGTAACTCCAGCACTTTGGGAGGCCGAGATGGGTGGGTCACTTGAGGTCAGGAGTTCGAGATAAGTCTGGCCAACATGGTGAAACCAGTCTCTACTAAAAATAGAAAAAAAATAGCTGGGTGTGGTGGCATGTGCCTGTAATCCCAGCTACTTGGGAGGCTGAGACAGGAGAATTGCTTGAACCTGGAAGGTGGAGGCTGCAGTGAACTGAGATCGTGCCATTGCACTCCAGCCTGGGAGACAGAGCTAGACTCCGTCTCAAAAAAAAAAAAATGTATACAGGAAGACGTAAGTAGGTTCTATGCAAATCCTAGGCCATTTTCTATCAGTTAGTTGAGCATCACAGATGTTGGTATCCTGGGGTGGAAGGTGCCGGGGGTCCTGGAACCATTCCCCTGTCATACTGAATGGATCATAATTTACAGCACGTTTTCAGTGCCACTATATTATAAAAGCTTACATGATACTTTCATAGGATAGAAAAGATATTAAATTATTAACACAATGAAAAAAAAAAAAAAACAAAAAAACCCCAGCACTATAGCCACAAAAATCACTCAGGAAAACATCTGCTTTGATTCATTGTACTACTCCCCATCACACTGACCAAGGCCTGTGGAGGTTTCCCTGTGGAGGTTTCTGTTTACCGCAACTGTGGCACAGCCACCAGACCAGGGTCCAAACACAGCGTAAGTTTCACTGGCTGTGCTCTGGATTTGTTATGCCATTCTGGATAAATCATGCAAATTTGGAGGAATTTGGACTATTTCAAATGTTGCCCATTCTGAAATTGAGCAATCTCCAGTAGTATTTTATTGCTATTTTACATAGCATTATTTAAAATTTGCATGATTCAAATTTGCCTGAAATGTGAGTGTATTGTTCAAATGACAGCATCTTAACAGAGCAAACAGCATTCAAATGACCTCCATATCAGTGGAATAAAGGTGGGAACAACTGACTTGCAGGGGGCTGGCTAATGGGGGAAGCACTTTTTGAAGGATGAACATTTTGAATATGTTGAATAAAAATACATTTTGAGTATGTTTGAATAGAGAGTGATTTGGAATGTGCTGAATAGAAGACATATTCTAATTCTATAATATACCACTTCTTTGGTACCACTGGAAATGGCTCAATTTCAGAATCAATAGTTCTGACTTCTGCACTTTAGAAAGGACTTTGGATGATTTCTTTTTTGAAAAGCTATGCCATTGTCATCCTATGGGTTTCACTCAGAGGCATGATAAACACCCAGGGTGGGGAATGAAGACACCCTCAAAGAGTAGGGAATTCTGCCTCAAATTCCTGAGGGCCCCAGAGTGGGATCTGCTTCGTCAAGCACAGCGCATGAATTATGCAATATTTTTCAATAACTAAAAGTAACCATTAATATCTGCCTGAAAGAAGCTTGACCTGGGAGTATTATCTTTGGTTGCCAGAGGATACATTCAATCCTTTTTGGTGTTTGTTTGAATAATGGAATAGACAGTTTAGGTTGCTTAGCTGAACACAGAGCACATTTTTATCCTGAAAGGGAAATTAGAAATCCTGACTTTAAAACAAAGACAGGATTCCTTCTCTGCTTGGATCAGCACATTAATCAGCTAATAAACAAATATTTATTAAGTTCCTGCAATGAAACCTTTGACTTTCCTGTGTAATAACTTTTGACAAATTCTCTAATATCCTGGCAAAGAAAATATTTTCTCTACCAAGTCATCTTAAAACATGTTTATTTTTCCATTTCATCTTTGAACAAACTAAAGGTGTTTCATTTTTTTGCCCCATAGAGATGGGTTATTCAATTACATGTCTCTTTCCAGTTCTAAGTTACACAGCCTTCGGTCAGCAAAACAAATTTATTTTTCCATGTTGAAAAAGATAAACTCATAAGATAAGATCACCTACCTAATGGTTCCAAAATCTGATTTGTGCGTTAAAATCACATGGGGAAACTATCGATGTATAATCAAATGCTAGCTAATTTGCCATTAGTCCAATTTCATTTTAGGGACCACTGACTTCATTTTACAGGCAGGGAAGTTGAAGGTAACACAATTTGTGGCAGAGTTGGCCAAGAGACCCCAAATCTCCTCCCAGCTTACAGTCCTGTTTTCATTCTACTGAACCTTCCCTTACATGAAACAACTTCCAGGATTAAAGAGATAAATATCTGTCAATGAAATTTTAAATGGATTTTTGGACATATCTCTTCTATTTGTTTCCCCTGAATTTCTACTTTCTATGAGTACATTGGATGTCAAGTTCCTTAATAGCAAGAACCTTTATGAAAAGTGACCAACAGCACAAAATCCTATACTAAGTACTGGTCAGAACAAACTTCGAAGACACAGTTTCATCCATTAGGAGCTTATTTACTCAGCATTTACTGAAGGCTCACTCTGTGCATACTCTCTGCTAGGCCCTCTGGGGATATAAGAATTTTAAACAGATTTGCTTCAAAGGAACGCGCAGTCTCATCGAATAGAGAGGACCCAAACATACAAAAAGGTAACTTAACCAATTTGTGCAGTAATAGCTCTTGTCTCTGGGTGTTTTCGTTAAATTAGCTGCTGTAACCCCAAAAACTCCCAAATGTGTAGTAGAAATTCCTGATGGGTGGGTAGTTTTCCTCCAGGTGGTGACTCAGGGCTCCAGTCTCTTTCCATCTTTTAGCTCTCTCATCTTCAACACGTGGTTCCCGGGGCCATTGTGTTTTTTTGTATCAAGTTGATAGAAGGGACACAGCAGTGGGGAATCTTTGGGAGGTGAATCATCTTCTTTCTTTTCTTTTACACTCTATTGGCACTATTTCACACTTAACTGCAAAGGAGGTGAGAGTGCAATGTGCTGTCCTCCTAGAAGAGAAAACGGAAATAGAAGAGAAACTCATTAGTTACCCTACAAGGGGCTTTGGTGTTCTTATCAGTAAAAGAGATCCTTGTGAATGCTCTAACATTCTCTTCTAGGTGGGGCTTCCCTTGGGCCCCAGAGGACCCCATCTGGAGATCATTGTAGGCGAAAGGAAATCGTTCTGGAGATCATTCTAGGTTAAAGGAAAGAGTTGCGCAAAGAAGAGGAAGGGATGTCAAATAGCAGGCACGGCGAGCCTGAGGCCAGTGTTCAACTGGAATGGCAGGTGATGTGGAGAAATAGGCCCAAGGCTATATATATATTTGTTGGTGTTGGCTTGTGGTGGCCTTGAATACCAGGCTAAGGAATTTTACCAACATTTTAGGATCAAACCAAAACTCGTTTAGACTTTATAAAGCTGGGCAAGGGCTTTTTAAGACCCAGCCCTAGTTTGCTCCTCTCTGGGCGCTGCTCAGTTCGTAGTATTGACTGCCAGCTTCTCAGAAGATAGCAGCAATGAATCTGGCAGCTGGAACGTGTCTCCGTCCTCTCTGCCTACCCCAGGAGATTGTGTCTGCACATGGCTGTTGTTGGACTCTGGGTGAGTTTTCAATTATTGGTTGACAGTGTTTTAAGAAGGTTACAGTCCATCAACAAGAGTGCTTGCTTCATGGTCCTCTCCTCGCTGAATCAGCTCTAAGGTGACCCTCTGTTTGGGATCCTCCTTAACCACTAGGAAGCTCTCAGCTGAGTTTCCCATCCAACCTTGGTAGCTCTGCAAGGCCTTACAGCAAGTGTTCTGCACACTAATTTCCCCGGCCTCCTTTTCTTCTACTTTTCTTCTGATTTGTTTTTAACATCTTATTACAGCATAAAATTTTATAAACCAATACTTATAAATGTAATAAATAAAAGCAAACAAATGCTAGCATACCATCTTGAAGCCTGTTCTAATGAAATACAATATGCATAGGTAAATATATAAAAATAAACGACATCGCTATTGAATCCAAAGAGAACTTGGCCAGCCTGTCTGCCCATGACGTTTTTTAACCCAAGTGAACCAGTAGCTGAGTTGGAATGTCAGGCTCTCTTCCTGGACTGTGTGGTGGCTGCCTTCCTAGACCATGGAACCACAAGGGACAGAGGTCTTAAATGGGTTCCCCTTTGAGGCCAGGCAATAGGACCTAACCTTACCAACAGAATTACCATTAACACACACGTAAAAACGAATGTCTTCTTTTTTGTAGGATGGGGAGGGGCAGAGAGAGGATCATTTACAAAACAGATTAAGCACGGGAAAGCCTGTTTTTAAAAATAGTGTCATAATAGGGAAGTTCTTCCCTGAAAGCATGTGCACAGCCACTCTTGCTAATATGGTAACAAGATTCCACCCTTTCCTTCCTGAGACTAGGTCATGCAGAGAATTTAGTGAGTAGATATTTTCTGAGGATTCTTTTTGGCTCTTTCATGGGCCAGTCACGGTCCTGACATGGGTGACCACCCAGAGATGAATGTGAGGAGATGACACAGGATTCTCTGGCCAGATGGAATAGTGCTGGATGTATGCATGCATACCTGCCATTTCCACATGTATAGTGCTTTTTTTCTGATTATGCAAATAATGTATGCTTACTGTAAAAAAATTATGAAAAATGTAGAAAAGATAAAAACTATTCCTCACCCCATCTTCCAGAGACAAACTATACTTCACACATCTCTTTCCTGCTTTTATATATATACATATATCTCACCACAATGCACTATCATTTCCTGCATGTATATATATATATATATATGTGTGTGTGTGTGTGTGTGTGTGTGTGTGTGTGTGTGTGTAGGAAAGAGATGTATTAAGATGTATTACAAATGTATAACATTGTATATGTCTTTTGTCATCTGCTTTTTTTGTATTCAATTTTATATCATGAGATCTTTGACCATCTCACTGAAAAATCTTGAAGGACATTATTGGTGAAGGCTGATAGAAATGGACCATGATTTCCCCAGCCGTCTCATGTTGCTGACCATTTCAGTTGTTTCCAGTTTTAAATGCAACAGGAGAGAGCGTCATGTCAGTAGCTAAGCTTCTGCAACACACCTAAAGGAAGCATGTTGCTGAGTGCCCTGCTCTGATCCCCTTGGAGAAACGCTGAGGACGGATTTGATTTCAAATACTGTAAATCAGGCCAGGTGTGGTGGCTCAGGCCTGTAATCCCAGCACTTTGGGAGGCTGAGGTGGGTGGATCACCTGAGGTCAGAGTGTGAGACCAGCCTGGCCAACATGGCGAAACCCCGTCTCTACTAAAAATATAAAAATTACCCAGGCATGATGGTGTGCCTCTGTAGTCCCAGCTACTTGAGAGGCTGAGGCATGAGAATCGCTTAAACCCTGTGAGGTGGAGGTTGCAATGAGCCGAGATCATGCCACTGCACTCCAGCCTGAGCGACAGAGCAAGACACTGACTCCAAAAAAAAAAAAAAAAAAAAGCCACAGTATGGGTTTCTATGCACATATGGCAGCGAGCCCATTCATTGACTGTCAGGTAGCATCTACATAAAATGGAATACTATTCAGCCTTTAAAAGGAATGCCATTTGGATATATTCTACACCGTGAATGAACCTTGAAAACATGCTAAGTGAAATAAGCCAAATACAAAAGGAAAAACATTATATGATTCCCTTTACCTGAGTATCTGAGATACCTAGAGTAGTCAAATTCAAAGAGAAAAAGTAGAGCAGAGGTCGCCAGGGGCTGCAGGGGTTGGGGGAAAGGGGAATATTGCTTAATGGGTACGGAGTTTGTGTTTGGAATGATGAAATGTTCTGGAAATCAGTGGGGTAATGGTTGCACAACATCGTGAATGTGCTTACTGCCACTGAATTGTATACTTGAAAATGGCTAAAATGGTAACTCTTATGTACATCTTTCCGCAATTTTAGAAAGCCACAATGAGGCAGAATTACAACACAGGAGGGTAAATACTAAGGTTCTGCCTAAAGGCTTGGTCCTCCTCGTGGCCTTGGATGACCTCATCCCCCTCGAGGGGGACGCCCGGGGACTTTCCCACCCTTCTGAACCCAGCCTTCTCATTCTCTGATTTTCATCCAGGCTCCCCTATTCCAGCACAGCCTCCATTTCCTCAGGTGTCTCGTAAGTTCACCCCCAACCTCTGAAGAGCTCCACCCCTCCTCACAGGGCAAGCTCACTCCTCGGTTCTTCTTCCCTTCCAGGGCTTCCATTCTTATCCCGAGTTTCCAGCTTCAGCCAGGTGCCCAGGGATGCTTGCTATGGCCGGATCCAAAGGCCAAGGCAAGAGGAAACAACGCAGCTCTCTGGGGATAAGGGTGGGCGGCATCTCCCAGTCGGGTTTCCTTTTCAGCATCTGCCGGGAGGGCTGCAGGCCGGCTGGGTATTTTCATAGCTGATCTACTCAAACAAACACATCTCCTAAAGACAAATGTTGGTTATGTTCTCTGAAGACACTACAGTTTAAATCCACATTGGGGAACTCCCCCACTAGCCAGGCACCTGTTCTGCCCTTGAAGTCGGCGGGTCCCCATCCCTGGGCAGAGGAGCTTTTGGTTTCTGACGTTGTCCTCCTGAGGCTGCTGGAATCACAGAAAGACCTCATTCCCCTTTAATGTCAGCTTTCCCATCCCCTGCGTGTGGTCTCAAGACCTTGGAGCTCTTTCTTATAACAGGTGGGTGGGGGCGGGGGGCAGGGGAGGGGTGACAGTTTCTTCTGTCATATAAACATAAAAACTTCAGCAACAGTGTCTGATTGTGTCAAAGCTGAGACCCAGATATGCTGGAATGTGGAGACAGAGACAGTCCTGGTGTGCTGGTGTGGGGGAGCTTAAGGGACATCAGACCAGCTGCTGAACCACACCCTTCATTTGCCAAAAGCTCCATGGGGAGAAACGGGGATCCTGTCGAAAGCTTGCACATATTCTGACACATGCAGATATGTCTTATGGGCTTAGCAGGCCTGGACAGAGGCAGGGATTGAGCACGAGGTTGGCGAATGTCTGACTCCCCACAGGCGAAGAAGGAAGAAGGCTGAAGGAGCCACGCTCACAGCAGGACAGGAAGGCTGTGGGTGTCTGGAAAGCTGTGGGTGATGTGCCTTGATTGCCCCCGTGGTGGAGCCCAGCACTCCAGGAGGGAGAATACTTGTAAAGAATTAAATTAGAATGATTTGCCTGGGAGGTGGAGTCAGCAGCATAAGGAGACTGCTAAAAGGGCGAGAGCAGAGCGTAGTGAGAAGTTTCTATACAGGCTGGAGATCCCTGGAAGCTAGTGGTGGTGGAGTGAGAGAGGAGAGAACAGACACGTCAAAGGCCAGGGGCCGTCGCTGGTGGCTGGACTAGGTGAGCAGCTCAGTGTTAGGGGGGCAGGTGGCCTCCGTGGGAGAAGCTGAGGGCAGCAGGATGACCAGGGCCACAGGAAGCAGCTGGGTTATTTGCAGACAGCTCCCACCTGGGCTGCATCCATCACCCACGCACTATCTTATCCTCAGAGACGCAGGCCAAAAACGATGGCTTCTTTTCAGTGGCTACATTTTGAATCAGGTGATGCTTGATAAAAATGAAACATCCTGCTCTTCTTCACCCGACCTGCCTTTTCACCTACCCAAACAAACAAAAGCAAAAATAAAACAAGACAATAATAGCAATGAGGCAGAGGAAAGACCGAGTCCCATCCTACAAGAAGGGAGGCCTCCGTCTCCCCACAGCCACTCCTATCACCCCAGATCATCACTGCCTGAATGCTGCCTTTACCATCTCAGCCCAAGACACTGTGTTCTTGACATTTTAATCATTGGCATCATTATGTCATTTCTTTGGCAATCGAAAGCAATGTTCCTGCTCCTGTGTGGGTTTGAACAAACAGCCCAAGGGGAGAAATAATGAATTCTCAAAGGAAAAAAAGTCTGTTTCTCATCTCAAGCACCTGGAAGGCTAAGGCGGGAGGATTGCTTGAGGTCAGGAGTCCGAGGCTGCAGTGAGCTATGTTCACACCACTGCACTCCAGCCTGGGTGACACAGTGAGACCCTGTCTCAAAAAAAAAAATCCTGTAAGCAATGAGACACACAAGGAGTAATCAGCACACAGAGCCTTAGCACACACTCCAGCCTGCACACTCTGCAACGTTCTGCTCTTACCTCAGTGTCACAAGGTGTGGCTTGAGCAGCTCTTGCCCAGACAGATAAAAAGCAGGTGTAACATAGTGACCCCAAGGGACCCAAGGGTGCCCATGGTTTGCAAGAGAGGAAAGAACAGAGAGAGCCTGAACATTCCCAGAATTGCATTGCTCACTAGCCAAGCTGTGGCTTCCTTGACACATGTAGCTGGCATGGGCTCCGCCCACAAGCAGGCCTGGCTGAGCAGAAGGCAGCTTCCAGGAACTCCAGGGTACAGTTATTGTGTTGATCCAACAGGTGCCCAGGCCAACACCAACGTGGGGCCTGAAGCTGCCTGCCCACTCCTCTCTGGCCTCTCAACCCTGACCAACAGCCACCCTCACAGCAGCATGGGCCAAAGGGTCATGGGACAAGCCACAAATGCAGTTGACACAGCCTGGGTACATCATGCACAGCAGGGTCCACTCTGTTCCACCATCAAAGACCCCTGCCTCCTAATTGGGCTTAAGAATGGGCAGGACGCACCTGTGCTTTAGTAGTGCAGCTCCCATAATGGCTGGATTGCCACATGCTGGTATCTCAGTACAGCTGCCCAGGTGTCCTAAACATGTTTTAGTCATCTTTCTAGAGAAGGTAGAGACTATGGTTATAGTAACAGGAAAAGTATGAAACAGGGGAAAGTACCAGGATGTCCCCTCATGGACTGTCACTACTGGCCGTCACTACAGAACTTTTATTCATTGTTTCATTGTTTTTAAAACGTGCGTATGTGCAAGGCCTCAGATCTTTCTGCTATGAGTCCCTCATCGTTGACTTGGGACCACAGACTTCGGCTAGAAAGCTCACTGTCATGCTGGATGAGGGCATGGCTCAGGCACCGTGGCTTATCGTTTGGGCTGAGGACAGATGTAGCTTTCACTGAACTCTCTTCCAGTGCACCAGTGCAGTTTTGGGTAGCGGGGACGTAGAAGTGTGCCCAGAAGGGCTGAAGACGTTTTGCTTTTTTTGTTTTTGTTTTTGTTTTGAGACGGATCTTGCTCTGTTGCCCAGGCTAGAGTGTAGTGGTGCAATCTCGGCTCACTACAAACTCCTCCTACTGGGGTCAAGTGATTCACCTACTTCAGCCTCCCAAAGTGCTGGAATTACAGGCATGAGCCACTGTGCCTGGCCCAAAGATGTTTTTTAAAGAGAAATAGAGGGAAGAGCAGCTGCCATAGGGAATGGAAATGTGGGAGAAGAGAGGCTATTTAAGAGGATTTTTTTATTTTTTGAGATGGGGTTTCACTCTGTCGCCCAGGCTGGAGTGCAGTGGTGCAATCTCGGCTCACTGCAACCTCTGCCTCCCAGGTTCAAGCCATTTTCCTGCCTCAGCCTCCTGAGTGGCTGGGATTACAGGCACGTGCCACCATGCCTGGCTAATTTTTGTATTTTTAGTAGAGATGGGGTTTCACCATGTTGGTCAGGCTGGTCTCGAACTCCTGACCTCAGGTGATCTGCCCTCCTCGGCCTTCCAAAGTGCTGGGATTACAGGCACGAGCCACTGCCCACCGCCCGAGGATTTTTTTTTTTTTTTTTTTTTTGAGACAGAGTCTGGCTCTGTCACCCAGGCTGGAGTGCAGTGGTGCAATCTCAGCTTTCTGCAACCTCCACCTCCTGGGGTCAAGCGATTCTCCTGCCTCAGCCTCCCAAGTAGCTGGGATTACAGGCAACTGCCATCATGCCCAACTAATTTTTGTATTTTTAGTAGAGACGGGGGTTTCACCATGTTGGTCAGGCTGGTCTTGAACTCCTAACCTCCAGTGATCCATGGCCTCGGCCTCCCAAAGTGCTGGGATTCCAGGTGTGAACCCCTCTGCCCGGCCAGCTTAAGAGGATTTTGAAGGGGCTTTAGTGATTCCATGTTCCATGTGACCAAGAAATCACCATCAAAAATCGATATATGTTTTGTCGTAACAAGGAGATACACAAAGGGATAGCGACTACCTCTGCCTCAGGAGTCAGCAAATACTTCACTCAAGAACTGATCTTGAAGGATGGGTGAGAATTTTCTAGAATGAAAAAGATGGATAGGTTCGTGTGTCTCAAAAGCAAGCCCAGGACAGATGCCAGTGGTTACGTTTTCACTGGTCTGAAAGGACATGAGAAAAATAAAGACCAGGTAGGAAGCTTTTCAAAAAGCTAAATTTATCCAATTGAAAGGAACTTAGGTTTCGGATGATGTACTTTCTACTTTTGGAGGGTTGCTGTTTTTCTTTCTCTTATGAAATCAAGCTGAATATAGATGATACCATCTATGTTATCATTTACATTCTCTCTTACTTAGCCTAATAAAAACATCACGTTTCCCACATTTTTTAAAAAAGGTACTGACCTTTGAAATGCAGAGGTCTGAGGGCTACCGTAGCACACTCTAAACTAAGGTGCTGGATGGTGCAGGCTGCCCCGCTGGGCAGGCCATGGTGCATGTGGAGAACTGGGAGGAAGCCAGGGTATGAGGAAGATGGGACAGAGCAGTGGTTTAGGGTTAGATGGAGGACGGTCTTTCATAGGGACCTTGGACTTCATTCTTTAGGAATGATTTGGGGTTTATAAATGAAGGAGAGAGCAGATTATATTTTACTGGAACCCAGGAAGATTAACTTTGGTTCCAGTAAAGTAGTGGACTGGAGAAGAAAGAGATGAGACAAAAAGACCAAAACCACTGATGCAATTTTCCAGGGGTAAGACGAGGGCATTCATTATGATCAGTGGTGATACAGACAAGGAAACCAAGCAAGATTCGAGAAACTCCTAGGACAGCATTGGCCTCAAAGACATTCGTGTGATGAATGCTTTAGAGCCCTGTCAACTCATAGACACAACCAACATGTATATTGTGTTATACAACCAGGATATCTGAGGAGATCTCAGAGCTGAGTCTTAAAGACCGATTAGTCCTTCGGGCCTACAAATCCTAGTTCCTGAGCCAACTCAAACAGTAAAGAGCACTGGGGTACCACCCGTTCTTAGTGCCACCTAAGAACATAGGCTTTTGGGTTCACTGGCCAGTACATGAATCTGACACTTTTAAAAATAGGAGATGACAGATTTAAAAGACTCTGGGGCAGGGGGAGGTCAGGCAATTTAAAAGAACAGAATGGATTTGCAAGTATAGATGAGAAACTACAATGAACACTTGGCATCAGTGAGAGGGCTGCAATAGGGAATGATGGTGACTGCGGAAAACTCAAGCTCATGTGCCCTACCTAAAGGGGGTAGCTGCCATTCTACACCAGCTAACTCTTGCCATATAGGAGTGGAACCAGATTTTTGAAATTTTGAACGAAGCTGGAAATCTGAATTTTTGTTTTCTGCTAGTTCAAGTTTTGAAACATAACAGCCACACCATGTGAGTTGAAACCAATTTTGTTGGCAAGCTGAATTTGTTCCACTGACCTCCAACCTTAGATCTTTGGCCCAGGAATTAGATAACTATTAGGCTAATGCACAAGACCTCATACCAGAAAGAGAAACATGAAGATAGGTAGTGATAGAGGTGAGGTATGAATCATCTGTTAGAAGAAAGAAAAGAGTATGAGACATTTTTTAACTTACAATGAATAAATCGCTATTCATAATTCTCCACTTCTGTTACCAGAGGATGTAATAATGGGTTTTGGAAAATAGGCAACACTTGTAACCATCAAGTGATGCCGTTGCCATTGTCACATTTGTCTTTCATAGTTGTTTCATACGAAGGAAGAACAGGTATTGTTATCCTCATTTGGCTGTTGAGAAAACGGAGGCATGGCAAGGCCTGCAGTTCCCTAAAATCACTGAGTGGTAGTGGCAGGGCTGAGTCTAGAACTTTGTCAACTATCACCACCTCTGGCATCGGCCTACACAGCCACTTGTGAACAGGTCCTCTTAGAACAGGACATTTCAGCAGCTGCTGGTCTCTGAAAGTGCCAGAGAGCCTCAGCGCAAGGAGGCAAGGTGGGAGAGAAGTTGCAGAAAGCACCGCAGATGCTCCTGGCAATGCTCACCGTCCCACGCTTGCTCACGGCCCCAGCAGAGGCAGGACCGTGGATACCAATCCAGGAGTGTGAAGAACAGCATCTCTTGTCTGCACAATCCCTCAGCGGCTCCGCTGGGGACTTTGCTGCACTCAGTTTTTCTCACCTGCAACTTGTCAGACAGCATTCTCTTTTTGTCTTCATCGCTATTTTCATCAGAATTTGGAAGGAGCTATAGCTTATAAACACAAAATGGCAAAACAAAAAAATTTTAAAAAGAATTTGGAAGTGGCTGGATTTAGGACTGCTGGGTTGTTTCTTAGGTTCCTAACTTTGGGGTGACTTATTTTGAAAGTCACTTTATTGGGGCTATTCCCAATACTTGCATTCACCTTTGCAGACTAGCTTGAAAACATATATAATATTTGGAAAATATGCATACACTTAAGCAACAATTTTTAAATGTACACTTGGGAAACTTGTATAAAATCTGAGAAATGAATAAAACGTCAAGGAGGCAGAATATTATAGTAGTTTGGAGTAGGGATGCCAGGGCATGGGTTTAAACCCTGGATTTATCATCTTCTAGTTGGATGACCATGGAAACATACTTTCCTCCGGCTTCCAAATACATTCATCTATGTTATAATACCATTAGGAGGTTATATGATGTACAAGTAGGTTACCTGGGAAACAGACTGAATGGAAATTAGTCTGCAAGATTTTTACTGGGGGGTGCTTTTGGGATCTACTCCTTGTGGGGGAAGGCAAAGAAGCAAATTTGGACAGAGGGAGAAACTGGGTTGCAATTTAGTCTCATCAAAGGCCTCAGCTAACCCCATGAGAAGCTCTGAGCTTGTAGAACCTTTCAGAGTTATCCTGAGTTTGGATGAGGGGACCCTATCTTTAAATTCCCATGTGGATACAATGTCTTTGGGTACAAGCTGCCTCTGGGAAGGCAGTAAGTCTCAGGCAAAGTGGCTTCCTCCAGCCCAGAGCAACTCCTCAGGGGGACTGAGACTTGAGGGCTGTTTGCAGGCATCATGCCTGGCAGCTGGGGGAATAAGTCCTTCATTCAGAAATGAAAAACTGGGCAATGCAACCTAGCTGTCACTACAGTGAGACAATCTACACACCAGTCCACACACCATTTCACACACGCATGGAAGAATAGTAGAATCGACTGATGCATGATAACTTTCAAGTATTAAGGTCATTTCCTTACTTTCAAAGCACAAACAAAAATAGTGCATAATCAGAGAATAATGGAATCATACAAGCTGGGAGGCATTTTAAGGTTTATCTCCTCCAATTGCTTTATTTAAAGATGAAGAACAGAAAAATTTAATGACTTGCCCTAGGTCACGGCAGAGTCTAGATTTAAATTCAGGCCATTGGGCTTCAAGTTCAGTGCCCCCTCCACCATATTACGATAAAACACATTGTAGGCCAGGTATGGTGGCTCGCGCCTATAATCCCAGCTCTTTGGAAGGCCGAGGTGGGCAGATCACCTGAGGTCGGGAGTTCGAGACCAGCCTGACCAACATGGAGAAACCCCCATCTCTGCAAAAAATACAAAATGAGCTAGGTGTGGTGGCACATGCCTGTAATGACAGCTACTCGGGAGGCTGAGCCAGGAGAATTGTTTGAACCCGGGAGGCGGAGGTTGCGATGAGCCGAGATAGTGCCATTGACTCCAGCCTGGGCAAAAAGAGCAAAACTCCGTCTCAAAAAAAAAAAAAAAAAAAAAGAATGAAATTGTAATGGGAATAGCAAATAGATTTCATCTTTTATGCCGACTCTAATGAATTGGTAGTGACTGTCTAGATTAATATGTTGAGAAGAAGAATCAAATTAGAGGTTTAATAGAACCTAGACCCTCATTCTGGGTTCTATAAACTCCTTGGCTCAGAGATGAACACAAAAACGCCAACTGAGTTCAAAATGAGATTTCTAGAGAAAAGTGGACCACTATCCTAGAAGAGAAAATGCCAGACTTGGTTTAAGTTAAGCTTTAAATCTAGCTGGATTGCTTTTCTCTCCATGGAAGATGGTTCTTTGAGTTATATTCCCTCTTTCCTCATATGCAAAGCCATGGTGTTGTACCACATATTCATGGAAGCTTTTTACAGCTATCCTTTGAGTGTATCCAGAAATCCCTACTGATGAGATGAGTAATCTGGGTTGTGTCCTGGGGCCACTGAGAAGGTTGAGAGACATTTCCAGATGCCTGGGTGATTGCATGAAGGTGGGCGAGGGCACCCATCCTCATCCTTATTCCACATGGCGATATGAGGCACAGACTCCAGAGTTAAAGCCTACTGGAAGAAGACTGTAAAATATTTTTACTGTACCAAAAATATAAATTTTAAAAATTTACCATTTTAACCCATTTCAAGTGTACATTTCAGTGGTGTTATGTCCATTCACAACGTTGCACCAGCATCACCATCCATCTCCAGAACTTTTGCATCATCTCAAACAGAAACTCTGTACCCATTAAACAACTCCCAGTGTCCACTTTGCCCTAGCCACTGGTAACCATTTCTATCTCTGTGAATTTACCTATTCTAGGTGCATCATATGAGTGGAAACATAAAATATTTGTCTTTTTGCATCTGGCTTCTTTAATTTAGGATAATGTTTTCAAGGTTCATCCAAGTTGGAGCAGGTACTTGTACTTCATTGCTTTTTAAGGCTGAACAATGTTCCATTGCATGAGTAGACCACATTTTGCTTATCTATTCATCTGTGGATGGACACTTGTGTTGCTTCCCTTTTGGCTATTGTGAATAATGCTGCGACGAACGTTGGTGTGGGAATAATACTTTTTGCACCCAGTTCCTGCTTGAAAGCTTAGAATCATGACCTCCTTAGAGGCTACGTAGCACAGCTTCTCATGTTGTAGAGAAGGGAACGATGGCCCAAAAACACCAAACCTCTCGCCAGTGGCAGCCCTAAAAGAAGGCACCAAGGCCACAGCATCTAAAATGTGGGTTCACCATTTGGTTGAATCTTGGTAAAATGAATTCACCATTTTCGACAATCCATGTTCAGCACGGTTTCTGGCAGATAGGTATCATATGTCTTTAAAATAACATAACTTACTTTTACTAGATATCCAGTTTTGTCAAACCAAGTGGTCCAGTTACGTATTGTTTTATATCAAAGTACCCTAAAATTGCCATAGAACAGCAACTATTTTGTTATGCTCACCAATGCTTTAAATCAGAAATTTAGGCCAGAAACAGTGAGGATTCCTTATCTCTTTTCCACAGTGACCTGAATCCCAGCTAGGGAAACTCAAATAGCTAGAAGCAACTGGAACTGGAACAGCTGGTACTGGAACCACCTGAAAGTGTCTTTACTCATATGTCTCATGCCTGTGTTAGCATGCCTCAAAGCCTGGCCCAGCTTGGACTGTTGATCATAAACCCACAACTGACCTTTCCACATAATACTGAGCTTCCACACAGCATAGTGCAATTAGGGTACTCATACTTCTTACTTGGCAGCTCATGGCTCCAAAAATGAGGATTCGAGTGAACAAGGCAGAAATAGCTTGATTTTTCATGATCTAGCCTCGGCAGTCACATGACATCATTTTCACTCTATTAGTCAAAGATACACATGCCTGCCCATTTTCAAAGGGAGGGAACGTAAGCCCCACCTCTCATGAAGAAAGCATTAATGAATTTGTGGCTGTAATTTAAAACCATAACATTTAGTGAATATTGTCCCCTTGAAGTGGCCCTGTTGGGATGCCTTTTTGGAAAGCCAACTAGACTCTGCCGAATATCCTTTGGACTTGCTGCTGATGGTAAGTCTTCACCTTTGAAGGTAGAGCTGACTTGGGGGAACTCGAGTGATGGAGGGAGATGGATCTCTGGACATTCATGAATCACTTAGTGGAATACCAGTATGTGCTGGGCACTAGGGAGAGGTGCATCAATCTAGGGCTCAATTTTTAGTTAAAAACAAACAAACTTGAAGGGTGATTTCAGAAACTAATCAGATTGTCTTGTATGTCTAGTGATCAAATACTAGATTTTCCAAAGTACTACCTTAAAGCAACATTTATATCTTCAGCAATAACTGTGCCTTCACCCTACCCCAGCCCATGTCTGTGAAAGGTGGCCATCTTGTGGATAGGTAAGTTCTGGTGTGTTTGTTAAAAACAGCATCTCTCATGATTATGTAAATCATACTCTTCAGGGAGGCAGCAAGTTAACTGGACAAGAAGGATGTGATTCTGTGTGTTTTCTTCTGGATTTATCCAAATGGAGCTGGGTAATGGGAAACATGGACTGCGTGTTCTTTCACTCAAGCAAATCACACCAGATCTGTGATTTGTTCTCATGCTAAGGGTTGCACAGACTTCCCGAACACGGCCTCGGGACTCTTGTGTTTTAGGTAAGAATGCCTGTTCTGCCGACATTGGCCCTGGTGTCCTCACTTCCTGTCTATTTGGAGCTCTGTCCTAGAGGGCTGTCGTGTTACTAAGGCAACCAGCAGTCCTCTGTGAAACGTTCCTAATCTTTCCTGTGGAAACACAATTTCTGTCTGTGCTGTGTGATCCAACTTTTTACATTAGCCCATAGAATTTTAGCAGTGCTCAGGTTGAAGAGGCTAATTTCTACCTCCCAAACTAAGTGATACCCCAGAAGACAGACCAATGGGCAGAGTGTACAGGGATGGTAAACCCACACTTCCTGCCCCACCCTAAAAGTACTTGTCATCCCTGTGCTTTTCAAGAGAGCCCAGACTACCTCACACCTTCAGAGGACATTATGTCCTCTGAAGTCTTGGAGATCCACCTCTCCAAGAGAACTGTTTAATTTGACTATGTCTTCAACCACACCAACTAGGATCCTTATCCCTTCCTGTCTCTTAAAGGTGATAGAGTGGTCCAACCAATGTTCTGGGTATTATCCCTAAATGAAATAGGAGTCCCAGAAAACAAACAACTGGCAGTGTCAAGGGATGCCCTTTTCTAAGAAGGCCATCTAGCCAGCATGTTAGCCTGAGCCCTTGGCCTGTTGTGGTACCTCTAGAAAAAGATGTATTGCTGTAATAAGGGCACTGGGGTAAGAATAGAGTCCTGCCTGGCCTTACTCCACAACAGTTCATCCAAACACACAATGACATATGTGTTCATCTGAACACACAATAAAAATTGATGTGGAAGGCCGGGCGCAGTGGCTCATGCCTGTAATCCCAGCACTTTGGGAAGCCGAGATGGGTGGATCACCTGAAGTTAGGAGGTTGAGACCAGCCTGGCCAACATGGTGAAACCCCATCTCTACTAAAAATACAAAAATTAGCCGGGTGTGGTGGCGTGTGCCTGTAATCCCAGCTACTCAGGGGGCTGAGGCAGGAGAAACGCTTGAACCTAGGAGGCAGAGGTTGCAGTGTGCTGAGACCGTGTCATTGCACTCCAGCCTGGGCAACGAGAGTGAAATTCTTTTTCAAAGAAAAAACAAACAAAAAAAAAAGAAAGAAAGTTGATGTGAAGACACATCAATGAAATGTGTGTCCATCTGAATGTACAATGAAAATTGATGTGAACACACATCAGTGAAATGGCAATCATAACACTGACTTCACACGGTTGCTTTTAAAGTCCTTTGTAATCTTTGGTGCATTCTACAAGTTTTATTTAAATCTATAGGACTGTTCATCTTAAGGAAAGTATTAGCAAAGTTTTCTAAGGAAAAAAACAAGACAAAACCCCCAAAAGTTGTTTTTACAATTTAAACCTTCCAAAGAACAGGATAGTTGTGATTCTCATAGGCCTACCTGTTGGGGTGATCAGACCCAACACCAGGTCGTGGGGGTGACAAAGTCCGGCAGAGTCAAAGGATTGAGAAAAAGACAGTTTGAGAGAGAAAGGTGGGACCAGGGGGCCATCACTAGTGTATGGAGGCTGCGAAGTCCCCGAGCTGTGGGAGTCCATACTATTTATTGGTAATCCAACAAAGAAACAGGTGGTGAGAACGTGGAAGTCAAAAGGGCAGGTGCATGATCTACAGCTGTGATGGTTTAGCATGTATAAGGAACATGTTCTGCTACTTGAGATAATGGGAATACGAGCCTAGGAGGGCTAGCAGCAAGGAGCCAGCAAGTCTAGACACATTTCAGAGGACATTATGTCAGTCATGCAAGCCCTGCCTCAGTCTTTTTCCCAACACTCAGCCTTTTCCCAACATGCCCCATTTCTCTTTTTTGAAAACGAGAAGGTATCGTTATTACTATCCTTATTACTAGCATAAAAGGTGGCCTCTTTTAATTGAGCAAGACGATTGCAGGCTGTGCAGCCCTTAATTGCCAGTTGGTGATCCAGCTTTATTTTTCTTAGCTCTTATTGAAACTGGAGTCGCTCTGGTTTGAATACTTCCCACATATCTCCCCTTTCCCTTTCACAAGAGGACCCTTAATCCTAGGGGTTGCAGAAGGATGAAGGTCCGTCTTCTGTAACTTCTTCATGCTGAATAGGGGTGATGATATTCCTGCCCAACTATTAGGGTCTCTTGTATTCAGGGTAGAGGGGAGCTGAGTCACAAAGCATTGGTCTATTAAACATCGTGATTCTGGTCGGTCCTCATTCCTTCTTTGCATTCAGATTCAACTGGCTCATGGCTTGTACTGGGGGGACCCGGTCCAAGGTTGGGATCTATGGGTCCCTCCAGTCTCCCATTCCATGGTCATACACATCTTGAGGGCATCCACACAGTTCATTCATCTCCTGCAAAAACACAAGCATAACCTCACCCCCACGTTAGTAAATCTACTGAAACAGAAGCAAAAACTTTCGTGGCTGTAGCTGGGAGACCACTGATAATGAGAAATAGGCCCCTTCTAACAGAAGGCACAGGGAAAGCAAATCAAGGCTTTTCAAAACTTCAATTAGCATTGTACAGGTGGGTCCACTAGATGCTATGGCTCATGATAGATCTTCAGATGTTTGGTGGGCACCCACACAGGCACCTGATTGTCACCTGGAGATACACAAGCAAATCCTCTTTGCCATATAATTATCTTTCCTTTTTCCCAGCTCTTTGTTTGTGACCATATCTTTTTCTAAGGCCTGCGGCATTAAGATGAGTTAAAGAATGGAATGCTTGTGCATCAGCAGAGACTGCAGACACCAGTGCATCCACCCTTTGATTAAGTTTAGTTAAAGGACCAAAAGGTCCTGTAGGAGAGAAAAGAAAGAGCATTTTTATCCTTACCTCCATCCCCTCTATTCCTTTTATATTTGCCCTCTCAGATTTTGATTGGATTTTGAGCCATAGCTAATTTCCATAATTCAGAATGTTCTTGTCTGTTCCTGTAAATCTCTGCTAGTCTTTGCTAGTCTCTAGTTTTGTACCTCTCTAGGGCACTGACCTTATATTGCTAGTCTTTGCTTTTGTACTTCTTTAGGGCACTGATCAGTACCTCTTTAGGGCACTGACCTTATATTGCTAGTCTTCATCTATCTCTCTATTTATCTCCATCTCTCTACTTAACTCTGTCTCTACTTATCTCTACCTATTTATCTCTATCTCTATCTCTATATTTATCTCCCTTATCTCTACTTGCTTAGTTCTACTTACTTAGCTCTACATCTTTCCTGGAAACCTTTTTTATGACCCTGAGTAGAGCTCAGAAATCTACCCTTTAAGCTTCAGCAAGAGACAAAACAGGGACCCTGGACCTGGTACCAGATTGAAAGGAACAGGAAGTGCTCTCCCCTCCCCAAAGCAGGAAAACCAGAGTTTGGCCCTTGCAGATTTCCACTCCACATCAGCGTCATCCTCAATTTCCTGGAATGAATTGTTGATCATGGCAATTAAGATATTTAGCAAAACAATGACCATTGTAACATTATAGACTCCATAAAGAACATAACCAATGTTTTCAATGAATTTGTGGTTATCATTGTAACCACTGATTTCACTTCAGAAAGTCCACATATAGCCCAGAACAGTGTCTTAAAACTCTGTTGTGAAGGCTTCATTTTGTCTTGCACCAATGTAGGAGAAGAGGTTGAACATTCCCATCATAAAGACCACAAACAGCACAATGAACACATTCAGCCCATATCATGCCTGTGTGCTCGTTAAATCTGTTTTTCTCTAGCAGAGGCAGGTTAACCATGAAACTGAAGCTTCAAGATGACTTTACTTGCCCTACGCAAAGCAGCCTGTGATTTATTTTTTCCGGGACTACTGCCAACCAGGCCTGTGTGTCAATCTGTAAGCATGCAACAGCAGGTCTACTGTACATGTAGGTCTTTTGTCAGACACTTGATTAACCCAACATACAGCCTCTCCTGTTGGATTAGTACTACCAAAGCCTCCTGTTCTTTTCACCAAGCTGCTTCCCAGCTTTATGTCAACAACTGAGCAATTCTTTCTCCTAGGGAAGCAGACCACAGAGTTGAGGAACTAATAACTAATTGAATTTCTCTGGTATAATCAGAACCAATCATTCCCGTATGCAGAGTGACACCTCTAGCTCTTTCAAGTAGTAGACCGACTTCCTGAGGACAAGAGTTCCCCAGCTCCTGTGGGGACCCTCTCTGGTGGCTCCCCAGGAAGCAGGGAAACGGGGAACTGTGCTGCAAAGGTTCACAGCAGCAATGCCCGCTGCAGCGGGAAACAATTGTTGCCGTTTGTAAGGGCCCTGGCTGTGCCAGATATGCCTCGGTTTATTGAGATGCTCTCTAAATAAACAAGCCTCAGATTCCACTGGGTCTTCATACTACCAATTGCTCCAGGTTTTAATGTTGCAACTATAGGAAAGGTAAGTTTTGCAGCTAATTCATTTACTTGCCCATTAAGGGGAGAGAGAGGAGGTGGCCATTCACTTAATTCAGCAGGTGGAGCCCACGGGCTACTAAAAAATACTTTTTTCAGATTCCCTTTGTTTTCTTTAATTTCCTCCATTTCCTGTTCCTCACATTCAGAATCTGAAGTTTGTTTTTACACTCGTCCTCCTCTTCTTCATCTGAATCTGCCTCATCATCCGTTTGAAATGGCTCAAGAGCTGCTTCTGTTAGTGCCCACATTGACCAAACTGAGACTAGAATTTTTGCTCCATCTTTATACACTTTTTAAAAATCTCTGCCAATTCTCTCCCATTCATCCAGCTCCATAGTCCCTTGTTCTGGGAACCATGAGCAAAACTGCCTTACTGCGCTAAAGAGTGAGTGATAAATTCTGAGCACTAACTTTCATTCCCCCTCTTTGTAATAATGCCTTAGGAAATTTAAACAAGCAGAATGTCTGCTTTCACTTTGTCCCTTTGTTACCCTGGTTCTTGTGAGTGCTCAGCTTTCCAGCCAAGCTTCTTTTCGACATCCTCAGGTGTCCTTTGATGAGGCGTCCTTTGCTTTCACATGCTCTGGTATTCCTTCACCAGGATCTTTGTTGCCCCACATTGGGCGCCAGAAATGTTGGGGTGATCAGACCCAACACCAGGTCGTGGGGGTGACAAAGTCCGGGGGAGTCAAAGGATTGAGAAAAAAGACAGTTTGAGAGAGAAAGGTGGCACCAGGGGGCCATCGCTAGTGTGTGGAGGCTGCGAAATCCCTGACTCTGGGAGCCCATGCTATTTATTGGTAATCCAACAAAGAAACAGGTGGTGACAATGTGGAGGTCAAAAGGGCAGGCACATGAGCTACAGCTGTGATGGTTTAGCATTTATAAGGAACATGTTCTGCTACTTGAGATAATGGGAATGCAATCAATCTGGAAGCCTAGGAGGGCTAGAAGCAAGGAGCCAGTTAGTCTAGACACACTCTGGAGGACATTATGCAAGCCCTGCCTCAGTTTCCCTCCCAACACTCAGCTTTTTCCCAACACCTACCAACCTCTGAATATCAGATTCAGCATGTTTCTCTCTAAAAATCTTAAGTACAGAGGCCAATTCATAAGGATTTTTTTTTTTTGAGGCAAGATCTCAC
The DNA here is from genome assembly GCF_000001405.40 of Homo sapiens. Taxonomy (NCBI): domain Eukaryota; kingdom Metazoa; phylum Chordata; class Mammalia; order Primates; family Hominidae; genus Homo; species Homo sapiens. Next base: position 184,913,233 of record NC_000004.12, read on the forward strand.
TAGGTCACCCAGGTTGGAGTGCAGTGGCACAATCTAGCTCACTGCAACCTCTGCTTCCCAGGCTCAAGAGATCCTCCCACCTCGGCCTCCACAAGTCACTACACCCAGCTCATTTTTCAATTTTTTGTAGAGTTCTCATAGTATTGCCCAGCCTGGTCTTGAACTCCTGGACTTAAGCAATCCTCTTGCCTCAGTCTCCCAAACTGCTGGGATTATAGGGATGAGCTACCATGCCTGGCCAGAATTAGCAGTAGCTGAGATTTATGTATTATGTATAGCAACCCGGGAGCTGGCTCAGATGTTATCCTGCAATAAGTACACAAAGCTGCCTTGAGAATTGGACAGAAAGCACAAGCAGAGACATAGAATATGTGCCAAGCAAACTGGACAAACAATCTGGTAAGTCAGTTTATTTTGAGTCAGGTGAATCTTTGACATGGGTTAAAAGATATTAAACAAATTATTTTTTAATTTAAAAAAACTGCATAATAATATAAATAAAACCAGCCTACTTGAATCCACTTAAGAAATACAAATGCTTTCTTAAGTTAGAAGGATCATCTCTTTCCTTGAATATAAAATGAAAGATTAAATTTTTAAAAAGTTTAAAATTAAATTCACTTATTACACAATGTTCTTAACATATATTTTTCCTGGCAGGTAAGGTGAGGTGAAAAGTTCATTTGAACTTAGACTTGAGTTCAAGTTTTAGTTCCAGCAGTGATCAGGTGTGTGTACTTTGGCAAATGATTTAACTTTTTAGAGCTTTATATGCTCTGATGCCTATAAAATAGCTTTAATTGTGAAGTGGTTAAATGAGATGGCATTTATTAAGTTCAGAGCTGACTACATATTTTGTCCAGCCCAGTGCAATATAAAAATTCAGGGCCCCTTGTTCAAAAAGCAGGAAAAAAGCTTTCTCCTCCTCCAATGTTCACTGTCTCCACCTGTCTGGGTATTTTGTGACAAACTCCCTTAGGCACAGATAGATTCATCATAGGGTGGGCAAGTGAAGACCCCAGCATGCTCCTCATACCCAGAGAACAGGAGAGCACAGCCAAGAACCCAGCCCAGGGAGGTGGGAGGTAGGATCCAGTGAGTGTAGGCACCAAGCTCCCCTCCCAGGTGGGCCCCCAATTGTCCCCTGCCCAGGAAGCCAGCCCTGGGCAATGGATGTTCTTATCATAGGGCTCTCCTGGCATTTAGACACAGAGATTGAAATGTTAATTTAGTGTCTCCCACCCGCCAGAGGATTTTGTGAAGATTACAAGAGATAATATGCTTGAAATGTCCTTTGCAAATTGTAAAGCACTCAACAATGTAAACTATTGTCTTTTAAAATCAAAATTTGTCTGAAACGGATAGCATTTCATTTTCTGCTTAGCAAGGCAGTGACAGAGAAAGTTTGCAGTAAGAGAAAGCTGCATTTTAATTTTACAAGAGATATTTTTAAAATATCACAGGAGTTTATTGTACAGATTATTTCATCATTCAGGTACTAGTGTGTCTGGAATTGGTTCCTTCTTGTGGGTTCTTGGTCTCGCTGACTTGAGAATGAAGCTGTGGATCCTGGCAGTGAGTGTTACAGTTCTTAAAGATGGTGTGTCCGAAGTTTGTTCCTTCAGATGTTCAGATGTGTCTGGAGTTTCTTCCTCCTTGTGGATTCATGGTCTCGCTGACTTCAGGAGTGAAGCCACAGACCTTCGCAGTGAGTGTTACAGCTCTTAAAGGTGGCACATCTGGAGTTGTTTTTTCCTCCTGGTGGGTTTGTGGTCTCGCTGACTTCATGAGTGAAGCTGCAGACCTCCGCAGTGGGTGTTACAGCTCATAAAGGTAGTGCACACCCAAAGAGCGAGCAGCACCAAGATTTATTGTGAAGAGCAAAAGAGCAAAGCTTCCACAGCGTGGAAGGGGACTCAATCAGGTTGCCAATGCTGGCTCTGGTGGCCGGCTTTTATTCCCTTATTTGGCCCCGCTCACATCCTGCTGATTGGTCCATTTTACAGAGTGCTGATTGGTCCATTTTATAGCATGCTGATTGGTGCATTTTTACAGAGTGCTGATTGGTGCATTTACAAACCTTTAGCTAGACACAGAGTGCTGATTTGTGCATTTTTACAGAGTGCTGATTGGTGCGTTTACAAACCTTTAGCTAGACACAGAGTGCTCATTGGTGCATTTACAATCCTTTAGCTAGACAGAAAAGTTCTCCAAGTCCCCACCCGACCCAGAAGCCCAGTTGGCTTCACCTCTCAATCTCCCCTCTAAACAGGACACCCCAACTGCTGTTGGGAATTGGGCAATGACCGCTGTAGCTACTTCCTGCTGGATAGGGGCAAAGAAGGGACTCTGCAGTTGTAGTGTCCTCCAGAGGGGAACTCTCTAGGCCAGTGAAAGGGCCAGCGGGTTGGTCCAGGGGTCCTCAGTAGAAGTTGTTAGTTGAGCTCATTTGGGGTTCCATTTGTAAGACCATCTGTAGCTTTATGGCCTCAATCCTAGAGGAAACAAATTTGACAAGGAGGTTAAAAATACAGAGCCCGAAGGTGAGTAATAGCAAGATGGCTGCCACGGGACCTAGAAAGGGGAGAAGCCACATTGCCCAACTCCAGAGGTTGGTATAAGAGTTTGAAAGTTGTTGTCTGATTTCAGAAGCCTTTTCCTGTAAACACCAGGTGGCATCTCATACTATCCGTGACTGGTTAGTGTAAAAACAACACTCTTCCCCTAAGAAGGTGCAGAGTCCTCCTTTCTCAGCAGTGAGGAGGTCTAGGCCTCAGCAGTTTTGGAGAGTCTCTGCTGCCAAAGAGTCTATTTGGGATTGTAGAGTAAGGATGGATGTCTTCATTTCTTGCAAACTGTCTGAGAAATCCTTTGAGAGTGTGTGGTAGTAGGATAATGAAGTAGATAAACTGGCTATTCCAGTTCTTGTAGCAGTAGCCATTCCTAACCCTATAAGTAGGGGTATCAGTTGCATGGCTTTGTGCTGATGGACTTGAGCTTTGAGGGGTACTGATAGAGTCTGATTTCCTGGGGCAATGTTAATGTTGGGACTTAGAAAGACTAAGGTGCAGGTGCCTGTCCAGTTAGTGGGGAGGCAGATATAGGTCGACATTCCACATAAGAAGAATATACCTTGGCTGGGTAGACAGAACTGGTTGTGTATGTTAAAAAGGTGTGTGAGTTTGTTGTTTTCATTTTCCCATACTGCTAGATTACTTGCCAAGGTAGCTCCAGTGAGTGGCTGGAAAGGGATGTTGGGAGCAAACTGAGTGGCTCCCTGTGTTCTATTTTCCCTTTGGAGAAAAAATCATTTCGTATCTACTAGGAACCATTCAAGAGAGTGATTGAAAGGGGATGAGAAGGCATTCACTAGTGATGGGGGCGCTGCTGCAGGGAGTCCAGGGGTGAATGGTCATGCAGGGAGTATGTTTGCCATTACAAAACCTGGCTGTTTGTTAAGTAGGGAGGAGTTGACGATTTTTGGGGGCCCTGAGAAGCGGACAAGCCGTCTGAATGGAGCTGTCTGGGTGACTCGGAAGTTACTATGATCAGTTGGGGCTTGAAGTTGTGGGGTGTAATTACACTGATGGGGTAGTAGGTGCCCCAGGGGCAGGCCTGGTAACAGGTTGCATTGGATACATAAAGGGGCTTGGAAAGTTAAGATGGTATTCATAGTAACAGGGCCATGTATGGGCTTTACATTGCTTGTGTAATAGGTGAGGTTGGAAATATAAGAACGTAAAAGTTGGATTGCACGTCCTGTTAGGGTATTCTTGGTCCTATCAGAGATGGGGAAGTTGGCTAATGATTTCATATTTAGAAGTTGGAAAGGGTCTTTTCCTTCATAATGAGGGTGGTAGGTTAAGTTGGTAAAGACCGTTTTTTGCGGGAATGGGAGTGGCAACGTAAGCAGAGGTTGATAGAGAGATACAAAGCCAACAGTCATTTGCCAGGGAAGGATTGGACTGGTTTAACAGACAGTGGGTTAAGTTGACAGTCTTGTAGAGGTAATTAGGAGCTAGTGGAAGGGGAGGGGTGATTGTATGAGGTATCCAAGGAAGCAGGAGGGATAGACAGGCAAAGAGTAAATAGGGAGGTAAAGAGGGTGCTCTGGAAGACGAGATCATTTTATCCAGGCTGAGTTAAAGGTAGGAGTAAATTGCTGTCAGAAGGAAGAAAGATAGAAAGGAGGTTGATGTGATTAGGATTTTTGTCCCAGCAGGAGCTACAGTATATAGACCTATCGCAAAGAGTATGGTTAATATGCTGTTTAATAATATGATGAAATAGTAAAAGGATTCCATTAAAGGGGTAGAGAGAGGTGTTACAGATAAAGATTATGTAGATTTTCACTTATCTTTTTTAAGGAGGAAGGGATTTTTCTTCAGGATCAGTGGTAGGAGCCTTTTTAGTCTGGGATGTTTCCTTCCAAAATAGGAGATGCAAGTCTCCAACGGTTCACAGGTGTATGGAGGCTGGTCTGGCTGATCTTGGGACTCCTGAGCTGATGATCCCGCAGGTTCCTCAGGGGATGTCCAAAGTTTAACTTGGGTGTGGTGAATCCAAGATTCCACTCCTGCCACTTTAACTGCAGTGGGGGTAGAGAGGATTACCGAGTATGGTCCTTCCTACAAAGAGCCCATGGATGGGGAGGTAGAGGGGAGAGATTTGACCAACCCTAGATCCCCTGGTTGAAACAACTCTGTTCCCTTTTCTCTGAGACATCCTTCAGGTAGGTTTTTAAGGTTTTGTTGATATTTTGCCAAAGAAGTTATATCTTTGACCAAGTTGGCCATTTCCTGATCAAGTAGGAGGTCATTTATGAGAAAAGGTCGCCCATACAGCATTTCATATGGACTCAGCCCCATTTTGTGAGGAGAATTTTGGATTCTCAAAAAGACCATGGGCAAAAGAGTAGGCCATGGGAGGTGAGTTTCTTGTGTTAGTTTCCTTAAGTGCCTCTTGAGTGTTTCATTTGCCTTCTTGACCTTCCCTGAGGATCGTGGCCTCCAGGCGCAGTGAACGTGATATTGTATCCCTAGTACCCTGGAAATTCCCTGAGTTATCGTGGCTTTAAAAGCCGGACCATTGTCACTCTGTAAGCTTTGGGGAAGCCCAAATGTAGGAATTATTTCACGTGTTAGGACTTTAATGACTTCCTGAGCCTTCTCTGTCTTGCAGGGGAAAGCTTCTATCCAATTTGTAAAGGTATCAACACAGACCAACAAGTATTGAAATCCCTTTGACTTAGGCATATGGGTGAAGTCTAACTGCCAGTCCTTTCCAGGATAGGGACCTATTCTTTGTTCCCCGAAAGGGGCCTTATGATGGACCAAGGGATTATTCCTTTGGCACACCTCACAGGCTTTGACTACCTGTCAGATGGTCTGGAGGAGATTTGGCCCTGTAAATAGGGATTTGGCCATTTGATGAGTGTTTTCAATACCCATATGAAAAGTTTGGTGGAGGATTTTAAGTATTTTCCACTGGCTGTCTTCAGGTAGAAGTACCTTTCCTCCTTCTGTCATTAACCACCCCGAGGGGAGAAAACTATGCCTCCGTGAAAGTCCCCATTCTGTTTCAGTCAGGGAATACTGGCTTAATCTCTTGGAGGGGGTTGTTCCATACCAAGGGTCCTTCCGTAGGTATTTCTAATGGGAGGTTCCGCCTGGCAGCAATTTGGCCTAGCATCTGCCTGACAGTTTCCTTCTGCCTTTTCTCCTTCACCTTTCTGATGGCTTTGGCAGTGCAAGACTGCCACCTCCTTGGGTTTTTGCGTTGCATGCAATAACTCCATAATTTCCTTGTGGTATTTAATGGGGGTTCCCCCAGAGATTAGGAACTCCCTTTCTTTCCATGTTGCAGCATGGGCATGTAGGATTAGATAAGCATACTTGCTATCTGTATACACATTTATTCTTTTTCCCTTTCCCAGTTCTAAGGCTTGGGTTAGTGCCACTAGTTCTGCTAACTGGGCACTGGTACCTGGGGAAACAGGCTTAATTTCAATGTACAGTAATGTACAGTTACATTACTAACTATGGCATAACCTGCCCTTCATATCCCATTCTCCACAAATGAACTTCCATCGGCATATAGGTTAAGGTCAGGACTAGCTAAGGGGACTTCTAAAAGATCATCTTGGACAACATAAGTCTGGACTATAATTTGTTGGCAGTCATGCTCGATTGGTTCCCCATCCTCTGGGAGAAAAGTGGCAGGGTTGAGGGCCACGCATTTGTGTATTTGAAGCACCGGTCCCTCAAGGAGTAGCGCCTGGTATCTAAGTAGGCGGTTGTCTGATAGCCATAAACTTCCTTTGGCACCTAGTATGAATTTACATCATGAGTAGTCCAGACAGTGAGATCCTTTCCTTGTATTATTTTGATAGCCTCTGACACTAAGACAGCCACCACTGCAACCACCCATAAACAGTGAGGCCAGCTTTTTGCTACTACATCAGTTTCCTTACTTAGGTGTGCCACTGGTTGTGGGATTGTCCCATGAGTCTGAGTAAGGACTCCTAGAGCTATCCCTGCTCTCTCTGTGACGTATAAAGAAAAGTTTCATTCTGTGGGAAGGCTTAAGGCTGGAGCTTGAGTTTGTTCCTTCCAATGCCCAGACTTCAGGGTTGATTCCCTCCTCAAGTAGGAGACAGCAAATGGGTAACTTGTTCCCTATATTCATGTAGATAATAGCTCCAGCTTTGGCCAAAATATCCCTTCCTAATAAGGGTGTGGGACTTTCAGGCATAACAAGAAAGGCATGTGAAAAGAGCAAAGTCTCCCAATTACAACTGAGGAGGTGGGAGAAATATCTGGTTACAGGCTGTCCCAGGATTCCTCGGATGGTAACAGACCTTGAGGACAGCTGTCCAGGACAGGAGATTAACACTGAGAAGGCGGCACCAGTGTCCAGGAGGAAGTCAATTTCCTGGCCCTCAATGGTTATGCATAGCTGGGGCTCCCGTGAGAGTGATGACATGTGCTGGTGCTTGCCCTGGGCACCCTCAGTCCTGTTGTTGGATCATCTGGTCGGGGGCTTCTGGCACAGAGAACCATTGCACTCTGGGGCAGTGCGCCATCCAGCTTGCTGACCAGTAGGGAATTTGTCCCTTTCTTTGGCTGTCATTTCTATCGCTTACTTGACTAAGATACCAGGTATCTCCGAACTCTCGGGCTGCAGCTAAAGCTGCATTCTTTTCATTAAAGGCCAGGGTTTGATCTAACAGTAGCATGACATCCCTCCAAGCAAGGTATGGTGAAGCACACCTGTAGTCCCAGGTACCCAAGGGGCTGAGTTGAGAGGATCACCTGAGCCCGGAAAGGTTGAGGCTGCAGTGAGCCATGATCACACCACTGCACTCTAGCCTGGGCAACAGCATGAGACTCTGTCTCAAAAAAAAAAAAAAAAAAAAAAAAAAGGAAAAGAAAAAACTAGAAATCCAACTTCCAATCCATGCTGAACTTGATTAACAAACAGTAAGTAGGCTTCCTCTCACAGTACTTTATTTTTCCTCTTGCGGAGCCAGAGATTATTCTGTTATTTAATGTGCTAGCGAGCTCTGAATGTGTGTGGTTTTAAAATGGCTTCTCACCATGAAGTGTGTTTTCCAGGAACTCACACGTTTTCAGGTCAGTTTTTACAGGCTCTCCTTTTATGTGTGTCTTGCCATATTCCCTGTTGGAGGAAAAACTGTGTCCACAGTGATGAGCCCAGAGGTGTCCCATGCAGACAATGGTTTGCTCCACCTGTGGTCAGTCAGATGGTCTCAGCAAACTCATTCGAGGTATCTATTATTCAAGTTGTTTTTTGTTTTTTGGGTTTTTTTGAGACAGGGTCTTGCTCTGTTGCCAAGGCTAGAGTGCAGTGGCATGATCACAGCTCACTGCAGCTTCATCCTCCCAGGCTCAAGCGATCCTCTCATCTCAGCCTCCCAACGTGCTGGGATTACAGGTGTGAGCCACCATGCCTGGCTCATTCTTCAAGTTTATTGCAAAAACATGCTGATGTGCCTTGTATTATCTTACCTCCTATGTTGTGGTGGTTTAATGACCCTTTCTTTAAGAGGCAGAGCTTAATTCCCTCCACCCCACAATTGCGGGCTGGACTTAGTGACTCATTGCTAGCTATTAGAATGCAGCAGAGGTCCTGTTCTCCTCCTCTGCTAATTGCTCGCCCTGTTGTTGTCCCCATTTCTATTAAGGGCAACTCATCCTCTTCCTGCTGTCTCTCATACACGATATCCAATTTGCCTTCAAATCTTGTCAGTTCTATCTTTAAAATATATCCAGAACCATTTATCATCATCGCCTGTGCCACCACCCTAGTCCCAGCCAGCCTCCACTCTCAGCTGGATTTTGGAACAGCAACTAACTGGTCTTACTTCTACCCTTGCCTCTACAGTCTATACCCAACAGAGCAGTCAGAGTGATCCTGTAGCATTTGAGTCAGGTTATGCTACATCTGTGCTTACGCCTCAGCCAAGTGAAGCCAAGGTTCTTACAAAGGCCTGCTAGGCATTGTGGTGACCCCATTCCATTCCCAGGCACATCTTTGAGCTCATTTCATCCTCTCCTCTTGCTTGCTCCTCATGGGTCCTGCTTATTCCTTGAACGTCCAGTTACGCGCTTGGCTTCAGGTTTGCACCTGCTCTTACTTGCCCCACAGATACGCAGATGGCTTGCTCCCTCTTCTGATCTTTGTCCAAATGTCAACTCCTCTGGAAGGTCTTTCCTTATCATCCTATTGAAAATGTTACTCTTTCCCTTCATCATTGTCTTTTTAATAATATTTTTATTGTGGAAAAATATATGTAATATAGAATTGACCATTTTAACCATTTCTAAGTGCACAAGTTTTGACACTAAGTACACAAGTTTTGACACTAAGTACACTCAAACATTGTATCGTCTCTATCCATTTCCATCCTACAAGATATCCAATTTGCTTTCAAATTCTGTCAGTTCTACCTTTAACATATGTCCAGGACCATTTCAAGGTGAGTTTGCTGAGACCAGCTAACTGGCCACGTGTTCATCATCCCAAATTGGAACCCCACTTCACGGCCATGTCCACGGCCTGTTACTCACCCTATTGGTGAGGGAGGGGTTCCCACCCTGGGGTTACCGGATGGCCAAGCACTTGACACTTGACACTGGAAAGGTGAGATCAGCAGCAATTCATTAGTCACATGTAGTCACAGCCTGGAGGAAAAGGATGCCACACACACACGGGACTGCACTCTGTAACAGAGGGAAGATTGAGGGGCTGGGGGAGGCAGGTTTTGTAGTATCAAGGTGGTGAGTGACCCCTGTTCCCAAAGGAAGGTGTGATTGGCTTGTTTGAATAATTCCATGGGCTGGTGGGGAACTGAAGCCCCCTACTCAGGGATGAGCAGGAGCTGAACCTGACCCCTTGATAAGGAGGGTTCTTTGGGTAAGAGGCCTTACCCAGGGAAGCAGAGTGGGGAGGGGACCTTGAAGTTAGGTCATCGTAAAAAGTAAAGTAGAGGTTCTTCTTCAAAGACTTTCCTCCCCATCTAATTAGGAATAAATAGTAACTTCTCTCAGAAGCAAAATTGATTCAAAGACTTGTGCTAATGTTCTTAAATATCTGCTAGGCGTAATAAGGAAATAAATGTACTTCATGTTCTTAGCCCCCACAATTTAGCCTAAATATTTGCCCTAGCATGCTTATTTATACTGGTCCAAGCAAGCATTAGGTCATAGCCTGTTCCTCTTCCTTATTTGAAGGTGTTTTTACCTTTCTCGGCATTCCACAAGTTACTTTCTCCTTCCTTTGTTCTCCTCTGCCTTTGCCTCTTTTAAAAAGTTCTAAGTTGCTAGCCAGTCAGGACAAATACAGAATGTGAGGTCCCGTTCTAGCCAACGGAAACCGGACATAGCAGTAGGGTGGACATGTCAGATTATAAATGACCCTATCTCCTTTGTTCGGTGTACTCACGTGGCAAAATTCCTGGTGAGTGTACCCTTTCTGCAGAAAGTAAAAATGGCCTTGCTGAGGAAATTAAATGTGCTATTTCTTTATGGCACCGGGGAACAAGCATTTCTAACAGTCATTCAAGGTCCTCTCAGTTCCACCAGATGTCAAGGCAGCACTTAATATTGAGCCTTAATTTTAGGCCTTACACCAGAATTATTCCCTATTTCCTTTCCACGTTTTGTTTTTCCTTTTAGCACTTATCATCCACATTTTACTTATTCCCTTATCAACTACCTGCTCCCACTAAAAGGCGATCAGTGAAAGAATGTCTATTTGTGTTATTTGCTGCTATGTCTTTAGTGCCCAGAGCCATACCTAGCACATAGGAGACACATAATAAATATATGTTGAATTAATCAGCAGTAATATTCATTTCCTACTTTGTCATTTCCTTCCAAAGAATGTAATTGCCTTTTCTTACTTTTAAGTATCTATCCATTCTTATGAATCATCATGAATTAGATTTCAGCAACTGATAAAATATTGCTTCTACAAGTAAATTGGGTAGAATTTGTGTTTCATATGTGTGGCTGCTGTTAAGAATGGTGGGATGGAAGAGATGAAAGAGGCCTTCGAGCCCTTGGACTCCAGCCTCCTTTAGACAAGAAACCCAAACACCAGGGGACAAGATCCTGCTGAGGTCTTGCATTCAGCAGGGGAAGGCCTGAGATTAGAAACCCCCACATCTGTGACACCTGATCCAGTGTTTTTTTCCCTTTTATATGAATTAGACTCTAAGGAAATATAATAAAACAAATTTTAAACTGCTTACTAAAATTTTTGGAAGTAATTATGTCTGAAGCTAAGGTGAAATTTAAAGATGGTGTTTTAATATCTGTTTTTATCAAGGACCTTAAGTTTAAAAAAAAATTCCCCAAGAGACAGGTGAGATGTGCTGTTTGACATTTGTCAACAGCAATGTAATTATAAAGGTCAGAGTGAGTTATGCAGTAATACAGCCCAACGATACCTGTCTCTGCATATCACGTTTCTAGCCAACTGACCTCACCATCTCTCAAGCCTACAGAACTGACACTGTTTACTCCAGAAGGAAGTCTTAAAAATTTGAAGTGGAGATTGGAGTTTTATTTTAAAAGCCTATTTAAAAACAAACTTTAAAAAAGCAACTATCAAATATAGGAGGATGAATTACCAACTGCCCAAATGCAAATGATGATTCTGCCAATTCTCTGACTTCTCATTCTGCAGAGATGCTTGCAAGGGGCTGGCCAAGGGCTGAGCCCAGAGCCTGGATTCTAGACCTTCATTTACCAGTAACAGATTTCATGACTTGGGCCCAGCCAGGCAGTCTATTGGTATTTCAGTTTCTTCGTCCATACAATGGGGCAATCTTACCTACCCTACTTGTATTTTACAAGGTGTTATTAAATATAATTAAATACTGGTGTGAAGGTGCACTGGATGTCACGGGAGCCTAGTTGCTACCAGGCCATCATACAAGAGACCTTTTATGATCACCATTCCACACTCTTCAGAGGCCTGTTTTGCAACTTCCCCTTTCCCCTCAAAGCTCCAGCACCTCCTCTCCTTTCTTTACCTTGTGGCTGCCCTTGCTTCCAATTTCACTGAGACTACTGAGGCAGTCAGAAAAGAGCTTCCACAGATGCACCCACTCCAGCCACCCCAGCATCTGAACCCACATACTCTGTTATCTGGACATGTTTATCTAGAACCAGTTTCTAGTTTCACTGGGGGTTTTTTCCCCATTGTTTTTCAGTTTTCTATTTTGATTACTGCTTTAAATCTGTAACTTGGATTTATTTGTTCTTCTTTGTCCAGCTTCTTAAGGTGGAAGCTTAAATAATTTTTAGATCATTCTTCTTTTCTACTTTGGCACTAAAGCAATATATGTTTCTTCTATGCACTACTTAGCTGCTTCTTACAGATTTTAATATATGATGCTTTTATGATCATTCAGTTCAAAGTATTTTAAAAACTTTCCTGGTGATTCCTTCTTTGGCCCTTGGGTTATTTAGGAGTGAGTTGTTTGATTTCTAAATATTGAGGGATTTCCCATATATCTCCTAAATGTTAATTTCTAATTTAAATTCAGATATTTGGTCAGAGAATATATTTTGTATAATTTTGGTTATTTTAAATTTATTGAGACTTATTTTATGGCCCAGTATGTGCTCTACTTAGTGAATATTCAATGTACATTCAAAAAGAATATATTTTCTGCTGTCATTAGGTGGGGCGTTCTATAAATGTCAATTAAGACAAGGTGGCTGGGGCTGGGCGCAGTGGCTCACACCTGTAATCCCAGCACTTTGGGAGGCTGAGGTGGGTGGATCACAAGGTCAGGAATTCGAGACCAGCCTAGCCAGTATGGTGAAACCCCATCTGTACTAAAAATATAAAAAATTAGCTAGGTGTGGTGGCACGCACCTGTAGTCCCAGCTACTCGAGAGGCTCAGGCAGAAGAATTGCTTGAACCTGGGAGGTGGAGATTGGAGTGAGCCGAGTTTGGGCCACTAAACTCCAGCCTGGGTGACACAGCGAGACTCTGTCTCAAAAACAAAAACAAAAACAAAACAAAAAAAAACACATGAGACAAGGTGGTTGGTTGATAGAGTTGTTTGAGTCTCCTATGGCCATACTGATTTTCTGTCTACTTGATCTAAGGTTATCAAGAGGAGTGTTGAAGTCTCTGGCTGTAACTGAGGACTTGCTTATTCATCCTGTCAGTTCCACCCATTTTTGCCTCATCTATCTTGAAACTCTGTTATTAGATGTCTGCACAGTTAGGGCTATTTATTGTCTTTTTGAAGAATTGACTTATTTATCATTATGAGATATTTCTCTTTATCCCTGGAAAGATTCCTTATCCTGAAGTCTACTTTGCATCAGTTAATGTGGTCACTTCAGATTTTATATGATTAGCATTTGCTTGGTATGTCCTTTTTCATCCTTTTACTTTTAACCCATCTATATCTTTATAGGTATGAATTTATTTTTATAGTTTAATTTTTAATTGGCAAATAATAGTTGTACATATTTATGGGGTACAATGTGATATTTTGATACGTGCATACATTATGAAATAATCAGACCAGGCTAATCAGCATATCTATCACCTCAAATATCTTTATTTTTAAACTCCATTTCTTATAAACAGCATATATCTGGATATTGCTTTTTGGTCTTTGTCATTTTATTGGAGAGCCAAGGCCCTTTACACCTAATGCCACTGTCAGTATGGTTGAGTTTAGGTCCACCATCTTAATATTTGTTCTATCCATTCTTTGTGTTTCTTTTTTCCATCTTCTGGATTAATATATTTTTAATACATTATCCATTGGTTATTACTTATATCTCTTTGAGGTTTTTTAGTGGTTGTTCTAGGGTTTATCATAATATTATAACACTTCCCATAAAAGATAAGAAACTTACAATAATATACTTTCATTTTCTCCTTCTTGTCCTTTGGATTATTACTGTTATGCATTTTATTTCTATATATGTTATAAAACTAACAATACACGGTTATTATTTTTTTTAAGCAAATATATTTTAATAAAATTTTGAAAACTAGAAAAAACTTTTTATGATTACCTATATGTTTACTATTTCTGGCACTCTTTTTTCTTTCCTATGGATCCAAGTTATCATCTGGCATCCTTTCTTTTTTAGCCTAAAAAAGAATCTTTTAATATTTCTTGCATTACAACTCTTCTGTCAACAAATTCTCTCAGCTTTTGCTTGTCTGAAAGTATTTTGCTTCCTTTTTAATGATATTTTCTTGGAATATAGAATTCAGAGGTGACAGATTTTTTCTTTCAGCATCTTAGGGATTCCATTCCATTGTCTTCTGACTTGCATTGTTTCTGATGAGAAATCTGACATCTTTTAATTTGGCTATTTTAATACTTTTTCTCCTTATGTTTTCAACATTTGATTATGATGTGCCTTAGCCTGATTTTTAAAAATTTATCCTGCCTGAGGTTAGTGGAACTCCTTAAATATGTGGGTTTAGAGTTTATATTAAATATGGAAACATTTCTGCCACCATTTCTTCAAATATTTTTTACCTCCCTTCCTCTCTGAGACTGTAATTGTAAATACATTAGACTGTTTTATATTGTCATAAGGTCACTAAAGCTAAGTTAGTTTTCTCCCCGCAACATGTATTTCTCTCTCTGTGCTCCTGTTTGGATAGCTTCCATTACTATGTCTTCATGTTAACTGATCTGTTTTAAATATACAGTTTAATCTGCTATAAAGCCCATCTAGTAAATTTTTTATTTACAGTATCATATTTTTTAATTCTAGAAGTTATGTTTGATTCTTTTTTATGTCTTCTATTTCTCTCCTCATTATAGTCATGTTTTTCTTTGATGTTTGAGCTGTTATAAGAGTTCTTTTAATGTCTTGGTTGGCAAACACCATCACTTCCGTCATTTCTGGGTATGATTATATTGACTATTTTTTCTCCTGGTATTGGCTATGTTTTCCTGCTTCCTCACATGTCTAGTAGCTTTTTATTAAATGTTGGTTTTGTTGAAAGCCTAGATTTTATTGTTTTTCTTTGAAGAGTGTTAAAGTTTATTTTGATAGGTAAAGTTACTTTCTTGATCCTTTTGCATCATGCATTTAAGATTTGCCAGGGGCCGGGCACGGTGGCTCACGCCTGTAATCCCAGCACTTTGGGAGGCCGAGGCGGGCAGATCACAAGGTCAGGAGATGGAGACCATCCTGGCTAACACAGTGAAACCCCGTCTCTACTAAAAATACAAAAAATTAGCCAGAGGTGGTGGCGGGCGCCTGTAGTCCCAGCTACTCGGGAGGCTGAGGCAGGAGAATGGCGTGAACCCGGGAGGCGGAGCTTGCAGTGAGCCGAGATCGCGCCGCTGCACTCCAGCCTGGGCGACAGAGGGAGACTCTGCCTCAAAAAAAAAAAAAAAAAAAAAAAAAAAAAGATTTGCTAGGGCAATTCTAGAGTAGCCTTTACTTTAGTGAATAACTGAGGATTAATAGTTAACCTTTACTACTAAGGTGTAACCCTTCTGAGGTCTCTGTTGAATGCTATGAGAGCGCAATGAAGTCTTTCCACCCTAACTGATCATAACTCAAACCTCTCCCACCCGCGTGTGAGTCCTGAGAATTGTTCAGTTCATAGCTCGCGATCGTTCCTCATCCAACATTGTGGAGGTCGACTCTGGGCATCCACAGTTTACTATTCAGATTCAGGAGGACCCCCACCCAACAGATTTATGAAGACTTTATCTTTATAGTATCCCCCTCGCTGGCACTCCATCCTGCAAATTCCAGATGCCTCGGCCTCTTCTGACTCTGGTTTATCTCTACTCAATAAGTCTGCCTTGCTCTACCTGAGTTCTCCCTCCTTGTCTTGCACAAGGGAATATGCCTCCAGGCAGAATCTCTGGATGACTGCAGGGTTCACTCATTTATTTCTCTTCTCTCAGGCATTACATTCTTTCCTAATTTTCTAATTGTTTATAGCAAGAGAGCAAGTCCAGAAATGGCCCTCCTCTAAGCAACTATCTAAAGCTACCTAACGCTAAAACCTCCTTCTGTGTGCCAAATTCTATCTTTCTCATCTACTAAAGGACATATTTTTGACAATTCTTCCCTGACCCTCAAATCCTTCCGTCTAGTCACACTGGTTTCCTTGCTGTTCCTTGAACACGTCTTGCCTTGCTAATTCCATGAGGCAGAGATCTTTGTATATCTTCTTCTCTGTTGTATCCCAAACTCACATAATGGAGCCTGGCATAATAGTAGACTGCTCAATAAGTACTTGTTGAATGAAAATGACCAGACATCACCCAAAAATAGTGAAAAGGGGTAAATTTTTTCATCTCTTTGACTCTGGAGAAGAGGTGAGCAAACTATAGCCTGCAGGCCAAAATATAGATAGCTACCCCTTCCTCCCCAACTTTTTTTTCTCTTTTTAAATTTGAAACAGGGTCTCACTCTATCACCCAAGCTGGAATGCAGTGGTGTCATCTTGGCTCACTGCAGCCTTGACCTCCTGGGCTCAAGTGATCCTACCGCCTCAGCCTCCTAAGTAGCTGGGACATCGTGTGCGCCAGCATGCCTGGTTAATTTTTTTTTTTTTTTTTTTTTTTTTTTTTTTTGTAGAGACAGGGTTCCACCATGTTGCCCAGGCTGGTCTCAAACTCCTGGGCTCAGGCGATCCACCTGCCTTGGCCTCCCACAGTGCTGAGATGACAGGTGTGAGCCACTGCGCCCGGCCTACTAACTGGTTCTTTACAGAATTTGTTGACTCTTGATGTAGAGGGGCATGCTGAAGAGAGAATTCAGTGACCCCTTGCTGCTCACACAAAAATCCAGCCACTGAATCCAAAGACTGAAACACACCTAGATCCGGGTGGGGGAGCCGGACCCTCAGTACCATACAAAGATGCAACAACCTCACTCTGGGGGAGAAGTTAATCTCTTGAACTCCTGTGCTCAAGCGATCCTCCTGCCTCAGCCTCCCAAAGGGCTAGGATTACAGGCATACGGCACCATGCCCGACAAAAAGCTAATCTCGAAATGCTGCTATTTCACACCTCAGTGGCACTTTGTAGAGGTGGCGAGAAGTAACCGTGTCTGCCCACACACATCACCAGTGGGCAGATGGGAGGCCTTAGTCTATTTTTTCACTTCTACATCCATTAGTCTTTCAAGAGTTGAAAATTTCTCCGTAACTGCTTATTCTTAGTGATCTTGCCACAGAAGGGTCATTTGTATCGTATTCTTTTGACAGAAAGACACATCTCAGTTCCCTAAAATAGCATCAGCTTTCATCATTCTTGCAGACTGGGCTTCTTGGAACACTGGCTTCACTTTACAGTGCATGAGCTGGGGGCTCAGCAGGCACTTTTCCAAGATGCTAGAATCTGTGATTACTAGGGCAGGGGTGGCTGTGGGACCCCCTCCTGAATAAGCCCATAGTGGTCAAGCAGGCCCTGGTTGGAGGGCTTCCCTAGGAAGTTGGTGTGGCTCTCAGGATGACTCAGGTTGGGGCTGGCCTCCCTGGGTACTCCTTGGACCTGGAAGGACTCTATATAAAGGAACTGCCTGTGAGCCAAGCAACATCTAGACTTATGTTGCCCAGGCTGGTCTTGAACTCCTGGGCTCAAGCAATCCTCACACTTAGGCCTCCCAAAGTACTGGAATTACAGTGCAATTTTGTTGCATGTATATATTGTATAGTGGTGAAGTCTTGGTTTTTAGTGTATCCATCATGGGAATAATGTACATTGCACCCATTAAGTAATTTCTCATCAACCTCCCTGCTTGTGCCCCTACCCAAGTCTTCAGTGTCTATCATTCCACACTCTCTTCCATGTGTGCACGTTATTTAGCTCCCACTTACAGGTGAGAATATACAGTTTTTGACTTTCTGTTTCTGAGTTGTTTCACTTTAGATAATGGCCTCCAGTTCCATCCATGTTGCTACAAAAGGATGGAATTTTATTTTATTTATTTATTTATTTATTTATTTATTTGAGATGGAGTCTCACTCTGTTACTCAGGCTAGAGTGCAATGGCGCAATCTCAGCTCACTGCAACCTCTGCCTCCCAGGTTCAAGCGATTCTCCTGCCTCAGCCTCCTGAGTAGCTGGGATTACAGGCATGCGCCATCTTGTCCAGCTGATTTTTGTGTTTTTGTAGAAACAGGGTTTCTCCGTGTTGGCCAGGATGGTCTCGAACTCCTGGCCTCAGGTGATCCACCCACCTCGGCCTCCCAAAGTGCTGGGATTACAGGAGGTGTGAGCCACCGCGCCTGGCTGATTTTATTCTTTTCTATGACTGAATGGTATTCCATTGCATATATACAGACTACATTTTCTTTATCCAGTCTTGCAATGATGGACACTAAGGTAGGTTCCATATCTTTGTTACTGTGAATAGTGCTGCAATTCATAAATGTACAAGTGTCTTTTTTATATAATAATTTATTTGTCTTTGAGTTGATACCCAGTAGTGAGATTGCTGGATGGAATGGTAGATCTATTTTTAGTCTTTTGAGATATCTCTGTACTGTTTTTCATAAAAGTTGTACTAATTTATATTCCCAGCAAATGTATAAGCATTCCCTTTCTCCCCATCCTTACCAACGTCTGTTATTTTTTGACTTTTTAACACCCCTACTGACTGGTGTAAGATGATATTTCATGATGGTTTTAATTTGCACTTCTCTGATGATTAGCGAACTTGTGCACGTTTTCATATGCTTGTTGGCCATTTTTGCATGTCTTCTTTTGAAAAATGTTAATTTATGCCCTTTGCCCACTTTTTAATGGGATTATTTGTTTTTGAGTTCCTTGTAAATTCCAGATAGTGGTTCTTGGTTGGATGTATAGTTTGCAGGTATTTTGTCCCATTCTGCAGGCTGTCTGTTCAGTCTGTTGTTTATTATTATTATTACTATTATTTGCTGTGCAGAAGGTTTTCAGTTAAGTCCCATTTGTCTATTTTGTTGTTGTTGTTGTTGCTTGTGCTTTTGAGGTCTTAGTTATGAATTCTTTGCCTAGATCAATGTCCAAACGAGTTTTCCCTAGGTTTTCTCCTAGTATTTTAATAGTTTCAGGTCTTACATTTAAGTCTTTAATCCATCTCTTTTTTTTTTTTCTTTTGAGATGGAGTCTTGCTCTGTCGCCCAGGCTAGAGTGCAGTGGTGCGATCTCCACTCACTGCAACCTCTGCCTCCCGGGTTCAGCGATTCAAGGAAAGTTATTTTGTTATAAGCTGGGACTTAATGTGTATTAAATAATAGAGTTAACCACCTTCACAGAATGAGACACCAAGCACTGTGGGGCAGGAAAGTAGAAGAGACCCATGAGGGACTATTCCCATAGTTGTCTATTCACACAGACAACTATGTTTAAATAAGCTGTTGAATTGCTAGTTGCTTTTTACCTCAGACAAAAATACTGATACATGAAGTCAACTAGAATTAGGGCAGGAAAACGAGGGTCCCCATGTGATCACTCCAGTGCACCCCTTCACCTTCTATGACAAGGGTGGGATGGGACTGTTGTAGCCTCTGCTGCCTTGGGAGAAGGGGTCTCCCTCCCCCAGGAAAGGTCACTTGCCCCCAGAGGAAACCACCATAGTGTTCAATATCAGCAATTGTAAGGAACTGTGGCTTCACCTAAAGAAATCTCTACCCGCAGTGCCACCCTGCCCCGTGCCGCACAGCTGCAGCCCATCCAGCCCAGCCGCAGAGCCTTCCCTAGGGAAATCCGGCCCCTTCTCTAATGCCAAAGAATTCTCTAATGCCCTGTCTCTTATGCCTTCCCCTGGAGTCTGCTGACTGCAGCTGGGGCTTTGCCGTCCTATTGCTGTGCTTTGGCTGTCTGGCTTCTGCTGGCTTTGAGAGGGCTGGGAGGAGCCCAGGTTCTGTAAGAGAAGAGGGGAGAGAGCGAGCCTGTGGAGGCTTTATCTCCACACCATCTCCCCACTTACAACCAGCTGCTGGTAGCCTCTGGAATTTACCTAAGAATAACTTACCCTCACCTCATTACCACGAATACTACCTTCCAAAAACCAAATTGTTTAGTGTCCCATGAGAAAGGTGATTTTTACCTACTCTGCCCATTTTTATTTCAAAAGACACTCCTCTCCCTCCAATTATTGGAGAATACTTCTGTCTGAGCCATATGGAGAGATAGCCCCCACCCTAAATCATTTATCCCCATGAGGAAATGAGAAGTGAGGGCAAATTGTCTCTGTTTATCTCACCCCACAGAATTTTCTGTTTGTGTCCGGTATCCAGCACAGCCCCCAGGCCCCTTAGTTTTGAGGGTTTTTTTTGTTTTGTTTTGTTTTTTCTCCCGACAGAGTCTGGCTTTGTCGCCCAGGTTGGAGTGTAGTGGCATGATCTTGGCTCACTGCAGCCTCCGCCTCCCGGGTTCAAGCAATTCTCCTGCCTCAGCCTCCTGAGTATCTGGGACTACAGGTGCGGGCCACCACACCCAGCTAATTTTTGTATTTTTAGTAGAGACGGAGTTTCACCATATTGGTCAGGCTGGTCTTGAACTCCTGACCTTGTGATCTGCCCACCTCGGCCTCCCAAAGTGCTGGGATTACAGGTGTGAGCCAAGGCACCTGGCCATAGTTTTGAGTTCTTGATGCAGGCCCTGATCTGTCCTGTCTGCAGGATGTGTGGCTGCCTGACTTCAGATTCTCTCTGGGTTCTGGTACCTCTTAGCTCTATCCCAACTGAGGTTTCTCCTTGGTGATGCTGTGAGCTCTACCAGTCTCCTCAGGGACCAGCCTGGAAGTGGTACCACGTGGAGCAGTTCTCAGATGGGAATAAGGGCAGGGAAAGGCCAGCAGCCCCCTGGACCCAGATTCAGAAGAACCCCTGCTGATTCTCTGTTTTGTGTTTTTTAGAGACAGGGTTTTGCTATGCTGCTCAGGCTGGAGTGCAGTGGTGAGATCACATCTCACTGGATCTCCCAGGCTCAAGCAGTCCTCCCACCTCAGCCTCCTGAGTAGCTGGGAACACAGGTGCATGCCATCACACCTGGCAGTTTCCTTTTATAACAGATGAATTCCTCTGTAAAGTCCTCAAAACATCAAGCATTTCCAGTGCTCTTGGAATGAAATTCAAGGAATATAAATTATATTCACACAGTGCCTCTAGAATACACATTTTGTGTGAAGTTAGAAGAAAAATTGCTTTTTTATTTAAAGTAAATTATAATGAACTAGATCAGCTTTTTTTTTTTTTTCTCACTCAGCCTACAAACTAGTTGACAGCAGTGATTATCCGTTGTTGAAAACAGCAGACAACTGTCTTGATGACTTCCATTTTCAGGTTTCTGAGGCTGGGGTGGGGGCGGTTGCGGGGAGAGGCAACTCCTCAGAATCTTTATTAGATTCTCTGCTAAGTAATAATACAAACATGAAGTAGGGAAATCAAGGTAATATCCCTTCAAAGTGAGGTTTCTTTTTTCTTATTTCAAATTTATCCTGATAAATGCAAATTAAAACAAGGAGATACCTCTTTACACCTAGCGGAATGTCTAAAAACAAAAACAAAACCCCTGACATTACCAAGTGCTGGTACAGATGGGAAGCAGCTAAGTAAAACCCTCACACATTGCTGGGGAGTGCAAATAGTGCAACCAGTTTGGAAAACAGCTTAGTGGTTTCTTTTAAAGATAAACATTCACTTTTCATATGACTCAGCCATTCCTCTCCTAGGTATCACCCAAGAGAAATGAAAATGTATGTTTCCATAAAAATCTGTATGCAAATATTTATAGCAGCTTTATTCATAATTGCCAAACACTGGAAGCAATCCAACTGTCCATTAACAGGTGAATGTGAAATCGAACTGGAAAATACATACAATGAGATATACCCAGTAATAAAGAGGGATGAACTAGGAATACATACAGCAACTTCTCAAGGGTGTTACACTAAGTGAAATCAACAAATCTCAAAGGTTGCATATTGTGTGATTCCACTTAGGTAACATTTTTGAATTGGAGAACAGATTAGTGATTTCCAGGGACTATAAGTGGCGGGGAAGGAAGGAGTAGAGAGACTACAGAGGCGACGCACGGGGTAGATGTCAGTGGTGGTGGAGGCGGTTCTGATACTGGTTGAGGTGGGGTTATGGGAACGTGCACATGTGATAAAATGGCAAACATGATATTGTTGGGGCTCAGAAAACGGCACCCCAAAGGGAGACCTCAGAAGCAGCTCTCTCTCACCTTCTCCGGTCTTCCTGTCACTGGCCCCTGATTCTCCCCTGAAGCTAGTCATGGAAACTAGAATCCCTCCTACCCAAGTGGCCTTTCTGTGTAAAAACTGGACATAAGGAAATTATCTGACCCACCTTGTTTGACTTTAGGTCATGAGAACCCCATTCCAGAGAGGGCCCTGCCCCACACCCAGAAAGAAAGAATGCTGCCCAGAGAGGCCAAGAAGAATCCGGACAGACAGGCCTCGCCGGGTTTCCCTACTCAGTCTCTCAGCATTAGATGTTACCCTTTTTGTCCAATAGTATCTCTACACGGCTGCCCATACCTAAGCATAAAAATGGATGGTTTCCCCTGTATCTTTGAGCTCTTATGTCACATAAAACTCTGATTAAATAAATGTGCATGCCTTTCCTCCTTTTTTTTTTTTTTTTTGAGACGGAGTCCCACTCTGTTGCTCAGGCTGGAGTGCAGTGGTCCCGTCTTGGCTCACTGCAACCTCCGCCTCCCAGGCTCAAGCAATTCTCCTGCCTCAGCCTCTCCAGTAGCTGGGATTACAGATACGCGCCACCACGCCTGGCTAATTTTTGTATTTTTCGTAGAGACGGGATTCCACCATAGTTGGCCAGGCTGGTCTCAAACTCCTGGGCTCAAGCGATCCACCCGCCTCAGCTTCCCAAAGTGCTGGGATTACAAGTGTGAGCCACCATAATCCCTTTTCTCCTATTAATCTGCCTTCTGTCAGTTGATTTTCAGCAAACATTCAGAGGGCAAAGCGGCAGTTTTCCCTCCACTCCTACAATGTCAGCATCAATGTCCTGCTCCTGATGGCATGCTGTAATTGTATAAGATGTAGCCATTGGAGGAAACTGGCTGAAGGGTACAAGGGACCACTTGGTATTGTCTTTGCAGCTTCCTCTGACTCTATAATTACCTCAAAATTAAAAGCTTATATATATGATAATAAAGTTATATATCATGTATATGTTACATATACATATAAGCACACACAAACATGCATGTATATACACACATGCATTCATAAACATATTGTTGTAGGAGTTACTAAGAAATTATTTTAGGCAGATAGAGAGGAGAAGGGGTCCTTGGGAAGTTTTCATTTCTTTTAAAGCACCTCCAAAAACGTTTCTTGTCTAGCAGAAAAGCTCCGGCTCTTAGAGCTGAGCTGGCAACCTTTAGTATGCAAACGCCAGCCATTAGAAACTGGATCCACCCAACATGGCGATTCCCATCATTGTCCTCTTGCCCTTGCCCCACACGTTCCTGGCAACATGGCTGCCCCCACATATCCCCAAGTATGTAGAACATCATGGCACCCTGCATTTGCATATTAAAAGACTAGGGTGGGAGGGTCAGTTTTTTTCGAGGGCTACATGAATGACTTACCTGGTCAAACCAATCCCCTGAGCCCTGTGCAAATCAAACACCATCTCCTCCAGCCTCTTCATATAGCTGGCTGGTATCCTGGCATGTGGGGTCTCCTCTTTCAGCTTTGGAGCCCCCCTCCCTCTGTCTCTGTATGGAGGAGCTTCTTCCTTCTGACTTCTCCCATCTTTCTTGCCTATTAAACTCTCTGCTCCTTAAAATCACACCAGGTGTGTCCGTGTCGTTTTTTCCAATTCAACTCGAGAGGAAGAACCTGGTATTCCTCCATTCATCAGAGCTGTATCAATATGATACGATAATATGGGTGAATCTCAAATATATTATGCTAAGTGAAAGAAGCTAGGCACAAGAGGCTACATCCCAAATTACTTCATTTATATGACACTCTGGAAAAGGTCGGACTAGGGACAGAGGATGGATCAGTGGTTCCCAGGGATTCCAGGTGGGGCAGCACGAGGGTGTATAGGATGATAGAGCTGTCCTGTATCCTCTCTGTGGTGGTAATTACTTGAATCTATGTATGTGTTAAAACTTGAAGAACTGTGCACCAAAAAGAGTGAATTTTACTATACATACATTTAAAAGTAAACTTTAAAAAGTGGCTTGTCAGCAATGCACAGAACAGCTCATTTCTATTGCAACAAACTATTGTGATTACTTTTGTATAAGTTACACATTTGGTCTTCACAATTTGAACCCCAATTGTGACACTATGCAAAGGGGGAAAAGTTCCCTGAGATTGTGTGATCAGTAAAAGATTATATTTACATTTAAATATCTTCAGTGTTTTTGACTTTAGCAAGACAAATGAGAATCTTTGATGGTGTTTGGTTTGTTGACCAGCCAGTTCAAATTACAGCTGGGTGGTTACCAAAGCTGGACAGATTACAGTATGGAATTAAAGTCTGAACAGAGTATGGGAATGCTAGCTTGAAACAAAAATAGAGTTTTGGGGAAAAAGAGCTTGGGAATTAATTGCATTCCTTGAATTCATTCCTTGGAAGTGTTTCATGCTGGCTCCCACAGTGGCTCAGGTGTACATGCTTTGTTTAGTAGTTGATCCTTTGAGCCATAGGAATTTTGGAATGTAATATGTTTGTTCTCCACCCACCCCGTGCCCATGAATCTCTTTTAGTAGGTTGATTTATTCACTCTTTAACTTCTATTGCACCTGAGTATACCAACAGTAGGATTAGGCTAGAAAGTATGCAGTCATAAGCTGAAATCAACAGGGACAAGTGATTAACAGGTGGACAGTGTTGAGCTTGCCAGGTCACCACTCTCATGGTCAATATTTTCTTTGTGCTATTTTTGGCTTGGTTCCACATCAGAGAGTTCAAACTCTGAAGTTGTAAAGATACTGCTTTTAAGAAAAATCAGCTCATGTCTGGACCTTGATTTAATCGTTTATTCATCTTTTTATAGTACTCTCTGTTCCCAAGATAAGCTACTTTATAAGGCAAAATTTCCACCTCGGCATCATTTCATATAAACATTTAATGCTGAAACTCCAGGTTACATCTGGCGTCTAATGATGAACGCAGACAGATGCTCCTATCCAGCCATGCCCTCTGCCACTCCGCGGGGTGCTGCTTTCCATTTCCTCTCTGTGTCTGTCAGCACCAGGGCCGAGCTTTTCTTCCGGGATAGATGCTGAGCTGACTCTGCACTCAAAGCGCTTCAAATGATGCTGATTGAAATCAGATGCTATAAAATGTTCATCACTTAGTTTCATTTATTAGTTTAGAGTGGCGTGCTATGCAAGCTTTTTGCTGTTTATTTATATTTTTACTTTAACTTTTATTAAAGTAATACAAGCATGAATTTTATAGAGCCAAACAATTCTACAATGTTCATTAACACAAATAGTAGTTGCTCCTTGCCTCTTCTCCAGAAACACCACTTTCAATTATCTTAGCTAATGCTATTGTCAGTAACCTCTACATCTCTAAATAAAATGCTTATATTGCTTTCCTTGATTTTTCAGCTTTATGCATTCATCTATTGGCTTATCCCTTTGCAAATGAAGAATTTGGCTGTCCTTCCTTCTCTTATTCTCAGGAAAAACACACACACCCTTCTCATCTGCTTATCTTTCTAATCTGGTTATATCATAATTTTTGTTAGCTCTTTGTTGAGCATTTATATGATTACAACCATGAAAATACTAAACTAAGCCATGCATCAAACTATAATGACTTTTCCTATCCTAGCCACTCTTTGCTTCCCTGGATTAAAATTTTATTATTATTATTGATGCTTATCACTAATTCAAACACAAACTCACTTAATTATACAAACATCCTCTTAAGACAGTCAGAGCATCACATATCTTATCAATCCAATCTTCACAAAATCTCTCCCAGATTCTCCAACATACTTCAGTCTAGATCGGCAGTCCCCAACCTTTTTGGCACCAGGGACCGGTTTCATGGAAGACAATTTTTCCACAGACAATGGGGGATGGTTTTGGAATGAAACTGGTCCACCCTAGATCATCAGGCATTAGATTCTCATAGGAGCATGCAACCTAGACCACTCGCATGTGCAGTTCAGAGTAGGGTTCATGCCCCTGTGAGAATCTAATGCCACCAGTGATTCGACAGGAGGCTGAGCTCGGGCAGTAATGCTCACTCACCTGTCATCTATCTCCTGCTGTGTGGCCCGGTTCCTAACAGGCCACCGACCAGTACCAGTCCACAGCCCAGGAGTTGGGGACCCCTAGTCTAGACCGTTCTCAACAACTGGGGCCAAACTGTCAACCTGGGACTTCTCCATCTTCCTGGGAATTCCCTTCACTTCTCTCATGTTGGATCTCCTGTTTCCTGTACGTCTTCTTTCCTGATTTACTCCTTTATCTTGGTGAAGCATATCTTTTAGCAACTTCCTACTATGAAGGAATAAAGGTGCATAGGAAATACAATATCTGGAACATTGCCTTTCTAAGATGTCTTTATTCAATCCTCATACTCAATTGATTTTTTTTTTTTTTTTTTTTGAGATAGAGTCTCGCCGTGTCGCCCAGGCTGGAGTGCAATGGCGTGATCTTGGCTTACTACAACCTCCGCCGCCCAGGTTCAAGTGATTCTTGTGCCTCAGCCTCCCAAGTAGCTGGTACTACAGGCGCCCGCCACCAAGCCCGGCTAATTTGTTTGTATTTTTAGTAGAGACAGGGTTTCACCATGTTGGTCAGGCTGGTCTCGAACTCCTGACGTCAGGTGATCCGCCCACATTGGCCTCCCAAAGTGCTAGGATTACAGGTGTAAGCTAACACACCCAGCCCTTAATTGATATTTTGACTATGTATAGAATTCTGGCTGGGTGGGGTGGCTCACACCTGTAATCCCAGCACTTTGGGAGGCCGAGGTGGGCAGATCACGAGGTCAGGAGATCGAGACCATCCTGGCTAACTCGGTGAAACCCCGTCTCTACTAAAAATACAAAAAATTAGCCGGGCGTGGTGGCAGGCGCCTGTGGCCCAACTACTTGGGAGGCTGAGGCAAGAGAATGGCGTGAACCCAGGAGGCGGAGCTTGCAGTGAGCCGAGATCTCACCACTGCACTCCAGCCTGGGCAACAGAGCGAGACTCTGTCTCAACAAACAAACAAACAACAAAAAAAAAGAATTCTAAGATAGTAGTTATTTTTCTTCAAATGTTTGAAGGCCTTGCTGTCTTGTCTTCTAGCCTCTGCCATTACTGTTGAGAAGCCTGATGACATTCTGATTTGATCCTTTGTATCCTTTAATCTTCTCAGATCCTTTCTTTATCCCAGCAGTTCTAAAGTTTCCCAGTGACATGCCTTGATTTATGTCTGTTTTTATCTACCATGCGTCAGTCTAAAAGCTTACATCATTCTTGTCTGGGAAACTGTTCAAATTACTTACCAAAATATTAACGAATGATTTTTTCCTTTCCATTTTTTTCTGTTCTCTTTTTCTGAATCTCCTATTATTTAGATATTGGACCTCCTGGACTAGTCTTCTAATTTTTTAATTTGTTCTTTTTTTTTTTTTTTTTTTGCTCTACTTTTTGGGAGAGTTCTTCAATTTTATCTTTCAATTTATTAAGTAAGCTTTAAACATTTTCTAGAATGGTTCTAAATGTTTAAAGCTCCTCGTTCTTCAAAAGTCTCATTTTTGTGTCATTCTATTGCTGTTCCAAGGGTGAAATATCTCTTCGTGTCTCTTGAGCTAGTACTGGTAAGTTTTTAAAAGAGCTGCTCTGTTTTGTCCACATTGTTTTTTACATTGGTTTGTCTTGGTCTGGATCTTTCACTTAGAATTTTCCTCACGTGGCTCGAATCCATGATCACGTGCTCATAAGAGCAAGAGGAAACTGAGTATGTGGGTCGTTAACAGTGAACTTCACCCTGGGCTGAGCTGGCCGAACTGTTTCACGGGAAACTCATAATCAGTATCTGTAAGATCTTCTTGGGCTGGTCAGATCCCCACAGGACTTTTTTTAGTCTCTTGCCTGGAGGATAATTGCCTGGCTAGGTTGACAGCATTCTGAGCTAAGGAAGACGGAGAGGACTGCAGGTCTCAGAATCCAGTGAGAATCTACTTACCTAGTCTCCCTATTTCTGGGATAGCACCCACTTCCACCTATGCCTACTGTCCCCTAGTCAGAAGACCTGTATTTTCTCTACAGAGAATAAATATCTAATAGTCTGTGAGTAGGGGGAGGGGCAACTGTCTGACTGCACAAATTGGATGAGGTGATGTGGAGGTGAAATTGCCTCTTGTTTTTGAGACAGGGTCTCTCTCTGTCTCCCAGGCTGGAGTAGGGGCTTGATCACAGCTCACTGCAGCCACGACCTCCAGGGCTCAAGCCATCCTCCTGCTTCAGCTTCCTGAGTAGCTGTGACTACAGGCATGTGCCACTATGCCCAACTAACTTAAAAACAAATGTTTTTGTAGAGATGGTGGTCTTGCTATGTTGCCCAGGCTGGTCTCAAACTCCTAGCCTCAAGTGATCCTCCTGCCTCAGCCTCCCAAAACATTGGGATTACAGACATGAGCCATGGTGCCTGGCCCAAATTACTTCCTAAAAACTTTCAACAATTCATTTAGGCCGGGACCCTCAGTGCTACCAATTCACAGCTGTTTAGAGACTCTGGTACAAATTAGCTTTCCTCACTGCTGATTTAAGATTCAGCTTCTTTATGTCTGCTAAGTCAGTTAACAGTCATGTGTATGCTTTCTGGATTCCAAAATTTATTGTCGTTTTCTCCTCTCACATTCTCCCATGCCATTAGAAATCTCCTTTACCATAGTTTTAGAGAGATATCAGGAGAGAGGTATGTTCAACCTGCTATCCTTATCTGGAAGTCACCATGTACTTTTGATGGTGCGTGTGACCTGGAATCTATATAAAGCCCTCCTGGCCTTCACAGAAAGTGCTACCCATCGAGGTCAGAGCTGTTTCTCTAACGCACCGAAGACTACCAGGACACCCGCAGGTAGGGTCTGAAAGCTCTCCACGTGGGACATGGGACCCTGCTTCTCTAGGTACCTGCTTGCCTTCCCTTGCTTGGGGGGCAGTGAGGGTGTGAGTGTGTCTCTGTGTGCTTGCCTGTGCATGTGTGTTTATGCGAGCAATGCTTGCTTAAAGGAAGTAAGGGAAAGTCGTGCATGAGATGATGAAACAGCTGAGAAAACCTTCAACACTGTCTATTTGTGACCCCTGATATTACAATTAAGAAATGAAGACCAGAGCAGGGTCATGACATGCTGGAAGTGTATTCCCAGGAGGGACCCAAAGACAATTTATTTTGCTCTATAAGTATTCACAACGCAAAACCACACAGCAAAATTAATGACAGAATTAGATGACAGCGTCACATCTGTGTCCTTCCCATCACACCCGCTCCCACTGCCTCCACTGTACAGAGGAGATGACCGAGATGCAGAGAGGTTGCAGGCTTTGCCTGCAGCTGTGCAACTAATGTGAATTGCTTAAGAAAAAAAACTAACACAGAAATAACAAAATAATACAGAGTCCTGATGTAGGAAAGAAATGCTGTGTTTACATTGGAATGTAAGCGGAATCCTATTAAAAACTTTAAAAACTGCTGTTTAAAAAAAAAAAAAACTTTCTGACCTTGAACCAATGAAACTTTTTTTGCACCTGAAGAGCAAATCCAAGATAGTAATAAAAATAAAGTATGAAGCATCTTGGTGTGTAGTTTATGACCCTTATCATATTTGCTAGAGAGTTCCCAGATGTGGAGTTTCTGCCTTATAATCCTTCTCGATGTTAAGTCATCCCTCTCCTCCGCTCACTGGTGGCTCCTTCTAAACCACATCTGCTTTTCCAGATGTGGGCTGGGCACACAGAAGCAGAGCACTGAAGATATCGCCTCCTAAACTTAGACCAGAGCCCTTACCTGCCACCTTCTTAGTTCCCTTTGCTCTAGGGCCTGTTACATTCAGCAGTCAAGGATTTCTCAGACACAAAGAGCATCAGGTCTTACAGGATAGCTGGAATGAGCTGTGGTTTCCTCCAGCACCTACCCAAACTGGACAGCTCAGGCAGAGAGTGTTAGTCTATTTGCATTGCTATAAAGGAGTACCAAGGCTAAGAGGATTATTTGGCTTATGGTTCTGCAGGCTGTACAAGAAGCAGGCCCCAGGGTCTGCTTCTGGTGAGGGCCTCAGGAAGCTTCCAAACATGATGGAAGGGGCAGGGGAGCCGGCATGTCATATGGCGAGAGAGGGAGCAAGGGTGGGGAAGGATGCCATACTCTTTTGAACAACCAGATCTTGCTTGAATTAATAAGAGCAAGAACTCATTACCATGGAGAGGGCACCCGGCCATTCACGAGGGATCCGGCCCCATCACCCAACACCTCCCGCTAGGCTCTACCTCCAACATTGGGGGGTCACATTTCAACATGAGATTTTGGGGGACAAATATCCAAACCACATCACAGAGGCATTCTCCGCCAATGCAGGAACCATTTGCAGTAAAATAGCCCAGGAAGGAGGTGACTGCTCCGTCAGCGCCATGATGCCAGGAGTTTTATTTTGCAAGAAGCAGAGTCAAAATAATAGAAAGAATGCGAATTCTTTGCCTAAGACTAGAATGTTGATATTTGGAAGAAAGTTCTTGCATCTGTGGATAAAGCGTGTTTCCCCTTAGACGGATTCAGAAGGAAATCAGACTCAGCCATTGCTGGTGGAGGGAAGATACGCTGTAGTTCGAGTTACCGCTGCTTCCTCCATGCACGGGACCAGGGCACCTAAATGCTTTCAAGGCCAGCAGAAGCCTGTACAGAAGGAAATTCTCATCAACATCTGGCTGAAGCAGGAGGTGGCAGAGTTCACAAGAGCAAGAGAGCGAAGCCTTTTGTGTGGGCCACTCTGCGGGGTCAGCCCTGTTGGCAGAAAATGACTCAGGAACACGGCCTACCCCCAGTAGCTGAGGTCCAGGAGATGCTCAAAGGGCACACACAGGAAGGTTCCAGGAGCTCTTGCTCTTCCAGGGAAAAGGAATGTGAATCAACCCCTTTCTCGAGCAGCCCAGCACAGAGAAAAGAACACAAGCGTGGGAGAGAGCTTTTACATTAGAACAAGAGGCCCGGCTTTGGACATGTTGCGTACATATTGAAAGGGGTACCTCCCACAGAAATGATACACACAGTAGGAGTCACGTTTCCTTGAAACAGAGCCCGAGAATTTTCAGTATTCCCCAAGTTGCAAACACCAGCATGAACACAGTTTTCCCTGTGAAACGTAAAGGTCCAGACCAAGCCATGTTGAGATGTGGGAGCTGGGCGGCGGTTTAACCTCGCTGGGGTGATGGAACTCACTCCCCTACGTTGATCCCATAATGCCCCCAATTCAAGTTTGTCAGTTGAGTCACTGCATTCATAAAATGAATGTTGTTCTTCAGCAGTGAGAAACACAAACCTTAAATACTCAACTGTCAAGAGTCTACTATAACAAAGATTTGTACCTACAAAAATAACCAACCTCCCTCTTCACCAAAGATGGGGGTGACCTGCCAATGCTCTGTGTGCTGACACGATGTTCAGCACAGAATGGCACAGACAGAGAGCACCATGCAGAGCCAAGACAAGTGCTGGGGCAAACCTCAGACAGCTTATCTTTTCATTCTCTTAGTGGAGCAGAAATTTTTAATTTTGATGAAGTCCGATTTATCAACTTGTCTTTTATGGATTGTATTTTTGGTACAAAATCTAGGAAATCCTTTCTTAAACCAAGCTCACAAAGGTTTTATCCTATATTTTCATCTAGAAGTTTTTTTTTCTTTTTTTTTTTTTAAAGACAATCTCGCTCTGTCGCCCAGGCTGGAGTGCAGTGGTCCGATTTTGGCTCATTGCAACCTCTGCTTCCCGGGTTCAAGTGATTCTCCTGCCTCAGCCTCCTGAGTAGCTGGGATTACAGGTACCTGCCACCATGCCCATCTAATTTTTGTATTCTTCATAGAGATGGAGTTTTGCCATGTTGGCCAGTTTGGTCTGGAACTCCTGGCTTCAGGTGATCCACCTGCCTTGGCCTCCCAAAGTGTTGGGATTACAGGCATGAGCCACCGCACCTGGCCATGTCTAGAAGTTTTACAGTTTTAGGTTTTACATTTACAGCTATCATCCATTTTGAATATATTGTTGTATATTTATAATGTAGGAGTTCAAATTCATCTCATCCCATGTAGATATCATTATCCCAGCACCATTTGTTGAAAAAACTATCCTTTCTTCATTGAATTTCCTTTGTACCTTTGCCAAAAAGTCAGTTGTCCATATATGTGTTGGTCTATTTCTGGTCTTTCTGTTCTGTTCTATTGATCTATTTGTTTATCTTTATGCCAATACCATATCATCTTGATTAATTTAGCTTTATAATAAGTCTTAAAATCAGGTAGTATTAGTCCTCCAACTTTGTTCTTTTTCAAAATTATTGTGGCCATACCAGGTCCTTTGCATTGTCATGATTTTTAGAATCCATTTTTCAATTTCTACAAAAAAGTTTGCTATGAGATTTTTTATTAGAATTGTGTTGAATCTATAGATTTGGGGAGTTGCTATTTTAATATGAATCTTTGAACCCATGAACACAGCCTATCATTTTACTTATGTAGGTTTTCTCTAATTTCTCTCAGCAGTGATTCTTAGTTTTCAGTGTACAGGTCTTTCACAACTTTTGTCAGATTTATTCCTAAATATTTCATATTTTTAATGCTATTGCAAATGTACTTTTATTTAAATTTCTAATTGTTTATTGCTAATATATAGAATACAACTAACTTTGGTATGTTGATCATATGTCCTGCGAAGCTCATTTATTAGTTCTACTAGCTTCTTTGTAGATTCCATCAGGTTTTCTACATGGATGATCATGTCTGTGAATAAAGACATCTTTCCTTTTTGATCTGGATGCCTTTTATTTTTTCTTGCCTATTGAACTAAAAACCTCTAGTACAATGATGAGTAGAAATGGTGAGAGCAGATATACTTGACTTGTTCATGAGTTCAGAAGAAAAGCATTCAGTCTTTTATGATTATTAAGTATGACATTAGCTATAGGATTTTCATAGATGTCGTTTATCAGGTTGAGAAAGTTTCCATCTACTTTTAGTGTGCTTAGAGATTTTATCAGGAAAGGATGATGGATTTTTGTCAAATCCTTTCCTCACATATATTGAGATGATCATATGGTTTTTCTTTTTCTACTAACTTAACGAATGATATTCATTAATTTTTCAAACATTAACCTTGAACTCCTAGAATAAACCCTACTTGGTCATAATATATTATCTATATGTATACACATACATACACATAATGTATTATCATATACACACCCACATCTGTAGTTGGATTTGACTGATCTGTAGTTTTCTTTTTCTTTTATTGTCTTTGTCTGATTTTGGTATCAGGGCAATGCCAGCCTCCATCTTCTGAAAAAGTTTATATAGAATTGGTATTATTTCTTCCTTAAATGTTTCATAGAATTCATCAATGAAGGTATCTGTGCTTGGAGTTTTCTTTGTGGGAAACTTTTAAACTACAAGTTCAATTTCATTCATAAATATTGGGCTATCTATTTCTTTTTGTATGAGATTAATAGTTTGTGTCTTTCAAGGAATTTGTCCATTTCAACTAAGTTGTTGAATTTAGTAGCATAAAGTTACATATAATATTCCCTTAAATCTTTCTGTTGTTGTTTGCTTGTTTTGTTGTTGTTGTGGTGGTGGTGGTGGTTGGTTGTTTTTTTTTTCAGAACGGGGTTTCACCATGTTGGCCAGGCTGGTCTCTAACTCCTGACCTCATGTGATCTGCCTGCCTGCCTGCCTCAGCCTCTCAAAGTGCTGGGATTACAGGCGTGAGCCACCATGCCCGGCTTCCCTTAAATCCTTTTAAAGCAGGGTTTCTCAACAGGGAATGACTGACATTTTGGACTGGATAATTTTTTACTGAGGCAGCATATCCTACACGTTGTAAGATGTTTAATGACATTTCTGATCTCCACCCACTGGATGGATGTCATAGTGATGCCCTCTCCTCAGCTTCCCAGTTTCCGGACACTGCCAAATATCTTCTGTGGGGGAAATAGCCCCCAGTTGAAAGCCATTGTTTTAATCTCTGCAGAATCTATAGTGATGGCATATCTGTCGATCCTGATATTGGTCATTTGTAACTTCTCTCTTTTTTTTCTTGATCAATCTGTCTAGAGATTTATAAATTGTATTGATCTCAA
Source organism: Homo sapiens (assembly GCF_000001405.40). Taxonomy (NCBI): domain Eukaryota; kingdom Metazoa; phylum Chordata; class Mammalia; order Primates; family Hominidae; genus Homo; species Homo sapiens. The sequence continues at coordinate 184,947,084 of NC_000004.12, forward strand.
AGAACCAATTTTGGTTTCATTGATTTTTCTATATCTTTTTTTATTTCATTGATTTCTGCTCTGATCTTTAATGGTACTAGCTTTAATGGACTTTCTTCCACTTATGTGGTGTTTAATTTGCTCTCCTTTTTCTAATTTCCTAATTAGAAGCTGAGGTCATTGATTGAAAACAGTTCTTCCTTTCTAATGTGTTTATTGCTCTAAGTTTCTCTCTAGGTACTGCTTTAATGGCACATTCCACAAATTTTGATATGTTATGTTTTCATTTTCTTTCACTTCAGACTACTTTCTGATTTATCTTTTGATTTCTTCTTTGATCCAAGAGTTAATTAGTTGTGTGCTATTTAGCTTCCAAATATTTGAGGATTTTTAAAGAGGGTTTTTTGGTAATTGATTTATTATTTAATACTATGTGACCAGAGAACATACTTTGTCTGACTTTAATCCTTTTAAGTTTATTGAGGTGTGAAATATGTTTTATAGCCCACAATATGGTTTGCTTTGGTAAATATTCCATGTGCTCTCAAGAAAGTGTGTTCTGCTATTGTTGGGTGGAAGGTTCTATAAATGTCACTTAAGTTAAGTTGGTTGATAATTGATATGGTTTGGCTCTGTGTCCCTACTCAAATCTCATCTCAAATTGTAATCCCCACATGTCAAGGGAGAGATCTGGTGGGAGGTGACTGGATCATGGGGGCGGTTTCCCTGTTACTGTTCCTCTCTCTCTCTCTCTCTCCTGTCGCCTTGTGAAGACGTGCCTTGCCTCCCCTTTGCCTTCTGCTGTGATTGTAAGTTTCCTGAGGCCTCCTCAGCCATGTGGAACTGTGAGTCAATTAAACCTTTTTTTGTTTGTAAATTACCTAGTATCTTTATAGCAGTGTGAAAACGGGCTAATACAACAGTGTTGCCCAAATTTTGTATAGCTTCACCAATTGTCTCCTTGTCTCCTTAGTCCTATCAATTGAAGTAAGAAGGATATTGAAAACTCCATCTATAATTATAAATTTTAGTATAGATAAGTCAATTTTTTCTGAGATAATAGACAATCAAATATTCTCCTATGGATAGAGAATCCAGAAGGAAGAGATTATTTTGATAAAGAAAAGTAACATTTTTGAAATGGGAAGAAGCTTTTAATTTTCTTCTATTACACACATACAGGTATTCCAAAACAGTTAATTTAAGGATAAAAGAAAGGGAGGTATAACAGCAGTGAGGAACAAATGGACATAATGGGCGTCTGGATGTGATGCTCTGTAGTATTCAAGTCAAAATGAAAAATCTGAATTTAGTCATGATGAAATTCAGACAAACCTAAATTGAAGACCATTCTATGAAGTAACTAGCCTGTATCCTTCAGTTATTTAATGTCGTGTACATTATATTATCAGGATTTGTTTAGACCAAGGAATTGATTCAAATTAAAGGAAACTATAAAGAGAAAACAGCTGAATGTAATATGACCCTGTGTTGGATCCTGTTTCAGAAGAAAAAAATTGTAAGAAATTACATTATTGGGATAGTTGATGAAGGAGACAATGGGCTCTAGATTAGATAAATGTATTGTGTCAATGTCAATGTTAAATGTCCTGAATGTGATAATGGTACTATGGTTATGTTTAAAATTGTCCTTTTTCCTTTAGAAAATACACAGAAGAATTAAGGGATGATATATGTATTGCCTACTACTCTTACATGGCTCAGAAAAAAATAGCTGTAAAGAGAGAAAATGGTAAGACAGATGTAGCACAATGATAAATGTTAGTGAATAAAGGGCATACAGGAGTTCTTTGTACAACTTTTTGATGAGTTTAAAGTTATTTCAAAATGAAAAGTAAAAAAGAGAGAAAGTAAGAAAAGAAGGAAAAGGAAAGGGGGAAGGAAGGAAGAGAGAAAGGAAAGAAAAGAGGTAGGCAGGCCGTTTGAGTCGCTGCTTGAGCAAAGCCCTTGCATCTGTTCAATTCCATTCCACTGGCATCGATTTTTAACTTCAGGCACAGGCTGCACTAAGATTTCCCCAAATACTGCCCAGAGTGTACACAGCAGAGAGATGTGCTCCAGATGTATTTGAACATGGTTGGCTGTCAACAGCTCTGCAATGAATGGCATCTGCCTGGGAACACCCCTCAGGCCACATGTAGGTTACTTGTAAGTTAAAGCTTGTTTTGCTCCTGTGGGTGTTGCTGGCCTTGAGGATTTCCTTCCTCTCTTCCTACCCATCTATTCTTGCTCTTGCAGAAATGATGACGGGATGATGGGTAGAAAGAGGAGAGCAGCAGACTCTGGTGGCACTCTGTACAGTGTCCCACCTTGCACCTGGCCACGGTTTTGGCACTGAGTAGTTTGCCTCCATCTCCACATCATCCCTATCCTTCCAACTGCCCCATCCCACCCTCTGCCAAGCTTCTATTCTTCCTCTGTGGTTTTCCACAGTCCCTACAGGGTCAGACTCAGAGTTAATTACTCTGTCAAAATCATGCAGAATTGTGCATAAATTTAGGCTTTCCCGAAACATTAGCTTTCCCACTGTGTCTCTTTTCCCTAACTCGTTCTGAACCCATGCTCTTGGCCAAAGGTCTTCTGCAAAGGTCCCCATGAACATGTTTATACTTGAATGACAGCATTTTAATGTGTTACCCTCCCAGGGCTACTTGCGGTTAATAGAGACCACTAAATGGGTGCCCTTTCCATCTTCTGTGATGTAAGAGCAGACGCAGAAGGATCGTTGCTATTTTCTGGAGGCAGTTTTCACATATTTGGTGAGATTTTGGATTATATCATGATTCCCAAATCATATAATGCTACATAGCAGCTAATATCTATTTTCTCTATTCAAAGTCCAGGAGTGAGGGAATGCATCACAGAATGAAGAAGAAAGAGAATTGAGGGAAAATCTCTCCATGGAGGCAGGGGTAGACACGAGAGGTAGTAAGTGTGAGGCTGTAGTGCAAATTAAGACCACCTCAAGGTGCTGTGATTCTTGCTCCTTCATCCTTAACTCAAAGAAGCAAAATCCTGCTGGCAAAGCAGGCATTCCTGGCAGGCTGCGGAGTGGGGGGGGGGAATATTTTGCCTGAGACCCCCAGAGAAGACCAGATGGGCAGCTGCCTGGTCCACCCATGGGCAAGGCTGTTCCTGGGAAGAGCGTTGGATTGGGCAGGTTATAGGTCACGATCCCCTGCAGGGGGTGAAGGCTCACTGCTGAGATCTTCAGGACTGTGGAACTGGGGGATAAGTTCACAGCTGCTGTGAGTGACAGGGTTTCCAAGCACGGGGCACTTACCAAACTCCATGGAGGCCCTGGATAGCACAATGATCAGGATCTTGTCCCTGCAGGCCGGGCACAGTGGCTCATGCCTGTAATCCCAGCACTTTGGGAAACCAAGATGAGTGAATTGCTTGAACCCAGGAGTTTGAGACCAGCCTGGGCAACTTGGCAAAATGTCGTCTCTATAAAAGATACAAAAATTAGCCAGGCGTGGTGGCATGCGACTGTAGTCCCAGCTACTCAGGAAGCTGAGGTGGGAGGATTGTTTGAACCTGGAAGGTCAAGGCTACAGTGAGCCATGATTGCACCACTGTACTCCAGCCTGGGTGACAGAGTGACACCCTGTCTCAGAAAATAAATAAATAAAATGCTGGTTACTATTGTGGAGCAGAGTGGTGGCTCACAGGAAAGAGTGAGCACCCAGCCTGGGACGAAGATTCCAGGATCTGAGGCAGAGGAGAAGCTAGATCTCAAAGGAGAAGCAATATTTGGTCAGAAAAGTGGCAGGGCAGGAGGAGAGATTCTTCCAAAAAGCCAGAACAGGAACTTCAGGCAGAATAAAATCGAAGTCTCAAGACAGACAGGTGGCGTGCCCTTTCAAGTCCTTTTGGAAAAAGTCACAAACAAGATCCAGAGGGCCAGAGTGGTGACGGAGAGCCTCCCGGAGGAGACGAAGCTGAAGCCGGCCTAAAATGCTGGGGAGAGGCAGGACTGGCACGGTGCATGAGGAGCCGTTCACCACTGTGTGAGGAAGCCAGACCCGTGGGCGCACCTGCTAGAATGGCTACCACCAAAAGTGCGCACTAACAAGTGTTGGTGGGGATGTGGGAAAATAGGAGCCTCAGGCATTGTTGGTGGGAATGTGACATGTGCTTCCTCCAGGAGTCAAACATCGAGTCACCATATGGCCCAGCCACTCCACTCCGAGACATACACTCAAGGAAACTCAGAGCACATGTCCACGCAAGAACCTGTACCCAAATGTTGGTGGCAGCATTATTCACAAGAGCCAAAACATAGACGCAGCCCAAACGTCCATGGTGAGGCAAGATGTGGTCTATCCAGACAGCGAACTATTATTCAGACGTGAAAAGGCATGAGGTGCGGACTCACACGAAACACGGAAGGGCCTTGAAACACGATGCCGAGTGAAAAAGCCCGTCACTCATGCCGTGTATTGAACGAACCATTCCCTTTTTGTGAAATGTCCAGAACGGGCAAATGCATAGAGACAGAAAGCAGATTAGTGAAGGGGACGGGGAGGACAGGGAGTGGAGTGCGGCTGTCTCAGCAGATGTGGGTTTCCTTTCAGGATGGAGAGAACGTGCTGGAATTGGGTCCTGTGATGGTTGCACAATGTTGTGAGGATTAAAAACCACTGAACTGTACCTTTCAAAGGCCCATGTTATGGTGTGTGAATTGTATCTAAAAAATAAATAGCCACCAAAGGGCCTTGAATGACACCACTGAACGGGGCGCAGTGTGCCCGTGCGTGTTGGTGCCTGGTGTGTATGAGATGGGGCGACGCGTGGCCATGCATGTTGGCGCCTGGTGTGTATGGGGTGGGGGGACGCGTGGCCATGCGTGTTCGTGCCTGGTGTGTATGGGGTGGGGGACGCATGGCCATGCGTGTTGGCTCCTGGTATGTATGGGGATGGGGGGACATGTGCCCATGCGTGTTGGTGCCTGATGTGTATGGGGTGGGGGACGCGTGGCCATGCGTGTTGGCGCCTGGTATGTATGGGGATGGGGGGGACATGTGCCCATGCGTGTTGGTGCCTGGTGTGTATGGGGTGGGGGACGCATGGCCATGCGTGTTGGCGCCTGGTATGTATGGGGATGGGGGGGACATGTGCCCATGCGTGTTGGTGCCTGATGTGTATGGGGTGGGGAGACGCGTGGCCATGCGTGTTGGCGCCTGGTGTGTATGGGGTGGGGGACGCGTGGCCGTGCGTGTTGGCGCCTGGTGTGCATGGGGTTGGGGACGCATGCAGTAGAACCTGGGAGAGGAGTGTTGTACAGATGCAGGTTCTGGGGACACGCTGACCCACAGGGACCTCTGCACTGAGACACTCTGATGTTCCATAAAGTGGATGAAGCAAAATCAAAGAAAAGCATATTGATACAAAGCAGCTTCATGTTTCTGCATTTGAACTGCGATACAACCTGAATTTTCCATGCCAGTTTTGAGGCAAAAAAAGCCCAGTGCGCCTCTCCATCCTTTCATCAGTGCATCTAGTAAGCATAGCCCTTATCTGAGACTGCTTAGGGATGCAGAGCACAGGTCCTGCCATGTGCGCTGAGACACACACACACCCGTCCTCTGTCACAGAGGAGGAGGGGAGGGGTGACGTGGGCACCGCATTGTAAACCACAGGCCCAGGGATGGAGGTGTTTCCTGGTGTTGGCAGGAGAAATCTGAGCTGACCCCTGTTCAATGTATGGCATGTCTCCTGGAGGAGCCACCAGGAGTGGTGCCTTCATGGAGTTCCCTCCACGTGGGCTCCATACTGGTTCCCCACACCAGCACATGGCAGGCACTCCAAAACTATTCAGCTGAATAAATTTACCAAGTTAGCAAACACTTGTTAGTTTTGAGCAGCCCCAGAATCTTTTCCTTTGGGGAACTGCCCAGTGGAACCTCTAAACACGGGCTCCCTTCCCGCATGCAGGGCTGGCGCCTTGACCTGGGTTATCAGGGTCCTTCTCAGGGGTGATTCTGGGCCCTGGGAGAGAGGGTATCCTGCCTTCTGAGATCACAGGCATCAGGGATCATGTGAGGCTGGATTTCTGCATCCTAAGAACATCCATCCGTGGGAGGCTGGATCAGGCGAGGGCAGAGCTGGAGCGGACCGAGGACATCCCTTGGCCCCGGAAGGAGCGCCTCTTTTGTTTTGCTTAAGCTCCTTAGAGTTGGTTTCTGTCACTTGCAACTGCGTAAAGTCCTGACTAACACGGGGAGAAACAATGATTATTTTCATTTTACAGATGCAAAAACTGAGGCTTCAAGCCTTGGGCAAGTCACCTAAATGGCTTCTACATAGAAGGGAGATAATAGTAAGACCTAGGGTTCCCTACAGAATCAGGCTGGCAGGAGAATTAAGCAAAATAATCCATGAGATCCTTGTCGTGGGGCCTGATACAAGCTAAGTGCTGGGTTAGAGTTAGATATTGATATTAATACCCAGTGCTTAAGAAACCGCCGCCAGGTCACACAGCAAGTAAGTGGCGAAGCCAGGATTTGAACCCAGGCTGTCCGGCTTTAAGCCTGGCTGCGTCTGTTGAGTGAGAGGATGCAGCGTGAGAAGAGGAAGAATGGGAAACAGCCTTGGGAGGGCCGGTTAGGATCAGAGCTGGAGAACCTTGAATGCCATTGAAAGGGATTTAGATTTTATCCTGCACATAATCAAAAGCCTTCAAAGTAAATCCAGAAGATTATTCTGGCAGGGGCATAAATATCTAGAGTTGAAACCAGGGACACCCAGCCTCTTGGAAAGCCTTTCAACAGTCTGGTAACATGGAGATGAAGAACTGAAACAAGGAAGAGGTACCAGAAACCAAGACAGGGACTGTGATTCCAGACAAGTTGCCCTTGAGATGGGAGGGCTTGATGATTATGTTTTGGATGCAATCCCCTGAACTGGGGACAGCGACTCAACTTCAGTGTCACACAGTAGAAATCGCTGTGCTACAAACGGATATTCAATGCACAGTTTGAAAATAGTTCAGTAACTTCCGGAAAGACAGTGGCTCCAGGCGCCACTCTCAAGGCACCCCACGATACTTGCCTTTTCAAGCCTGCAGGGCAGAATGCTGATGCCATTCACTGGAAGGACGAGTGGGTTTGGAAGTTCGGATAATAAATTCCTGTTCGGACTTGTGTGTGACAATGGGAGGAGTAAGCTGAAATACAGGCTGGAGAAGTCAGAGCTGGGAATTTGGGCATTGTCAGCATGGAGGGATGGTTGAGGTTGGGACTCAAGAGAGAAGACCCAGGAAAGCTCCCAGGAGGAATGCCTGCAGTGTGAATCCATCCACCAGCAGACCTCAGCCCAGAGAAGACGTAAGACATCCCACACATGTGAAAAGACAAAACAGATTCACAACCATCAGGACTTCTTTGTCCTGTATTTGTATTCATTTGCTAGAGCGGCCTTAACGAGAAAACACAGGTGGGGTGGCTTACGTGACAGAAAGTGACTTCTCAGAGTCCTGGAGGCTCCAAGTCCCAGGTCAGGGTGTCAGTGGGGCCACCTTCTCCAGAGGCCCCTCCTTGGCTTGCCAGGAATCGCCGTCTCCCCGGTGTCCTCACAGGGCCTTTCCTCTGCGTGCGCACGTTTCTGCTGTCTCTGTGCATGCACATTTCCTCTTAGAAGATCACCAGTCACACTGGATTAGGGCCTGCCCTGACGGCATCATCCTAACCATCACCTCTTAAAAGGCCTGTCTCCAAATGCAGTCCCAATCTGGGGTATTGGGGTTTAGAGCTTCAACACAGGAATTTCGGGGGACACGATTCAGCCCATAGAAATATCCAAGGTTGGTGAGCTCCTCCTCCTCTTCTGGAGAAGAGGCTACATCCTGGGAGTGCAGGCAGGCGCTTAGGGACACCATCGCTCCTCTCAAAGCCGGGACTGGTCCCCAGGGTGCTCTGCATCCTGCCTGGGAAGCCAAGAAGCCACCTGTGTGCCCAGAAATAGAGCCACCCACACCCATGGGTTCCTTTCTCCCGGCTCTTGTTGCCAGATGCACAGAGGCGGCTTGTGTCAGCAGAGACCGGTGAGTACATGGAAGAGTCCTTCTTTTCGTGACCCTCAGACCAGCAGGCGAGGAAGAATTCCTGCCTGGGAAAGAGCCTTGAGTGGGAAGGGCCAACCCAGGGCATGGGTTTGGAGCATGCCCTCTGGCTTCCTCTTTGAATGTACTCAGAAGTCTTCCCACAGATGCTCAAATGCACAAGTGGACAGAGCACATGTGTGTGTGGAGGGAGGAGGGCAGGGAGAAGGGCAGTCGGGCAGGTTCACTGGTCCCAGACCTCCTGAGGAATTCTGGGGAACTCAGCCTTGGCCCCGGGCATGTGTTGAGCCCTCCTGCCCTCTGAGCTTGAAGAACACACACTTCCTGGCAGGAAGAAGAAGTCTTATCCTTTGTATCCTGATTTTTTTTCCAACTTAAGGGAGGGGTTCCCCTGGAATCACTGGTAGACAACTGGAGAAGAATATCCCGGAGTCTAAATCTTTTTAATTATATATATTTTTCTTGTATGGATGCACCCAACTGAAGACATCCATTCCTTTGCGTATACAGAATATGAACATTATCTACAGCTTACCTACCCAAGCGATTTTTAGTTGTCTTTATCTGAAAAAAAAAAAAAAAAAATGCCATCACTGAAAGCAGTGCTGTGTCCGGAGCAAGCAAGGGCCTTGTATTTGCAAGAGTCAGGCAGCCGCCCCACCCCACGGGAGGCTGGGTGGTCACGCCTCAGTGCCAGCCACTGCTCTCAGTTCTGGTCTTTACGCTTCAGGTCATGATAGTATCTACCACACTGGGTTGTTCTGAACATCAAATGACCTCACACAAACTATGGACTCGATCCTTCTGAAAATGTTACCATCACAAAGATGAGGCAGCCTAGAGGAATAGAGCTCCAGATGGAGAGTTTGAAATCTGGGTTCTGATAACAACTTGGCCGTAACCTGTCTGGCGACCTTGAGCAAGCCTCTTTCTGAGATTCACCCTTCTCATCTATAAAATGGGCACCACGTCTCAGCTTTAACATATATCAAAATGATGGCTACACACTGGGTCCCACCTCCAGAAATTCTAATTTGGAGGTTGTGAGATGAGGCCCAAGAACCTGCATTTTAAACAAGCATCTTAGGTGATTTGGATGCAAATGGGCTGGTGAGCATGCCAAGTGGAGTACTGGTCTGGACCTTCATTCATTCATTCAAGAAGTGTTTGAGGCTGGGCACGGTGGCTCACGCCTGTAATCTCAACACTTTGGGAGGCCAAGGCGGGCAGATCACGAGGTCAGGAGATCGAGACCATCTTGGCGAACACGGTGAAACCCCATCTCTACTAAAAATACAAAAAATTAGCCGGGCATGGTGGCGGGCGCCTGTAGTTCCAGCTGCTTGGGAGGCTGAGGCAGGAGAATGGCGTGAACCCAGGAGGCGGAGCTTGCAGTGAGCCAAGATCGTGCCACTGCACTCCAGCCTGGGGGACAGAGCGAGACTCCGTCTCAAAAAAAAAAAAAAAAAAAAAAAGAAGTGTTTGAGCACTGTGTTAGTCTGGTTGTTACTATAAAACAGCAGTCCCTGGTCAGGCATGGTGGCTCATGCCTGTAATCCCAGCACTTTGGGAGCCCAAGGCAGGTGGATCACCTGAGGTAAGGAGTTCAAGGCCAGACCGACCAACATGGTGAAACCCCGTCTCTACTAAATACAAAAAACCAGCTGGGCATGGTGGTGCACGCCTGTAATCCCAGCTACTCGGGAGGCTGAGGCAGGAGAATCACTTGAACCTGGGAGGTGGAGGTGGCAGTGAGCCGAGATTGCGCCATTGCACTCCAGCCTGGGCAACAAGAGCAAAAACTCTGTCTCAAAAAAAAAAAAAAAAAACACCAGTCCCCCAACTTCTTTGGCACCAAGGACTGGTTTCATGGAAGGCGAATTTGCCACAGGCCATGGAAGTGGGAGGTGGTTTCAGGATGATTCATTTATTGTGCATTTTATTTCTATAATTATTACATTGTAATATATAATTAAATAATTATACAACTCATGATAGTATAGAATCAGTGGGAACCCTGAGCTTGCTTTCCTGCAACTAGATGGTCCCATCTGGGGGTGACGGGAGACCGTGACAGATCATCAGGCACTAGATTCTCTTAAGGAGCACATAACCTAGATCCCTTGCATGCGCAGTTCACAAAAGGGTTCACTCTTCTTTGAGAATCTAATGCTGCCGCTGATCTGACAGAAGGCAGAGCTCAAGCGGTATGTGAGTGATGGGGAGTGGCTGTGAATACAGAGGAGGCTTCACTCGCTTGCCTGCTGCTCACCTCCTGCTCTGCAGCCTGGTTCCTAACCTCCTGGTTCTGGGTGTTGGAGACCCCTGCTATAAAGGAACACCTGCGGCTAGGCAATTTGTAAAGAAAAAAGTTTGAATTGGCTCACGATTCTACAGGCCATACAGGAAGCATGGCACCGACATCTGTGCCACTTGAGGGCCTGAGGAAGCTTACAAGCAATTGAGGGAGAAGGGGAAGGGGGAGCAGGTGCATCCTATGGTGAAAGCAGAGTGAGAGAGAAGCTGGAGGTGCCGCACTCTTTAAACAACTAGATCTCACACGAATTCACTCGCTCTTGCCAGGATAGCACCAAGCCATTCAAGAGAGATCAGCCCCTATGACGCAAACACCTCCCACTAGGCCCCACCTCCAACACTGGGGATCACATCATGAGACTTGGAGGGATACACATCCCGATGGAACAAGCGGCTGCTATGTGTGTGAGGATCTGGAGAAGCAAGAAGGGCCTTGCTCCCCTGGAGCTGACACTGCAGTGGGAGAGACAGCCGTAAATGTGCAGACAGACAGATGCATAGCACAGTGGTAGTGATAGCTATGTGTGCGGAATGAAATGGAGCGGAGGACGGAGAGGGACTGGAACAAGCAGCAGAGCTTTCACAGAGAATCCATCTTGCCCATCACTCATGTCCTACAGCACCCAACACATCACTGAGCAAGTTTATTAGGCCCCCGTGCTGCCCAACTTGCTTCCAGAGGCCTTGAAGGACACCAAAGAAGACGCATGGGATGCAGCTGGAGGCCAACCCTCAGAAAGCTCACCCTTTAGTTGGCAAGCCATGAGCACATAATTCTAGAAAGCGTGTAATTACATGCCCCGCGCTGTTGGTGTGGGGCTAATTCCAGGTGTGGCTGAAGGTTGCCAGAGGTGGCGACCATCTCAGCAGGAGGTGGGTAGGGAAGCCTCTGAGAAGAGGTGGCTCCTAGACATTGCTCTAAAGGCATGTTAATGTGAGGTGGAAACAGGCCCGGGTGCAGAGCAGCAGGCTTTCCCAAGACTTCATGGCTATTTATGAGGGTGGCTGAGATGTTTGGACCTAGAGAGGTTGGATACCCAGAGCTAGCCAGAGAAGCAGAGGAACACTGGGGGAAACAGACACACAAGCTCTCACCTCGCCTGTGCTGCACACTAATTTTAGAGCCTCAGGCATGTCATTTAATCTCTCTGTGCTTTAATGCCTTCCCCCTTAAAGGAGGGATAATAATTTATGTCAGCCTCTCCCCAGGGATGGTATAAGGGGAGAAAGGAGATAATAGCTGGGAACATGATTGGGATAATAAAGAGTAACAGGAATAAGCCTATTATTAAGTATTAATGTTATGATTTTGCAGCTCACAATTGGCAAGCTCCCTGAATAACTATACCACGAAGAATCTTGAAGCTGTGGCTTCTCTGTGGGCACTTTATCTTCAAACCCATCAGATTCCATAGATACTAAAACCCCGTGTTCGAGGTTTTATTTTCTACTATATGATTTGAATGTTCATTAACTGCTTAAACCTTGCAGCTCCTTCCAAGTGGCTCCTGAATACTGCTTGGGGTTGCTTGAGCACGACGTTGAATAGGGCCCCGGAGATACCCGCCCTGATGTAAGCTACACAGAAACGGGAACTACCGCACACTCTAAAGTCTTTCCCATATTTTGAGTGTGAAAGCAAATTGTCATTGCATTTTGGAATGAACCCAGGGCTCTGTGTCTCCAGCCAGGGTGCTGGGGCAGCGGTGAGTAGAGGCGGGTTGCAGGGATGGTCTTCCTTGAGCATCACTTTAGTTCATGGAAAATAATTTGAAAGATTATGATATTAAGTCAGATGTGTTTAACTCAGTGTCTCTGGCCTCTTTAGACACAAGCCTGTGTCTAAAAAGTAAATTATCCTTCTCTTTTCAGATGGAAGTGATGATGTCGTGAGCTCACACCAGGCTGCTTGCTGGAACTTCCGTGAATGCTCCAGCACGCTGCCCACGGTACTCTGGGACATCTCGCTTGGCTTCACTTTTTTATCTGTGTTGTCTCCGGCCTCTGTACCTTCATGACAGGTCTGCCCGGTGGGGCCCAGCTGATGCCCCCCACTGCCTCCCACCTGCAGCCTGGTGGCCAGGACATCCACCTCTCCCATCCCTGCAGCTTGGCTGAGATGATGAGCTGATGTAAGCACGTGGTGCTGAGCCTTGGGGCTAGCTGGAGGACCACACAGAGCGTAAGAGATGCCTGCACTAAAAGGGCTTGGCTGCCCTCACAATTGCTGTACTGCCCGCAGCAGGCTTCCCTCCATGGACACAGGCGCCACCACCCACACCCCACCAGGAAGAATCCCCAGGTAGCTCCACACCTTGGAATGAAGGCCAAGCAAGCTGCAGAGAGGAAAGCCTTACTTTCCCCAGTCTCAGTCCACTTCTTTTTGTACTCTGGGATTAAACTCTTTTCAGGATGACTAACAGTGGAAGCATCTATTTGTTCAGAAGGAAACAGCCACTCCGACCCACAGGTTCTGGTCTCTGCCGGCCGGTGCCAGTCAATAGAGTAACTGATGATGAATTTCACAAAGCCCAGTCCATTCCGTCTCAGATGCCAATAAGAATCCGTCCAGGCCAGGTGCAGTGGCTCGCGCCTGTCATCCCAGCACTTTGGTAGGCCAAGGCGGGAGGATCATTGGAGCCAGTAATTCGAGACCCGCCTGGGCAACGTAGGAAGACCCTGTTTCTACAAAAAGAAAAAGGAATCCGTCCAGGAGGACAAACGCTGTCAGCTCCAATTCTAGGAGGTACATGGAGTAGTCACATTCATAGAGACAAGACATAGATTGGTGGTTGTCAGGGCCTGGCGGGAAGGGGAGGGGGAATTAGGGTTTAGCAGGTACAGAGGAAGCTTCAGTTGGTTGGATGAAAAAGTTTTGGAGCTAGGGCACGGTGATGGCTGTACAAAAATGTGAGTGTGTATCAGGCCACAGAACTGCACACTTAAAAATGAATACAATGGGGACTTTTATCTTATGCACATTTTATCACAATTTTAGCAAATCAGTCCAGGTTGCACCATGCTGCATCTGGACTGTTCTTGTCACCATCTCTCTCCAGTGTGAGGCGAGATAGAGGCCAGATCTGGGGGCAGAGTCCAGCATTGGCTGCAGGCCTCCTGTGAGCAAGCTTAGACCAAAAGGCACACAAACATTTCCCAAGAGCAACAACAGTTTCCTGCTCAGGCCAAGTCTGCATGTGGGGAGAAGAACAAAATATTTCTCCGAACTCTGCAGGGTGCAGTTCAGCGGGCACTCTCAAATGCACTCAGGGCGTGCAGGGGGCCCCAGGAGAATAATGAACATGCCTCGAGTTCATGGCTCCCAAAGACCCCGCCTGGTTCATTTTCTCAAAACAAAAGAAGCCTTTCTAGGGCATTAAGAGCTTCGACCTCCAGTGCAGAAACTGCTGGCGACTTTGAAATGGCAGCCCTCCAGCCACAAAGAAAATCTCCAGGCTCTGCATGCCGCGCTTACACACAGACATTGCGGCACTCTCAAAATCTGCACAGATTTGCAAGATGGAACTTGCCTTCAAAGAAATGTTGTCTCCCTTCTGGCTAGACATCCCTGCCCTTTGGGGTTCTTTGCTCTCTCGCCTTCAGCCTTCAGGAGCAGTTGAGTGGAAAGTTTGGGAAGTCTGAGCCGGGGTCAACTCTCTCTGGAGTTGCCTGCCTTGGGAAAGGCCCAGGTTGAAGTCTTCCTTGCTAGAGGCCCCGCCCAGACACCTGAGTAGCCCACCCTGTTGAACAGCTTAGCATTCTCCACTTGTAAGGACTTTGACTACAATGAGCCTGAAGGGAGCTGAAATGCAAGAAAAGAAAAAGAACAGCTTCATGTGCCACAGTGAAATCCCACCAAGAGAATTCTCTGAGATGGTTCACAAGCCCTCAACAGACCCTCCTGGGCACGCCAGACCCCCTGTCAGATCTCAGCAGCCCCAGTGGAGCTCTGGGGTTCACACAGTCACCAAGAAAAGGGAGTCCAGCAAGTCACTGCGGGTGACCCTAAGGTGGGCATGCATAGGCACTGAGCCTCTGTTAGGAGAGGATTCTCTAAAGCAAGAAAAAAATATTCGAACAACGATCAAATCTGGGCCCAAGTCCACGGATTGTGTTGACTACTCTGAAAGAGATTTTCCACCTCCCCAACTTTCGGAGAAGTTAATTTAAAAGAAAACCCTACATCTGCTGTTCTTTTTGGCTGCTCAGCATCTCAGCTTGTCCATTTCAGGAACCCCCTGCCCTGTGGAGGAAAAGCCTGCCTTGTATAGTACAGGATAAAAGTGCTGGAGAGCACCTGCCCGGACTCCCACAGTGAGCGGTGGCCCAGGCTCTGCCTGCTCCCCAGCCCTAGCCCAGGCTGTGGACTGGAAGTGGCTGATGGGAGGTAGCAGGGGTGAGGCCGGCTCCGCCCTGAGGATGGGTGTGGCCGCTGCAGAGGTTCTGGAAGCTCTGGGGACCGCACTGTAAACAGCTGCTGGTCCCAGCAGCAGCCACGGAGGTTCTGGGCTATGGCTGGGTGGTGCTCCTAAGTGGCCTCATTCTCCAGTGATTCCAACAGGACACCCGATACCCTTTCCAATACAGTCCCTTTCCACTTGAATGAACCAGAGTCTTTTTCTATTGCTTAAATCTAAAATTCCCAAATGCGGTATGCCACTAGCACTGTATGCCAGAGAATCTCTCATTTTCTTTTATTTTAAAAAATTTATTTTTCAAGGGCTTTAAGGGTACCAGTGGTTTTTGGTTACATGGATGAATTGTGTAGTGGTGAAGTCTGGGCTTTTAGTGCACCCGTCCCTGGAATAGTGTACATTGTACCAGTCCCTGGAATGTACATTGTACCCGTCCCTGGATAGTGCACATTGTACCCATCCCTGGAATAGTGTACACTGTACCCGTCCCTGGAATAGTGTACATTGTACCCGTCCCTGGAATAGTGTACACTGTACCCGTCCCTGGTAGAGTGCACACTGTACCCGTCCCTGGAATAGTGCACATTGTACCGGTCCCTGGAATAGTGCACATTGTACTCGTCCTTGGAATAGTGTACACTGTACCCGACATGTGATTTTTCATCCCTCCCTCCCCTGTTGCAAGTCCCCAATGTCCATCGTACCCACTCTGTATGCCTTTCCGTACCCATAGCTTAGCTCCCATTTATAAGTGAGAACATGTGGTATTTGATTTTCTGTTCCTGAGTGACTCTATTTTGTTTTAGGTTAAACCCTGACTTGGCAATAAAACCTTGAACATCCTGGGATACTTTTGAAGTCATATTTAATTCTTTGAAAGCACAGGCAGTGAAGTCCACAACTCCTGGAGCCCCGTCTTTATGGAGGAGAGGGAGGCAGAGGAATGGACACTATAGGCATTAGTAGTGAGCAAAATATTTCCCAATGGTCTGAAAGAATCAATGGGCCCAACTAAAGGATACCTGAAGATCAAGGCTTGCCGGCAGGAGGAAGAGCCGGTCTCAGAATACAGCCCAGGGCATGTGGACTGCAGAGGGCTGCAGAGAGAGGGACAGGCCTCCTGCTTCTCCTTCTGTGTCCCTCAGCCATCCTCCTTCAGTTTTCCCTGGACAATATGGTGCCAATCACATAATCGGAGAGTTGGGGACCCTTGCTGGGCCCTGCAGAAACTTGTGGCAATAAGGCAGAGGGCAGGTGCATTGAACGTGGGTTCAGAAGCCCCGGCCTGAACCAGGGCTATTCCCCGGCTGTGAGCTGGAAACTTTGATGGGGCAGCCCATGCGGTCCCTCAGGGCCAGCCTCCTCCTTTGTAAATAAGGGCAGGAGGGATTTAAATCACTGATTTAAGTCAGGGGTTCTCAAATTCTAGTGCAAGAACTGGTGCTAGACTGTGAAAAAGTATTCATTTTCACAGGTTGATGGAGAAAAGAGAAAACCACAATAACAAAAAAAGTAATAATTTTGTCCTGAAGCTAATTTATTTCTATTAAAATGCTGAGAAGTTCTGTTTTGTTACAATTCACTTTGCATGTGAATTCTATCACAGTGGTGAGGTGGATGATATGTATTCTAATTACTTCATCTGAGTGAATAAAAAGTTAGCAACTCAATACAGTTCTTCCAAATCTTTTTTTTTTTTTTTTGAGACAAAATCTTGCTCTGTCACCCAGGCTGGAGTGCAGTGGCGCAATCTCAGCTCACTGCAACCTCCGCTTCCTGGGTTCAAGTGATTCTCCTGCCTCAGCCTCCTGCATAGCTGGGATTACAGGAATCCGCCATCATGCCCAGCTAATTTTTGTATTTTTGTAGAGACAGGGTTTAACCATGTTGGCCAGGCTGGTCTTCAACTCCTGACCTCGGGTGATCCTCCCACCTTGGCCTCCCAAAATGCTGGGATTACAGGCGTCAACCACCACAGCAGGCCCCAAATCGTCTTTATAAAATTTTATCAGCCTGTGAGATCTAAAACTCTGGTAACTACTAGATTAACGTCTAAATTCCCTTCTACTTGTGTCTATGGATTTAGCTGAGTAGAAGTACCTGGAGTGTAGCGAAATAGTTGAGAGTCAGATTTTAATTTAACATGAAATACTAAGTCTAATACTCAGGCAATGAAAATACATGTTAGCACTGGTGGAACTGAAGGGATTGCTGTCTGCTATGTGCCATGAATGGATGACAGTAAAAAAGGTGGCCGGGCGTGGTGGCTCACGCCTGTAATCCCAGCATTTTGGGAGGCCGAGGCTGGCGGATCACGAGGTCAGGAGTTGTAGACCAGCCTGACCAACATGGCGAAACCCCGTCTCTACTAAAAATACAAAAATTAGCCGGGCGTGGTGGCGGGCGCCTGTAGTCCCAGCTATACAGGAGGCTGAGGCAGGAGAATGGCGTGAACCCGAGAGGCGGAGCTTGCAGTGAGCCGAGATCGCGCCACTGCACTCCAGCCTGGGCGACGGAGCGAGACTCCGTCTCAAACAAACAAAAAAACACCGAAAAACGGCATACTCTCTTTCAGCCACTGTGAACAGTGAACTGTGATGGCAACTAACGACCTACATTTTTTCAGAAAACTTTGAGGAGAGGACGTCGCTGTAACCTTTTACCTGGATAGCGGTCAGCACTCCCACTGTCAATCACTAACTCTTGGTCCACAGGGCACGTGTCACCTGCTTCCTTTTCAGAAATAGTAAGGGGTGACTTCATGTTGCAGTGCCCTAAATGGAGGATGAATCTGTGCTTGGAGAACAGTGGGTTATTTCAAAGTCTGTGTTTGTGAGTTGCTTAAATAGGATTTGTTTCCATTCCCCATGTGAGGTCCTATGCTATCTGGAGATAGAGAAATGGCATGAACCTGAATTGATGTTGATATTTTAAAGTTAAGTATCTTTACAATATGGAGCTTCACGAATTCTAAAAGTGCCCTGCTGTTGAGTTTTCTGTTTTTGCCATGTGTCCTGGGTCCCACCCAAAGGGTAAGAAATCCAAACTCTTTTTTTGCCTCTAGTCTAAGCTAGGGCTTTGTTTTCATACAGCTGTGCCCTGTCTCAATCTGTAATGGAATATAAATACATGCATTGATGTATGTATTTGAGTAACAGCCATCATCTGGGTACAAAGCACTAAGAGATCCGAGATAAGGCCTCTGTTGTTGACTTTGTATGTCCAGCACACCGCAGGTGTGCAGCCAGTGTGTGATGGCCAGGAGGGAGTGCCGGGACGGAGTGCCGGGATGGAGTGCCGGGATGGAGTGCCGGGATGAGAGCCGGGATGGAGCGCCAGGATGGAGTGCCGGGATGGAGCGCCGGGATGAGTGCCGGGATGGAGCGCCGGGATGGAGTGCCAGGATGGAGTGGCAGGATGAGTCCCGGGATGGAGTGCCAGGATGGAGTGCCAGGATGAGTGCCGGGATGGAGCGCCAGGATGGAGTGCCGGGATGGAGCGCCGGGATGGAGTGCCGGGATGGAGTGCCAGGATGGAGTGCCGGGATGAGTGCTGGGATGGAGTGCCGGGATGAGTGAGGATGAGTGCCGGGATGAGTGCCGGGATGGAGTGCCGGGATGAGTGCCGGGATGAGTGCCGGGATGGAGTGCCGGGATGAGTGCCGGGATGGAGTGCCGGGATGGGGTGCCGGGATGGAGTGCCGGGATGAGTGCCGGGATGGAGTGCCGGGATGAGTGAGGATGAGTGCCAGGATGAGTGCCAGGATGAGTGCCGGGATGGAGTGCCAGGATGAGTGCCGGGATGAGTGCCGGGATGGAGTGTCGGGATGAGTGCCGGGATGAGTGCCGGGTGAGTTCCGGGATGGAGTGCCTGGATGGAGTGTCGGGATGAGTGCCGGGATGAGTGCCGGGATGGAGTGTCGGGATGAGTGCCGGGATGAGTGCTGGGATGAGTGCCGGGATGGAGTGCCGGGATGAGTGAGGATGAGTGCCAGGATGAGTGCCGGGATGAGTGCCGGGATGGAGTGCCGGGATGGAGTGGCAGGATGAGTCCCGGGATGGAGTGTCGGGATGAGTGCCGGGATGAGTGCCAGGATGGAGTGTCGGGATGAGTGCCGGGATGAGTGCTGGGATGAGTGCCGGGATGGAGTGCCGGGATGAGTGAGGATGAGTGCCAGGATGAGTGCCGGGATGAGTGCCGGGATGGAGTGCCAGGATGAGTGCCGGGATGAGTGCCGGGATGGAGTGCCGGGATGAGTGCCGGGATGGAGTGCCAGGATGGAGTGTCGGGATGAGTGCCGGGATGCGTGCCGGGATGGAGTGTCAGGATGAGTGCCGGGATGAGTGCCGGGATGAGTGCCGGGATGGAGTGCCGGGATGAGTGAGGATGAGTGCCGGGATGAGTGCCGGGATGAGTGCCGGGATGGAGTGCCGGGATGGAGTGCCGGGATGGAGTGTCGGGATGGAGTGCCGGGATGGAGTGTCGGGATGGAGTGCCGGGATGGAGTGTCGGGATGGAGTGCCGGGATGAGTGCCGGGATGGAGTGGCAGGATGAGTCCCGGGATGGAGTGCCGGGATGAGAGCCGGGATGGAGTGCCGGGATGAGTGCCGGGATGGAGTGCCGGGATGAGTGCCGGGATGAGTGAGGATGAGTGCCAGGATGAGTGCCGGGATGAGTGCCGGGATGGAGTGCCAGGATGAGTGCCGGGATGGAGTGCCGGGATGGAGTGCCGGGATGAGTGCCGGGATGGAGTGTCGGGATGGAGTGCCGGGATGAGTGAGGATGAGTGCCAGGATGAGTGCCGGGATGAGTGCCGGGATGGAGTGCCGGGATGAGTGCCGGGATGGAGTGCCGGGATGGAGTGCCGGGATGAGTGCCGGGATGGAGTGTCGGGATGGAGTGCCGGGATGGAGTGTCGGGATGGAGTGCCGGGATGAGTGAGGATGAGTGCCGGGATGAGTGCCGGGATGAGTGCCGGGATGGAGTGCCGGGATGGAGTGCCGGGATGGAGTGCCGGGATGAGTGCCGGGATGGAGTGCCGGGATGAGTGAGGATGAGTGCCGGGATGAGTGCCGGGATGAGTGCCGGGATGGAGTGCCGGGATGGAGTGCCGGGATGAGTGCCGGGATGGAGTGCCGGGATGAGTGAGGATGAGTGCCAGGATGAGTGCCGGGATGAGTGCCGGGATGGAGTGCCGGGATGGAGTGCCGGGATGAGTGCCGGGATGAGTGCCGGGATGGAGTGCCGGGATGGAGTGCCGGGATGAGTGCCGGGATGGAGTGTCGGGATGGAGTGCCGGGATGAGTGCCGGGATGGAGTGCCGGGATGAGTGCCGGGATGGAGTGTCGGGATGGAGTGCCGGGATGAGTGCCGGGATGGAGTGCCGGGATGAGTGCCGGGATGGAGTGCCGGGATGAGTGAGGATGAGTGCCGGGATGAGTGCCGGGATGAGTGCCGGGATGGAGTGCCGGGATGGAGTGCCGGGATGAGTGCCGGGATGGAGTGCCGGGATGAGTGAGGATGAGTGCCAGGATGAGTGCCGGGATGAGTGCCGGGATGGAGTGCCGGGATGGAGTGCCGGGATGAGTGCCGGGATGAGTGCCGGGATGGAGTGCCGGGATGGAGTGCCGGGATGAGTGCCGGGATGGAGTGTCGGGATGGAGTGCCGGGATGAGTGCCGGGATGGAGTGCCGGGATGAGTGCCGGGATGGAGTGTCGGGATGGAGTGCCGGGATGAGTGCCGGGATGGAGTGCCGGGATGAGTGCCGGGATGGAGTGCCGGGATGAGTGAGGATGAGTGCCAGGATGAGTGCCGGGATGAGTGCCGGGATGGAGTGCCGGGATGGAGTGCCGGGATGGAGTGCCGGGATGAGTGCCGGGATGGAGTGCCGGGATGAGTGAGGATGAGTGCCAGGATGAGTGCCGGGATGAGTGCCGGGATGAGTGCCGGGATGGAGTGCTGGGATGAGTGCTAGGGCGCTCGTTTCTGCTTCAGGGCACATTCTCAAACGTACTTGTTTGTTCACAAGAACCCATTTTCTGCTGCTCTCTGCCTTCGAATCTAATGGCTTCAAATTTACACTAAAGTTGAAACACAGTGTTGATACTACTCGTTCTAAGATGAATGAGTTCTGGGAGTCGAATGTATGGTATGGTGACTAGAGGTAATGATACTGTATTGTATACCTGAAATTTGCTAAGAGAGTAGATTTTAAATATTCCCACTCTAAAACAAACAAAAGAAGGAAAGAGGAAAAGAAAAAAGGAAGAAAGGAAGGGAAGGAAGGGAAGGAAGGAAGGAAGGAGGAAGGAAGGAAGGAAGGAAGGAAGAAAGGAGGGAAGAAAGGAAAGAGGAATTCATTTTCTATATTGGCCTTGTTAACAGTTGTGGTGGAACATTAATATGAGATAATAGTATTTTTTAAAAGCTCAGGAATTACTTCAGAAATGATGTAATAGAATTCCAAATACCAGTTGGCTTTGGGGAAGAATGAAAGAAACACAGAGGCACAAATGGGTACCTGTAATATTTCTTTTCTCAAACATCTGAATCAAATATGTCAGAATGAGCAGTTTTAACTCACTTGCTTATCATGAGTGCTGTTCTCCATATTACTCCATAATTTTCTGCATTTTTGAGATACTTGATAGTAAAAGGAAAGAATGACCCGTCTCCCCACCAAAAACAGCAGCTGATATTAACAGTGTGGAAATTGAATATTAGAGGAAATCAACTGACAATCTATTCGAGCTTTTTCTAGAATCCCTTTACTAGGTTGTCAAACTCTTAGTAGTTCTACAACTGGCCTAAATCGGTTACAGCAAAAGAAGATAAAATATATGGGTTGGGTTTTCTTTCTCTTCTTCAATGACAAAGTTTGCCAGAAGCAAAGGCTGCCTGGACTCACCCAAATGAGGTGAGTCCTTCTTTCAGAACCACAGGCTGGAGGAGGTGCCTCCCTCCTAAGCAAGGAGTGGCCACACCCCTGGGCAGGGCAGGCCCTGGGAACAGGGGAAAGGTTATTCCAGGGCGGTGAGGAGGCAGCTGAGAAACCAGTCCTGGCACCGGCTTGGCCTGGCAAGTGCAGGGTATGTGCAGGCTGAGGGAGATGATCCCTAGAGCAAAGCCACTTTGGACTCTGGGTCATGAGGACCCCACGGCTGAGCTGACTCCATACCTGGGAGCCTGGCCTTCTCTTCCAGGGTTGCTGCAAAGCCCATGCCAGAGTCCAGGGCTGCGAAGTGGCTTCAGACCGCAGGTGTCAAGGCTGCCTTCTACTTAACTACCTGCATTGCTTCTCTGCATCAGTGACTCAAGACACAGTGGAGCCTCCTGGGTTCAAGGCCCTTCAAGGCACTAGGTGTCACCCCCATGGAGGGACATCCTTTATGGGACTCCAGAAATTCCCCTTGTTCCTGTCAGCACCGTTCAAGACTGATGCTCCCATCTCGTCTTTCACTGACAGTGGGGTTCTGCCTATAAGATAAAGGGTCAGGGGTTCAATTGGGTTTGTTGTTTTGAGGGAGAGGCAAACTGAGCCCCACATTCCTGCAACACCCCTTTTCTTGCCCTCTTGTCTAAATAGGGGGCATTTTCCAATGTTCCACCCTTTATAGTGGTGTTGTCACATAGAAAGCTCATATACTTGGGACATTGTTGGCATCCCCAGGTCCTTGGAGACCCTGTGGGCGCCGCCCTCATCTGGCTGAGTATTTCCTCCCATGCCTCCTACAGCTGCCCAGCATCAAGTTCAAAGCCTCATTTATCACCTGTCCTCCATGGCTGTCCTTCAGGATCCCGCATTTCTATTTTGGATACTGGGATCCCTCCATGGCCAGGCTGAGTGTCGCCTGCCCCTCGCTCGTCCCCACAGCCAGTCATGACCAGGCCATGCAGCCTCCCTCTGCAGCACCTCTCCAGTTGTCTTCACCTTTCACACTGTCCCTCGGGCCAGGCCTCACTGGGTGATGACCCAAATGGTCACTAGCAGGTCCCAAAAGGTCTCTCAGCCTCCAGCCTCATTCTTGAATCTACTGGGTACAGACTGGGCCTCCTGAGTCTCCTGGGAACTGGCTAAGTTACAAAGTGCTGGGTCTTGCCACACACCTGCTGACACCAAATCTTGGAGGTGGGACTGGAAAATCTGACTTCGAGTGTAAATCCCAATGCTCAGCACAGTCTGAATTCATTGTGCTAATCCATCACCAGGGGATTTGGTGAGAACGTGGATTTGGAGCCACACTCCTCAGGTTCAGATCCCGGGGTGATCACTCGCTGGTTGCATGACCTTTAACAGATTATTTAACCTCCCAGTGCCTCCGTTTCCTCATCTTTCTACTGGGCGTCAACATGAGGATCAAATGCCGCCATATGTGTGAAGTCTGTGGCATGTAGCATGTAGTCCAGCATGAAAGCTATTGAAGGTTGAGATATTCCCGCCCAGCACATCAGACGTGGAGGGACTTTTCATCCCAAAATGCCACTTTCATCAAGTCATGTTCTTCACTTAAAACTGTCCAATGCCTACCTCCAAAGACTAGAGTGCAGGAAATGAAAAAAATAACTTTACAGTGGAGAACCAGTCCTCTGGCCGGGTGATGAAGATAACATAGAAACCAGAAGGCAAACTGATGTATGGTGTGAGGAGCGGGGTACTGGACCTCCATGCTTCTCCAAAAACTGAGAACCCCTGTGAGAGCTGAATGAGAAAATATCATAAGGAAAATATCAAATCAACCCAAATTAAGGATTGTGCTACAAAATCCCTGACCAGGACTCCTCAAATTGTCTGGGTCATCAAAATCAAGGGAAGTCTGAGAAGCTGTCACATCAAGGGGAGTTGAGGGAGACGTGACAACTAAATCCAGTGTGGGGTCCTGGAACAGAAAAGGGGCATTAGGTACAAATTCATGAGATCCAAATCCAGCATGGACTTTAGTTAATGATAATGTATCAATACTGGTTCATTAATTGTAACAAATGTACCACCCTAATATGAGATATTCATAATAATAAGGGAAACTGATTGTGGAGTGTACTGGAATAGCTTTGCAACTTTGGATGGGTGCAAATTGGGTATTCTGGATGGAATCCTGCAAAAGGACAGTAGGGAAAACTAATGAAATCTTCATAACGTGAGGACTTCAGTTAAGAATATATCAATATTGGCTCATTAGTTGTGCAAATGTACCACAGTAATGTAAGATCTTAGCCCTAGGGGAAACTGGCTGAGGGGTATATGGGACCTCTCTGTATTATCTTTGCAACTTTTTGGAAATTCTAAATTTATTCCAAAATTAGAAAGTTCGCTTTAAAAAAAAAAGTCAGGACTCCCATAGTCTGTAGCCACGGCCACCTCCCTCTGCTCTCATTAGGAACCCACTCTTCTGCCTAGGTTGCTCCTCTAGGGCCTCAGCACCAGCTCCCAGCAGGTGTTTTGCTCTGGTCCCCACCTCGCTGAGCTCAGCCTCACTCCCACTCGTAAAAATGTAAGATCCCACCAGACCATGTGATATGGTTTGGCTGTGTCCCCACCAAAATCTCATTGTGAATTCACATGTGTTGTGGGAGGCACCCAGCGGGAGGTAATTGAATCATAGGGGCTGGTCTTTCCTGTGCTGTTCTCATGATAGTGAATAAGTCTCACAGGATGTGATGATTTTTAAAAGGAGAGTTTCCCTGCACAAGTTCCCTTCTCTTGTCTGCCACCATGTGAGATGTGCCTTTCACCTTCCACCATGATTGTGAGGCCTCCCTAGCCACATGGAACTGTATGTCCAATAAACCTCTTCCTTTTGTAAATTGCCCAGCTTCAGGTATGTCTTTATCAGCAGTTTGAAAACAGACTAATACACCATGGGAGCCCCAGGCAAGCATCTTTTCTTCCAGAATTCCTGCCCTGAGCCCTCAGGCGCCAATAGCTCCCTCCTCTGAGTTCTGATTCTTCCTCCCTCTTTCCTTCCTTCTGCATCTGCATTTTCCCAGTTATTGTTGTCAAATCCATCTCTCCCCCACCAACCTGCAAGCCCCTCAAGGACAGGATTGTCACCTTCCTTTGTGTTCCCATGACACTAACCACGTTTCTCTACCCCTCCAGGTTACCTTCCTCCATGTAAGAGAGGCTGTGCAAATGGTTTCAGGGTGTTTTTTTTTTTAAAGTTTTATCATGGTAAACAATACTTAACACAAATTTTACCATTTTAACCATTATTAAGTGAGCAGTTTGGTGGCATTAAGTATGTTCACATTGTTGTGCTACCATCAGCACCATCCATCTCCAGAGCTTTCTCATCTTCCCAACGGAAGCTGACCCCATTCCTCTCTCCCTCCCTCCAGCCCCTGGCAACCACCTTTCTGTTTTTGGTACTTATGAATTCAGCTCTTCTAGGAACCTCATATGAGTGGAATCCCACAGTGTTTGTCCTTTGTGACTGGCTGATTTCACTCAGCATGATGTCCTCAAGGCTTATCCGCGTTGTAGCATGTGTCAGAATACTCTTCCTTAAGGCTGGATAGGATTTCATTGTCTGTATCTGCTGTCATATGTTTGGTTTTTCATTTCCAAAGAGGACCATAATTAGCACAGGAAGGGTCCAAGGAGGCATGAGTGGAAGGTGTCAGGCTGAACTCCTGGCGTTGTCAACCCCTCCCTGCTCCATGGCTGCGTGGTCCATGGCAATGCAAAAAAGGTGAGCCTTCAGCCCTCTCTCCACCTCAGTTCAGGGCCGAGCACCTGGGCACCTTTATGCTGTATTCTCAGACATCTATTGCAGACATAAATAACATCAACAAATAATCAGATCCAATCTCACTGGGCTGGGCCCAAAAAGAGACCCATATATAAAGATGATTGTGGAATTCATTTCCTATCCACTCTCACTTATCCTCTGAGTATGAGTCTGCTCTTTGCCCCAAAGAAGAGAGGATCAAGGAAATACAGCATCCTACACACGACAATATAAGTAACAACAACTGAATATCCTCTTCTTCCCATTTGCCCCAAACCATATCAATTTATAGCAGATTGATTGAAACCTAGCCATGAATTTGCAAAGTCCCCTCACTCTGAACACCTCACTCACTGGTAGTAGTGTTGTATTGTCAGGAGTTCATAGAAGAGAACATTGATTGTATTAGTCAGATAAAGCAAAGGCAACTGCCCTAAGGATAAATCCTGAAATCTCAATGGCTTCACTCAACCTAGGATTCTGTCTTGCTCTTGTAGGTCAGGCGGCTTTCCTGCCTGGCCCTCCTCCAAAAGTCATTCAGGGTCTCCTTCCTTCTTGGTATTTCACCATCTTGGAGTTCCTTCCTTCTAGGCATGTGAGTAGAAAAGAGAGAGAAGACAGAGAAGGCGCTTGATCTACACAGCCACAAACCGGAAATGGCATGGCACTCCTGCTCACCTTCCATGGCAAGAGCGACCTGCGTGGTACCATCGAGAGGCGTGAGGGAGAACCTGGGAAAGGCATCCTTCCTGCACCTCCACAGGAGAAGAAAATGGTCTAATTACCACATAGCACCGACTCTGCTACAATAACATCACCGCTCTCTTGAGCTCAGTCGTCCTTTTTGAGGCCAGCAAAGTCCTCAGTTAATTTTTGGAAAAGTTGACAGGAAAGAGCTGTCCAGAAAATTTTGTCTTCAGGTTTCCTAGTAGTAACAGCCATCATTTACTAAATGTTTACTGCATATCACATATCAATCTGTATGTTTTAATGCATTAATTCATTTAATCCACCTAAGTACTTTATAATATGATTATTCTTATTTTACAGATAAGAAAAATATTTTTGGTCCCCTGTATTAGTTTGCTAGGGCTGCCACACACACACACATGCACAGTACCACAGGTTGGGTGGCTTAAAAAACAGATATTTTCTCACAGTTCTGGAGGCAAGAAGTCTGAGATCAAGGTATCAGCAGGCAGGCATGATGGATCACGTCTGTAATCCCAGTATTTTGGGAGGCTGAGGCAGGAGGATCACTTGAGGCCAGGAGTTTGAGACCAGCTTGGGCAACATAGTGAGACCCCCATCTTGAAAATAAAAACAAATAAATTAGCCAAGTATGGAGGCTGAGGTGGGAGGATCACTTGAGCCCAGGAGTTCAAGGCTGCAGCCAGGTATGATGGCAGAACCTGTCTCTTAAAAAAGAAACAAAAAAAGGCATCTGTGATGTTGATTTCCTCTAAGACCCTTTTCCTTGGCTTGTGGATGGCCACCTTCTTCTTTTTTTTTTTTGAGACAGAGTCGCCCTCTGTCACCCAGGCTGGAGTACAATGGCATAATCTCGGCTCACCACAACCTCCGCCTCCCGGGTTCAAGTGATTCTCCTGCCTCAGCCTCCCGAGTAGCTGGGATTACAGGCATGTGCCACTGCACCTGGCTAATTTCTGTATTTTTAGTAGAGGCAGGGTTTCACCATGTTGGCTAGGCTGGTCTTGAACTTCTGACCTCAAATGATCCACCCAACTTGGCCTCCCAAAGTGCTGGGATTACAGGCGTGAGCCACTGCGCCTGGCCCACCTTCTCCCTGTGTCTTTACATAGTCTTTCCTCTGTGTGTGCGTGCACATTTGTGTTTAAATTTCCTCTTCTTAAAAGGACACCAGCCATATTAGATTAGGGCCGCCCTAAAGGCCTCATTTTAACTTAGCTAAATGAACTCTTTGAAGAATTTATCTCCAAATATGGCTACATTCTGAAGTACCGGGGGTTGGGACTTCCACATAGAAATTTGTGTGTGGGGAGGAACACAGTTCAGCCCAGAACATCCCCTACTTTTTCTTATGTGAATTTATTCTATAAAACTATGCACAGAGATTTAACTGCAAGTTTTTTATTGCATATTAGTTTCTAATAATCAAAATATTAGGAATGGGTTCAGCAGCAATTAACAGAAACCCCAACTCAGAGTGGCTTCAACATAACACATAGTTCAGGTGTAGGTGGTCATTGATATTTGTCCAGTGGCTCTGTGAAAATCTCTCCCTGTTGGCTCATGCCTGTCACCTCATCAGCACATAATGGCTACCATAGCTCCAGACACCATGTCTACCTTTAAAGAGGAAAAGGGGAAAAGAAAGAATGATGGCATCTTCTGTCTCTTTATCAAGAAAGAAAAACTTCCCCAGAAATCACAGAAAACTTTATCTGATGTCTCATGGGTTAGAATTGGGTCTCTTATCCAACTGTAGCTGAATAACTGGGAAGTAGTGAGTTGTAGGGTGTATAAAGCCCTGGGATGTGGGTAGAAGAAAAGGAAAATCTGTATAGGGAATCACCGAGGCTCCCTTTCAAAGGTCAACATTACTAAAACATTCTAGATGAATTGGGATGGTTCCTATTCGTTGGGGAAGAAGTCAAGACAGGTGATGTGGGCTCAGCAAATGGATCCAGTAGCTCCACAGGGCATGGCTCAGCCAGGGCTCTCTGCTAGACTTGGCACCCTCTTTTGGAAGCAGTGGCTAAGTTATGAGTGTAGGCTTAAAAACAAGACACTAGTAGCTTTGGAAGCCTGATTGCAGGCATCACCGTGACTTGTGTGGGAAGCTTCTGCGCTAGGATCCACACCAATTTTCTTTTTTTCCTTTTTTTTTGAGATGGAGTCTTGTTCTGTTGCCCAGGCTGGAGTGCAGTGCCGTGATCTCAGCTCACTGCAACCTCCTCCTCCCAGGTTCAAATGATTCTCTTGCCTCAGCCTCCCAAGCAGCTGGGACTACAGGTGCCTGCCACCACACCTGGCTAATTTTTTACATTTTTAGTAGAGATGGGGTTTCACCGTGTTAACCAGGCTGGTCTCAAACTCCTGACCTCGTAATCCACCCGCCTCGGCCTCCCAAAGTGCGGGGATTACAGGTGTGAGCCACTGCGCCTGGCCAATCCATACCAATTTTCTACAACGACACTACAGCTAATAAGAGGGCAGGATAGCAGGTCAGCCAGGCCCCGGAGGGCTGCTTAGGCTCCCCAGCATCCTCTGTGTCTTGTGTTTGGAATAAGAACCCACCCTTCCGGAGCCCTGGGATTATCATGCAATTGAGGGGAAAGGAGACCCCAACTGCGATGAGCCAAGTCTCAAACTGTTAACCAAAAAATAAAAAATGAGTCTGCAATTGTGCCCCAAGTAGACTGTAAGTAAACATGCCAAGTAGCTTATATTTTCTAAAACGTCTACAATAAACATATTTTAATTTTGTAATAGGAAACAAAACATATTAAAGTGGTTTTTAAAAGAGTATAGTTATTACTGATCAAAATGAAAACAAGCCCAATTTTTAAATTATTTCAAGTTATGCTTTTCTTTTTTCTTTAATTTTTATTTTAGGTTTGGGGGTGCATGTGAAGGTTTGTTACACAGGGAAACACATGTCACGGGGGTTTATTGTACAGATTATTTCATCACCCAGGTATTAAGCCCAGTACCCAGTAGTGGTCTTTTCTTCTCCTCTCCCTCTTCCTACCCTCCCCCTTCAAGTAGACCTCAGTGTCTATTGTTTCCTTCTGTGTGTTCATAAGTTCTCATCATTTAGCTCTCACTCATAAGTGAGAACATGTGGTATTTCATATTCTGTTCCTGCGTTAGTTTGCTAAGGATAATGGCCTCCAGCTCCTTCCATGCTCCCGCAAAAGACATGATCTCATTCTTTTTTATGGCTGCATAATATTCCACAGTGGGTATGTACCACATTTTCTTTATCCAGTCTGTCATTGGTGAGCATTTAGGTTGATTCCATGTCTTTGCTATTGTGAATAGTGCTGCAGTGAACATTTGCATGCATGTGTTTTATGCAAGTAGAGTGATTTCTATTCCTCTGGGTGTATACCCAGTAATGGGATTGCTGAGTGGAATGGTAGTTCTGCTTTCAGCTCTTCGAGGAATCGCCATACTGCTTTCCACAATGATTGAACTAATTTACACTCCCACCAACAGTGTGTAAGTGTTCCCTTTTCTCCCCAACATCGTCGGCATCTGTTATTTTTTGACTTTTTAATCATAGCCATCCTGATTGGTGTGAGATGGTATCTAACCGTGGTTCTGATTTGCATTTCTCTAATGGCCAGTGATGTTGACCTTTCTTTCATATGCTTGTGGGCTGCATGTATGTCTTCTTTTGAGAAGTGTCTGTTCATATCCTTTGCCCACTTTTTAATGGGGTTGTTTTTTCTTTTGTAAATTTAAGTTCCTTATAGATGCTTATATATATATATATATATATATATATATATATATATATATATATATGCACCTTTGTTAGATGCATAGTTTGAAGTTATGCTTTTCATAATAGCAAAAACATCTGTAAGCAATTCAAATGCCCAGCCATTCATTTGAAAGAATATATTCATTTGAAAGAATATATTCATTTGAAAAAATATATTCAAAGCCATTAAAATAATATGTAGGCCAGGTATGGTGGCTTACTCTTGTAATCCCAGTATTTTGGGAGACGCCGAGGCAGGAAGATCACTTGAGCTCAGGAGTTTGAGACCAGCCTGGCCAACACGAAGAAACCCTATCTCACCAAAAATACAAAAAATTAGCCAAGCATGGTGGCACATACCTGTGGTCCCAGTTACTTGGGAGGGAGGCTGAGGCAGGAGGATCACCTAAGCCTGGGAGGTGGAGGTTGCAGTGAGCTGAGATCGCACCACTGCACTCCAGGCTGGGGGACATTAAGACTCCGTCTCCAAAACAAATTAAAATAAATAAAATAAAATAATACATATATGGACTCTGTCAATATGTGGAAAAGTATGTATGAATAAAAAGAACAAAGACACATATTCGTTGATTACAACTGGGGAAAATTATGTTTATACAATGATAAGAATGAAAACAGTAGAGATAGGTAAATCGTTCAAGTTTTCAACTGAAAGAATTATTTGTGTTTAGGGAAGGTGTGAAGTGTAAATCTCTACAGAAAAAAAAGTTTCAAAATAGCAAATCTAATGGATGTGGGCTCTGTTAGGAACAGCATGGCCATGCTTTCAAACCTCCTTCAGGGCTGTCCTGGGCAACAGAGGAACGCTTTTGATCTGCTGTCTTGGCAAATTTCAAGTACACAATCCGTGATTATTAGCTACAGTCACCAGCTGAAGTGTTCTCAGCACACACACACACACACACACACACAAGGTAACTATGGGAGGTGATGGATATGTTAATTAGTTTGATCGTGTATATATTCACAAAGTGTATATATATATATGTATCAAAAGATCACATTGTATACACCAAATATATATGATTTGTATTTGTTAATCATACCTCAGTAAAGCTGGAAACATTTTTTTCAATTAAAATTGCCTCGAAAAGTAAAAATGAGAAGAATTATAAATATTTAGTAAATGTCAAGTGCTTTATTCATGGATAACAAAATATATTTATAGTGCAAAAAACAACAAGAAAGAACATAAGAAGTGAGTTCATGCTCTCAGCCCTCCCCCAGCTCCGCCCTCCCCGAGGTCCCAGTGTTCCGTCCTCTTTCTGTCTCTAACCTTCCACAGACCGAGTTCCCTGAACCCTTCTCTTAGCCTCGCCCTCTGCTCCTGGGAGACAGCCAACATGGATGGAGTCACGTCTGCTTATATCTTTAGCCAGGACTCACTAGAATGTTCTTATCCTTCTCAGGAAATAGGTTTTTTTCTTGTGCAATATTATTTTCTACTGCCCCCATCTCCAATTTGAAAAGTAGCAGGTGCTCATTATAAAAAGCTTCCAGTTTAAAAAATGTTGTAATATTATTTTAATCTTTTTTAGTGTTACATAAGAGCTGTACAAATCTTCAGGGCATATGTGATATTTTGACACATTGCTATATTGTGTAAAGGTCAAGTCGGGGAATTGGGTTATCCCTCACCTTAAATATTTATCTTTCCTTTATGCTGGGAACATTTCAATCATTCTCTTCTAGCTATTTTGAGTTGTGCAGTAGATTATTGTCAAATATGGTCACTCTACTGATCTATCGAACACTAGGTCTCATTTCTTCTATCTGACTGCATATTTGTACCCATTGATCAATGAGAGTTTATACATTTTCTGTATTATATTGGGGACCCGTCTGTTGTGTTCTGGGGCCTGCCCCATTCACAGCTGTCCCAAGGGGGTTTCTTACCCACAGTCTACTGAGCTGTGTGTCTGTTGACTCTGCCCCTGCCCTTGCCCGCTGGATTGACCAGGGCGGTCCCACAGTCACTCATGCTTTGTGGTGGGATGCAAGAGGCAGCAACAGTACTGCCCTCACTCACTTCTGCAAAACACTCGTGGCTGCTACCTTCTGCGTGCCAGGATTCCCAAAAGCCTCATGGACACTCTTTTAAAGCACTGCCTCCAAAGAAGGCCTTCTAAAAATACACGTGTGATTTTAAAATGTTCATGCACTTGGATCCCATGATTCTACTTCTGGAAATGTATCCAAAGGATATACTCATAGATATTCAAATAGAGACCTGTAAAAGGGACTTTCTGTGTGACATTATTACTTTTCTTGGGTCAGATTTCTTCTATGTCTATTTCTTGTTTCATGGCAAACTGTGGGTGAGAAGCCCGTCCGCATGGCTGTGAATGGAGCAGGCCCTGGAACTCAACAGATTGGTCCCCAAAATAATTCAGAAAATGTATACACTCTTGTTGATTAATACACAGTTAGATAGAAGGATCCAGAAGTAGCTTGGGTGCCAGCATCCTGTCAGCCCCAGGGCAGAGTGCCTGTCTCAAAGGCAGCAACCCCGGCTGGCGTGGCTGCAGCGTGGGCTCCTGTAAGGCTCTGCCCTGACTGCACTGCACTCAGGCCCTCTTGTCGGGAGCTGAGCGACGAGACACGCAGGACCGTCTCGCAGGACTGAGGGGTGCAGGAGAGCATTTGCCTACGACCCGCAGAGGGAAGGAACGAAGCAGAAGCCACAGAAGAGAAAAAAGGGAAGGGGAGGGTTTAGCTGGTGGGAGCAGAAGGAGAGAGAAAGAGAGAGAGAGAGAGAGAGACAACACTAGACTCCCAGCTTCATGAGGGAAGCGGCCAAGTGTGCCTTGTTCACGTCCACATGCCGGGAGATAAGCCGTGCCTGGCAGATGGAAGTCACTCCTTCAGAGTTTGTGGACTGATGGACAGACGGAAGAGAGAGCACAGAGCAGGCAGGGTGTCTGGAAGCCCCCCCGGGCCTGCAGCCTGCTGCTCCTGCAGATCTCTGAGGGGCTGCTGTTGCCATCATCCACATGGCCCCTTCCAGCCTCCTCTGCAGACAAGATTCCTTCCTGCCTTCCTTGTTGTCCCGCAGCCTCTTACGGTCAACC
The DNA here is from genome assembly GCF_000001405.40 of Homo sapiens. NCBI lineage: Eukaryota > Metazoa > Chordata > Mammalia > Primates > Hominidae > Homo > Homo sapiens. The sequence goes on from NC_000004.12 coordinate 184,980,178, forward strand.
TCATCATGTAAGAGACCTGGATGGTTTTCTGGTTCCTGACAGCTCAGAGACCCCAACAGAGAAATGGTCAAGAAAGAACAAAGTAAAAGTCCTCCACGAGCCAGAGATGACCATTGTTTCCTCCTGAAAGCGTATTGTTCTGTGTTCTGCTTTTTAACACTAAACAAGTGAAATATTTCCACGCCACAAGTAGCCTTTCAAAATGCAATGTCAGTGGTTACATTTGGTTGCTCCATTCTTTAGGGTATCAGATGTTAGATGTTAGACATTCTGGTTTTTCTTGGAAGCTCGCTCTGTAAATAAATGATTCAACTTCTGGAATCATTCATGTGAAGACCAACATTCATTTGCATGTCTGCGCCCTGTGGTCCACACAGACCTGCACATGAATGTTTTAGCTGCTTTATTCCTGATTGCCAGACACCAGAAACAACCCAAATGCCCACCGATAGGAAAATGGGTCAACAAACTATAGGACAACACAATGGAATACTACTCACCAATAAAAGGAGCAAACAACCCATGAATGCAATACCATGGATGCATCGAAAAACATTTGCTAAATGACAGAAGCCAGGTGCAGATGGCCACACCTGTAATTCCATTTGTGTGACGTTCACAAAAGGCAAAACTACAAGCTGCAAAGCAGATCAGCGCTGCCAGGGGCTAGGGATTGCGGCAGGGGATTGACCACAAAGGGTAGCATGGGTGAACTTTTTGGAATGATGGGAAGCTTTTTTATTATGGGGGTGGTTACATGACTGTATACGTTTGGCAAAACTTATCCAGCTGTCTACCTTATAAGGATCAATTTTATTGTATGTAAAGTATACCCCACCTAAATCTGACCCGAGAAAAATAATAATGTAATGTAGAATATTCCTTTTATGGATCTCTATTTGAATATCTATGAGTATATCCTTTGGATATATTTCCAGAAGTAGAATCATCGGATCCAAGTGCATGAACATTTTAAAATCACACGTGTATTTTTACAAGGCCTTCTTTGGAGGCAGTGCTTTAAAGGAGTGTCCACGGGGCTTTCAGGAATCCTGGCACATGGAAGGGAGCAACCACGAGTGTTTTGCAGAAGTGAGGGAGGGCAGTCCTGTTGCTGCCTCTTACATCCCACCACAAAACATAGGCGACTATAGGACCTCTCTGCTTCCTGACCTCTGAAGTGTCAGGAATAAGCTGCCTCATTGACTCCCATCACTCCACCCCAAAGGCCAGAGCTCAGCACTGCCCAGCGTGGTACAATTGAACTTCCTGCCATGGCGGGAACTGTTCTGCATCTGTGCTGTCACATACACTAGCCACAAGTCACTACTGAGTACTGGAAATGTAGTTAGTACAAATGAGAACCTGAATTTATTTTTTTCAAGTTTTGTTAATTAAAAATTAAATTTAAGGCCAAGCGCAGTGGCTTATGCCTGTAATCCCAGCACTTTGGGAAGCTGAGGTGGGGAGATCACTTGAGGTCAGGAGTTCGAGACCAGCCTGGCCAACATGGTGAAACCCCATCTCTAGTAAAAATACAAAAAATTAGCCAGGCGTGGTGGCATACACCTGCAATCCCAGGTACTCAGGAGGTTAAGACAGGAGAATCGCTTGAACCTGGGAGGCTTGCAGTGAGCTGAGATTGCACCACTGCACTCCAGCCTGGGTGACAGAGTAAGACTCTGTCGCTAAATAAATAAATAAATAAATAAATAAATAAATAAATTTAAATAGCCACATAAGACAGGGCACAGTGGTTCATAGCCTGTAATCCCAGCACTTTAAAAGGCTAAGGCAAGAGGATTGCTTG